>NC_000003.12:69706969-70010000 GCF_000001405.40 Homo sapiens
ATAAAAGGCATCCACACTTTTAGTTAATAATGGTAGTTAATATTTACTGGACATTTATTTTTTCAGTAGGCAAAAAATGTATGAAGTTTTTTTACATGAATTTCCTTACGTAATTTTAGCAACAACTCTCTGAGGTGTGTTCTTTTAACTATTCCCATTTTATGGATGAGAAGGCTGAAACACCAAAAAATTAAGTAGCTATTCAAGGATACTGTTAGGAAGAGACAGGGCTGGGATTTGAACCCATTACTGACTGACTTCAGAGTCACTGACTATAAACATTAAGCTTTAGTACCCAGGAAAACAAATCTGGTAATTACAATTCTCCCAAACGGCGCAATTTTCTGTTTGAAGAAGATTGATAAATACTTAGTGTTACTTTGGGGCTATGTATCTCTTAGTTTGGGGAAAAAAGTTGGTTATACAAATGTGATAGAAAACCCTTTTCTAGAGGAACCGTGATTTGAAGAGTTGAATTGCTCTGCGGGAGAACATAGACTATTTCACTCAGTGACAGCCTTCATCTCTGAAGGTTGATTCCTATGATGTCTATGTGTTATTGCTTAGTTTTGGAGGTGTGTGTGGTGTGTGTGTTGTGTGTGAGTGTGTGTTGTTATTATTTAAACCATTACATGCTGAAGAAAGAGAACCAAGAATATAAAATGGCAGGAGGGATGGGGAGTCCTAATTGTCAAAATGAACCAGAAGAGGAATCTCTTGAGTTGTTTGCACTTTCCCTTGTGAAACTGTTAATGTCTGACAGTGGTTCTATGGAAGAATTCCTGAAATCAGCCTTGAGAAATGCATGGCCCCATTGAAGCCCTTAGAGCTACGGAGAGAATGGAAATTCCTACCACCAATCAACCTTGAAAGAGGCCCGTCCTAGATTAAAAATAAGGACTTCATTGGAAAGCCTAAGACTTTAGTAGTAAAAGGAGATCTTTTCTTCTGTTTGTTTCTTACAGACACAGGCAAAAGAGATGTACCCAAAGGCTCCCTAATGAGAATATGTGAGCATTCCATGAAACATGAGCCAAAGTGAGGCTTAAACACCCAACAGATGCCTGTTGAAATGAATTGAACCTATGAACTCTGAGAGAAGCCAAATTTAACATCTCATGTTAAATTTCTCTGTGTCGGAATTCATTTTCATTACCCAAGTCTTTGATAAGGTCTTGCTAAACATTACTGCCTGATCTCTGCTTTTATTTTGTGTTTTGAGTAGGTTCTCTCTGATTATACTTGGAATGAAGGGATTCAAAAAGGAACAGCAGAAGACTAAGTAAAGACAGCCTGTAACTAATGATTCCTGGCTCAAAATGCCAGATAGGCCACATGTGTTTATATATTCTTCCTCCCAAAATCCCGCAAAATGACAACAAACAATAAGTAAGTTATTAATCCTCATAGTAGATGTAGTTGGTACCTCAATAATATATCTTGGGACTCACAATGTCATTGGATGACCACAACAAGCACATTGGAAAATAAAGTTGAAGAAACAGCTCAAGATGTAAATCAAAGTGATCAAGAGATGGCCAATAGAAGAAGAAAGATTAGAAGATCAATCCTGGAAGAACAAAATATGACTCATAGAAAAAAAGAAGAAAGGAGATTATTAAAGAATAAACACACAAAAAAAACAAAATTGAAAGACATAACTGTTCAGATTGAAAGAGTACAGAAAGAGCTCAGCACATTGATTAAAACAAGACCCATAATAGAGGGGATACTCTTGTATGCCATCCAGATTTCCCTACAAGACTAAGGATTCCCTCATATCAGGGGCATATTGGTAGCTGTGGCTTCTCAAATGATTTTCTCTTGGGCAATTGCCCTTGACCTAAAGGAGCTGCCTTGCCCACGGACATGCTGTTTTGGGGGATAGACTGAATCCATGACTGGTCAAAAGGGGAAGACAATATAAAGGCCCAGCCCACCTGCCTAAGGTGTGACAATTCCAAAGTGTTGCTCCAGTTCAGAACTCACCATGGGATTGGCTAAAGTCTTTGTTGCAATTGCATTGCAGTTTAACTTCTTCTCCTTCTGCCCAATCCTGTTTTCTTTATCCCTTAACAAATGTTGCTCTCAAGAGCAGTCCCTCATAAACTTCCTGCACAACAGTCTCTGTCTCTGTACCCAAACTAAGAACATATCAAGGCATATTGTGGTGAAATTTCAGCATTTAAGAAATTAAAAAGAAGATCCGAAAGGCTACCAGAGGGGAAAAACAATAGATCAACTGCAAAGGAGCTGGAAACAGAATGATATTTCAGCAACACTGGAATCTAGAAAAGTGCCTTTTTTAAATAATGGGAGGAAAATACTTTTATCTTAGGTTAATATTTAATCCTAGGTTATAGATTTCATTCTAGAAGTATATAACAGTCTAAATAAGTGGAAGGATGGCATAAAGACTTACTCAGGCTGGGTGCAGTGGCTCATGCCTATAATCCCAGCACTCTGGGAGGCCGAGATGCATGGATCACTTGAGGTCAGGAGTTGGAGACCAGCCTGGCTAACATAGTGAAATCCTATCTCTACTAAAAATACAAAAATTATCCAGGAGTGGTGGCTGGCCCCTGTAATCCCAGCTACTTGGGAGGCTAAGGCAGGAGAATCACTTGAACCCAGGAGGCAGAGGTTGCAGTGAGCTGAAATCATACCACTGCACTCCAGCCTGAGCAATAGAGCGAGACTCTGTTTCAAAAAAAAGAAAAGAAAAAGACATATTCATATAGGCAAGTACTCAGTAAATCTTTATCTTTCTCAAGCTACTGGAGTAAAGTGATACAAGGAAGAATAACAGCAAATTGAGTATAAGAAAAGTACCAAAATGAAAGGGTAAACCAAGAAAGAGGGAGACATGAGATGCAGGAAAATAGATGTTTTCCTGAAGACTGGCAAAGAGACAACCCCGGGAATGCAGCCATACAGCAAACTAAGAGAAAGATCAGCCCAGATAGGATCAGGAGGACAGAGGGCTCCAGCAAGGAGGGCTCTAGGAACCAGGAAAAATAACAATAATAGTAAATAATAATAAATAACTAATTATAATAACTATTAACTCCTGCAGAAGTTTGTACACAAAAGGAGGCATAATTCTAGTGAGCTGAGTAATATTTGCATAATCATTCACTAACGTAAATGTTGACTACTGATTTAGTAAAAGAAATGGCTACGCTGGCACGTTAAGAAAAAGGAAATGGTGGAACATGGTGGTGAGCTAGATCTTTATATAGTGTGTAGTGAAGTCTGGGATACCTTCTTAAATCAATGAACCAGGAAATGACAGTGTATGCACAATTTTAGAAACATGAAAGTCAATATTAGGAGAAGTAAATAGGAGAGTTAAGGGGGCTTGCTTCTGGGGAGTAGAAGTGAAAAACCATTCAAGAAATGACTCATTCATCGTAAACCATCAAGTACTAACTTGAGTATGTTAGACATTTAAAGTCATGTGTATGCATTTTAAAAATAACATTTTTAAAGCTTATTTAATTTTTTAAAAAAGTTAGAAGTGGTAGGAAATGGCCTGCTATGTAGTGGTAGTGGTGAGTGGGGATTGATAAGACTCAGAGCTGGATGAGTGATGAAGACGGTATGCATCAACCACACAGATTCCTGGAACATGCAAGCATTCCCTGGGGACTGCTAAAGAAACTTGGACAAAGGAATCCTGGTAAAGGACTCAAACCATCATGGTATGCCACTTTCACACTTAGGTTCTGCTGACAGGTTTGAACCATAATGTCAGCTGCCTGCCATCTGTTCTACCATAAACCCTTGTACCCATGGCAGATATTGCTAACTCAGCATGGCTCTGTTTCACACACAGATATGATCAATTAACAAATGTCCATCATAGGCATAGAAAAGAGGCATGGTACCACGTTTGCCAAAATGCTTGTGGCCTCAGAATCCTTCTCAACACAAGGCTCTAAGAGCCATACCATTGGGACAGTGGGACAACTCTGGAGGGCTCCTCATAGGATTAGCATCCCTATATACAATTTGCCATCCCTAGTATGAAAGCCCACCTTCCTTATGTTAGTTTGGGTCCTTTGAGAAACAAGAACTGGATGCAAAGACAGGATTAAATGTGTGTACGTCGATTAGGGGAAATGTCTATGAGAGAAAATGGAGAGGTTGGGAAAACCATCAGACCTCATTGCAAATCTGCCCCTAATTCCCCTAATGAAGAAGAAAGGGAAGTTCTAAGTGCAGCTCTCAGGAATGTTTAGCAAGTCCATCAGGGAGTCCTGAAGCCAATGCCACCCATTAGAGGAGTCCTGTGCCCCCCAAGGAATGGGCCTGCCTCAGTATTCCATGTTCAATCACTGGTGATGAGAAACATGGCCTTGGCCCAAAAACAGTGATGCGCTTCACAGCATAGAAGCTAGGAGTCTTAGTCAATTATACTTCCTGCAGTTGGAGGTCTGTGGCTCACATTCTCATGGCTGCTGAATCCCACCTTGGGAAATCAAGAGAGTTGAGAAGGCTTCAGGCAGGCCAATGGAGCCAGGTACCTGAAATTGAGGTAGGAGGTGGGACTTGACTCCAAAGGCAGGGCTTGGACACTGGACCAAGCTGAGGACTAGCTAAAACATGGATGGGGTGAAAGCAGCTTTTCATAAGACACACCCATCACTGTGCCATGTCAATTTACCATTGTCATGGCAACACCCAGAAGTTGGTGCCCCTTTCCATGGCAATGGCCTGATGACTTGGAAGTTACCACCCTATTTCTAGAAAATTCTGTATAATCCATATCTTAATTTGCATATAATTAAAAGTGGATGTAAATATGACTGAAGAACTGCATCTAAGCTGCTACTGTGGGCACGCTGCCTATGGGCTAGCCCTGCTCTGCAAGAAGCAGTACTTCTGCTGCTGCTGTGCCCTGCTGCTTCAATAAACGTTGCTGTCTGACACCACCCGGCTTGCACCTGAATTCTTTCCTGGGCAAAGCCAAGAACCCTCCCAGGCTAAGTCCCAATTTTGGGGCTCACTTGCCCTGCATCAAAATCAAAGGTGTGACCATAGAGTCACAAGGAAAGATTGAGACATTGGAGAGTGGGCCAGGGCCAGACCTTAGGCGGTAGCAGACAGACTGGCATTGTCGGTCATCTGCCTCCCTACAGATTTATCATGGCGAATGGCCAGATCTAGATAGAAAGAGTAAGATAGGAACTTTATTTGCCTGAATTTGGGCAATGAGATAAAGGGAAGGAATTGGAATCGAGAGCTAGGAAGACCCTTAGGAGTCCTCCTATGTATTTGTCAAGGACTCCGAGGCGCTGATCCAATATATTTTTGTTCCCTTTAATGGCTCAGTCAAAGCTGTTTTAATCAGTAATTACATTAGAAGCTACAATTAGTTACTGCACTAACAACAAAAGCCATTCATAGGTACCGACTAAGTATTTATTCTTAGACAGTGAGTATTAAAAACAGAGTTCTTGACCTCTGGGTGCTCACGGTGAAATTGTAGCATTAGCAGATTCAACAGCGTATGATGCAAACACACACACACACACACACACATGCACGCACACCCAAGAAATGAGCAATCCCTTTCACTTCAAAGAGAGACATTTGTAGGAAACGGCCAATAGAAGTCAGTTACTTTATCTGGTATTCCTGAAACAGAGATTTTCTTCCAATGCTAGATAAAATATTTTTAGACTCTAGTTCCCATTTTCCCCAGATTCATTACATAAAGAACTGCCTATTTTGAACTCATTCCTGATATCATCTCTACAGAGCCCCACAGGCCTAATCACTTATATTAATGAAAAGCATTATTTGTGCCCATCGGGGCAAACATTGCTCATTTAGATACATCTTTGTCGTTGATTCCCATTGAAGCTAGTGCCGTTGATGCAATTGTCAAAACATGAATGATTGTAAACAGTAAACTTGGTTTGAGGTACTTATAATATTCTTAAGATTCTCTGTCCTCTAACTCAATATGTGGTGAGTTGTGTCTTTCTTTGCTTCCATATCTGAGTAAAAAATAGCACGAGGATGATTCCAAGTTTGGTTTATGTACACTAATTAAGCTTCAACACCCTGAAGTATGAATTTGTTACCCATTGAACAGATAAAGAAGCTGTGTTAGATAAGTCATTTGAGGTCGCATCATGAGTCACGAGGCCATATCAGAACATGAATACTTGGCTTAATCTGTGCTTTTGTGTCAGATCATATGTTTCAACTAGTTCAACATCACATTGCCAGCAGAGGTCTTCAGCAAGTACATTCTAGTGATCAATCAGAGTACTTGGCAGAAGAGTCATCTTTGTCATAGAATTTCCAAAGCAAAGTCCAAACGACTCTGCCATTGGTTATTAAATGACACCACATGCTTTTTCCAAACTTACCTTTTGAATGCAAGCTAAATAAAGAAAGGACTTAAGAAATCTTTCAGTGCTCACTTTGGCAGAACATATACTAAAACTGGACCATGAAGCACTCTATATTTTTAAAACTTAAAATTAAAAAGAAGAAAACAAAAATGACACAAAATGGGAATCTTTTAGCTCTTTCTTTCACCTGGGTAATCATATTCAAATAGTTAATCTATCACTTTATTCATTTGTAGAGAAAAATTCTCTTTCAAAAGGTGGCATCAAGACCAGCTAAACATGGTGGGAAGACACTGAAAAATAAGAGCTCCCCAAATGACAAATGCTAAAGACGTTGATCACCGAGATGCTAACTGGCTTCCCCAAATAACCTAACACTTCAAGGACTGCACGTTTATTATGTGCCTTGGCCGCATCCCTTCCATCATCACTAATGAACCTCTCAGGGACCTGCTTGACCACATTCCCATCATCTATACCAAATTAAAGACAAACACCGCATTGGAAATTCAAAGTATTTACCTCCCTTGGGAGTTGTTTAATCAAGTTTCATTTGGAGTATATTCCTAACTCTATTGTAATAAAAAACAATTGAGTTAATAGCGTGTTGCATTTGGGAGGATGATTCAGTATTTGTCTGAAAAGTGGTGGTGCTTTTTTGTTGTTGTTGTAGTTGTTGTTGTTGTTGTTTAAATACTGAAAATAAGAAAAAAGATTTGGCAGAGGCCCAGCTCTTGAAGTTATTGTATCATTCTAACCATTAAATATAAAAAGTCTAATATATGTTTCTTCTTATTATTTTTGTCAAATATGTGACTCCTGAAATTTCTTTCATTAGCCTTAACTGTATTAATTTTATCACAGCTACAAAAGCAGAAAGAAAATCATGCTACAATTTCTACTTCACTCAGGTGGTTGTTCTACAGTTCATATGTAGAGTTAAGAAAACATATATTAAAAATTTAAAGTATTCACCTGAAGGGTGTAATTTTCATAAGGAAATCAACAAACCAAATAACAATTTACCATAGGGACTATAATAAGGGGAAAAACAGTACGCTTCAATTTTGCTTTAAAAAAATTCTGTTGACAATTTCCAGCACGCACACACACACACACACACACACACACACACACACACCCTAACACACCTTCTCAGGTACCCACAGCTCCTCTCACATGTACATTCCCTCACACATAAGAACTCTTATTTACCCTTACACATTCACAAACCCATACGTGCCCACACACACCCTCAAATACCACACATCCTATTATAAAAGGGTCTCAAAAGAGGAAAATCCAATAGAGAGGTGTTAGCTATGAGGGGGGAGTTTCTATACGTATTGCTAGAAATTCTTCAAAAGGGAAGATGTGCCCTTCTCTCCCACTTATTTATTTATTCTATCATTTACTTACATCAGCATGGGTGTATAAACATTTATTCTTCAGGTTATAACCCAATACTATAGTTATTTATTTTGTTGCTCAAATTGTTCCAACTTATATTCATATACAGGACAAAGAATTATTGCTGCACAACAGGGAAGGGTCACACAAGATGCTCCTAAGTTAATATTAATATTCAGCTGAGTGGTAGGTACTTGGGTGTTTGATTGTTAATATTCAAATTGTATGTATATGCATACATCATAGTCATTATTTTGTATATATTTACAATAACAAAATTACCTCCCCAAAATGAAGTAGATATAATTTTTCTCCTAATGGGCTGGTAAAAAGAAATATCTGTTAATATTAAGTGTAGGCAAAAATATGGGCAGATGGGCAATAAAAGTATGAATTGTAATTTTATTCTGCAGGGCATTTTGGCAGCATCTGAAAAACTCGAATTGGGCATTTCTATGAACTGTAACTTCACTGCTCAGGACTCACCTGGGGGAAGCACCTAAGGAGGCAATGTGCAAATGTCTTCAGCGCAGCAAATCTTAAAGCAGCCAAAAACTGAGAATAGGTTAGGTGACATTAATTAAGGCACTGACTAAACTGTGATCCAGCCATACTAACAAATATTATGAAAGACAAAAAAAAGTGATGTGAAACCATTTATGGTTCACATGAGCAGATCTTCAACACAGTGTTCTGTGAAGAGGCAACTTGCAGAACAAATATAGATCCCATAGAGATGTTTGTGTGTATTTTTTATTTGCTCTAAATTATGTCCAAAAAATAATTGGCTGTTTCAAAAAGCCTTTAAAAATTGTTCCACTTTGGTCATGGGGAGCTCTTTGAGGTTGGCTCCTGTCTCCTCTCTGCAAACTGGCCTGAGGACTAGATTCAGCTCCTTGGGACGGGGATAGTGTCTTATTTGACTTTGCAGAATGGAAAAAAATGCCTTATTCATAGATGTCAGTGGGCTAGAAATTAAAAATCCAAATTATTCTTCTAACATAACAAATACTCTTTTTAAAAATTTTTCTTTCTTTTTCTTTTTCTTTCTTTCTTTTTTTTTTTTTGGACGGAGTTTCCCTCTGTCTCCCAGGCTTGAGTGAAGTGGTGTGATCTCAGCTCACTGCAACATCCACCCCCTGGGTTCAAGCAATTCTCCTGCCTTAGCCTCCTGGGTAGCTGGGATTTAGAGGCTCCTGCCACCACACCTGTCTAATTTTTGTATTTTTAGTAGAGACAGGGTTTTGGCATGTTGGCCAGGCTTGTCTCGAACTCCTCACCTCAGGTGATCCACCTGCCTTGGCCTCCCAAAGTGCTAGGATTATAGGTGTGAGCCACCATGCTTGACCTAACATAGCAAATACTCTTGGGTGTAAGGTTGCACCACAAGCACCTCTCTCTAGGACAGTACGTTTCACATATAGAGTGTGTAATGGGTTCTAAACCATGTCCTGTTATATGATGCCATTTCATCTCTACCACCACCCTGTACAGGTGATGTTCAAAATATTTGGCAACCAGTATTAGTGTGAGCATCACGACCAATCAGAACCTACGTTGGCCTTGGCAGTGGAGCAAGATCTTAGCAGCTCCTGGCAGGGCCAGGTTTCTACTTAGCTGCTGGAGAGGACCAGATCTGGGGTTTCTGAGAAGTGAGGAAGGGTGGCTGGGGAAGTTAGTAGAGGGCGTGCTGGGACATAGCAGTGCATACGGACTGGAAATGTTCACTGTTTGTAAAACAAGGATTATTGTATCCATTTTATAAGTTGAGATCAAACAATGTGCCCAAGAGAGCAGAGTTGGAGCTAAACTAGATTTTCTAGCAGTGTTCTCTTCACAACAGCTTGAGTTTTGGAAATTAAGGAAATGAATTTGAATTTTGAAATTACCCCAGACTTAGAAGTACCTTCTACTTATTCTCAGAATTCCATCTCATGGTATTACATGACACATTATTGCATTTGAATTCTAAACCAACAATGCTCAAATTGACCCCTGACACTTTGACGAGACTTTCTGTTTATAGTGGGAAGAAAAGACACTTGTTTTCCCTTGTGTTTTTTATCAAGTATGAAAGTGCATTTTCCTGTTTTCCAATCTAAGACTCCATCCTTTTGCAGCAATGCTCTGCTCCAAGTTAATGCCCGTGGGGGCCCAGTGGCTTCCTTCTTTTTTTTTTTTTTTTTTTTTTTTTGAGACAGAGTCTCACTCTGTTTCCCCAGCTGGAGTGGAGTGGTGTGATCTCGGCTCACTGCAACCTCCACCTCCCGGGATCAAGTGACTCTCCTTCCTCAGCCTCCTGAGTAGCTGGGATTACAAGCACCTGCCACCATGCCTGGCTAACTTTTGTGTATTTAGTAGAGATGGGGTTTCACCATGTTGGCCAGGCTGGTCTTAAACTCCAGACCTCAAGTAATCCACCTGCCTTGGCCTCCCAACGTGCTGGAATTACAGGCATGAGCCATCCCGCTTGGCCTTTCGTCTCCTTAATCTGCTTCATTTGGCCTCCTGTTGGCCTGCGCTACTGGATGGATTCTCATTGGATTGTACATTTTAAATCCTTCATTTCTTCCTTCACTCTCTAGAACAGACCCTCATTCCTGGGGAGAGGTGCAGGTTTGCATTTTCTGCCTTCCAATAAGAGTGTCAAGTTGAGGCATGCACCTGTGTAAATGTGTATGGAGAGGGGGCGGGTGGGTAGATTTGTATGTCGGGTGGGGGGACTGTGGATTGTGGAATCAACTTTTCTTTTTGCTAACTTATTCAAAACCCCAGAACTCCTCACTTTGAACATGTGCAATTAAAACATAAACAAAATACCTTAGCAGGTATTTGTACAGGAATACAGTCTTACTCATCACTCTATGTGAGAATTGGATATGTACTTGTTTCAACATAATAGCAAGATCACAGCAGTACATTGGATTGTAGTTAGGGCATCCAGTAAAAATAAACAATATTGTTTTTCTGTACATTTTATGTGGAGGTGGAGGTAGATGGTAATAGTGTTTACTTTTGGTGGCTGTGATTATTCAGTTTTTTTAATGATAGGAATTATACATGAGCCTCAAATAATAGTGCTCATGTGGAGACTGGGAACTCTGTATTGATATTGTGTTTATTTTAAACAAGAGAAGGTCTTTGAATCCTTATAGAAGTATGGTGAGGCCTTTTCTATTAAAAAAGTAACTCGAACTGAATCAACTGCCATGAACTAAAATGGTTATGCTTTGTAATAATATTATTCTCTTAATGGAGAATCTCATGAACGTTTAAATATACCTCCTGGCCGAGATTCACAGACCTTCCATAGCCTGACTCCCTCCTTCCGTAGCCTATCTTCCACAAGACCTTCCTGACTCCCTCCTTCCGTAGCCTATCCACCACTGTCCTCATTGTCTACTAGAGCTGTCAATCCCTGGGCCGCCTGCCCCCAGCTCTTATAATAGGGACAGAGCCACTGAAGGTGCAATCCTCACAGAAGATGAGGCAATAGGCAACCCTGTGTAAAGACAGAATATTTAATTTCTGAGCCTCAAGTTCACCAACTTTAAAATGGAGATGATAATAACACACCACTTATCAGGTTATTTTGTGAATTAAGTGAGATAATAGATTAAAGGTCCCTCACAGGAGAGTTAATGCTCAATCTCAGCTACCATTGGTGTGTTCAGTCCTTTCTTAAGTAAGGGACCATGAGGGATTGGATCCATGAGAGAGGGAAACCAATCAACAGACTAACTAGCATTTTATGCCAAGAATGACATAACTTAATAAGCTCTTTCAGAAATTTGACTGGAAAATACTAAGAGAAAAAGGCTTATTATTACTTATTATTTACTTTCTATTACTTATAGAAGCTGAAGCCGAAACATCACGACATTGAAGAGAGGCACACTGGGAAACTGTAATGAATCACAGGTGAGCTCAATTTTTAGGTCTCTGTGACCTCTGCTGTCTGCGAACATATATTGGATTATCCAATTTACTCATTTATTACATAGATTTGCTACTGTGGACTTTTGAATGTGTGCATGTTAATTTCTTGTCCCTGTATTAGTTAGGGTTCAGATAAGACAACTGCCATGACTCCTAGTACCGACCCTAGTACTGCAGAGAGAGAGAGGTATAAGTTACGAAAGCCCAGGATTTGGGGCCATCTGCTGGAAGCTGGAATCCTAATGGGTTGTCAGGCAGGAACTGGGATCAGGAAGAGGGGGGCTGTCCTGTAGAAATGGTGCTACAGAGTAGAAATGGCTTCTACCGCATGAAGCAGGGTGGGGGAGATGTCCTCTGGCTTCTGGCCTCCACTTTTCTTTCAGTCTTGTACCAGTGCCTCCTATTGGTTAAATCACCTGGAAGCCCGAGGGCAACAGAGCCTGAGGAATGTGGTTCCCTAAGGACTGAGGCAGAGAGCAAAAAGGCACATGACTAGCAAGGCCCACCCATGTAACTGCTCAGGGGTAAATACTATGTCATTTACTGGGTGTTTCCTTTCTGTAGATGGTTGTTTTCATCATAGACATGTATTATTGCTTCTGGAGTATGATTCTCTCTCTGAAGAGCTGTGAGAAGAGGAGCACTGGAACTCCATAGTCAAATTCAAGAGAACAGACTTAGAAGTATAAAGGGTATTTTTAAACTCATAGAACTCTGTAGCTTGTGTCTAATGTTTTCCAGCTACAACCTGATGACTCAGAAGATTTTGTGTGTGTGTGCTTTTGTTTCAGCAAATCTTGATTATCAATGTGATCAGCCTTCTCTCCGGGATCTGCGGGGAATGATTAGCAGGAGGCTAGCTGTGAACTGATGTAGATAATTTTGCACTTGAAAGGGATTCATGTTACATCCTTAATCTCAAGGATATTTTAAGTTAGCATTTAAATAAATGTTTACACACAACCCGTGGTGGTGATGGATTCTGAATTTTGGATAATATTTTATGTAATTGTTTTACTACCTTCCCAGTCACTCTGAGGTGCATGTGTGTAACTGCATCTCAATTAAAATATCAAAGCAATTGAAAATCAGAGGCAGCTCTTACATTGTAAAAGCTAATTTTAGCTCATCTTTGCAGTGTCAGAAATTTTATCTACTTGTAGAGGATCACTGGGTGACACAGGTCTTGCCATTTCCATTGCTTCATAGCAGAGAGGTGGATTTCAGTAAGACTGGCTATTAACATCCTGCTATAGCTGGACACCAACTAGTAAAGTGAGCTATACTTCTTCACCAACTGGAAACTCTACAGGAACTCCTTCCAAGCCTGGTTTTAACTCGTCCTGACACTCCATTTGTTCATGCTTTGCTCAAGGAGTTCACCCACGATGTATTTATTTTTAAACCAATCTTTGCAAGAGCTATCACCTTACCGACAAACAAATCAAAGACTTACTGGATGTTGGGCTGAAAATATCCCTGATGTCCATGGGGTCTGGGATTACATAGCCAGGAATTCTATAGTTTGTAACATAATGCTGCATTTCACACATTTGTCTCCTGAAGTCACCCCTTGTTTGTAAAAATATTATTCTTCCTGCCATTTTTAGATGGAATCAACAGACATATGAATGTAGGTCTGGCCTGTTTCAGAAGACAGTGAAGAGGTCCTCTCATTGTCCACACTTCTTATCTCACTACCAGTTCCTGAATATGGGGCCCATGTCTTGTCTTTCACTCCCTTTAGTGTGTCAGACATGGAAAGCTGGGTATTGGTGGAGTATCTGCAAGGCTCATGTTAACCCTCTTCCTCTGAGAATTACCCCTCTCCGTACACACAAGGAGTGGACCCTAGACAGCCATGTGTATACACCTTGCCTTCATCCCACATTAATTGGACCAGAGCAGTCAGTTACATGACCCATTCAGCACCAATTAGTTTCTCTCTCCCTAGAATTTGGACCTGAGTAACTTCTGTTCAGTGTGGTTTGGAGCCTTGAACCAACAAGACGTTACCCGGGGAGATGTAAGTAGTTATTTTGGCCAAAGGCATGAAGTTCAAGACAAATTAAATGTAAAGAGAGGAAAGAATAAACCAGATATGGAGACAAAAGCCAAAGAAAAGAGGTGAGAGTATTGCCCGGTGAATTCATTATCTATTGCTGTATAACAAATTACCTAAGATGTAGCAGCTTTAAACAACACATATTTGTTACCTTACACAGTTTCTGAGGGTCAGGAATCTGGGACTGGCTTAGCTGGGTATTTTGGCTCAGGGTCTCTCACGAGTTTGCAGTCGGGATGTGAGCCTGGGCTGGAGAATGCACTTCCAATCTCACTCGTGTGGCTGTTGGCAGGAGACTTCAGTTCCTTGCCACATGACCACCTCCATAGAGCGGCTTACCTGACATGACAGCTAGCTTCTTCAGAGTTGAGAGAGAGTAACCAAGATAGTGGCCATGATATTGTGAAATGTATGTTTGGTCTTCATCTCCATTTTCATAGGTTCAGGAGGCATACAACTCCTAAAATCCTTAGAATTTCCAAAATAATGTCTTTGTCTATGCTAATGAGTTGACTAGTGGATGGCAACCCCTGGGTAGCTTCAGGATGTGGGTTGATCACAAGAAAGACCAAGGCAGGATTAGAGGGTGGGAAATTTCAGCCCATCCCCAACCTCTGGGGAGGAGAGAGGGGAAGAAGATTAAGTTGATCACCAGTGGCCAAAGCTTTAATCAATCATGCCTGTGTAATGAACCTTCCATAAAAACCAGAAGGGCTGTGTTCAGAGAGCTTCTAGAGAGCTAAACACATGGAGATTCCTGGAGGATGGAGCACCCAGAGAGGGCAAAGAAGCTCTGCACCTCTTCCCCTATACCTCACACCATGCAGCTCTTCATTTGTATCCTTTAAAATATGCTTTAAACTGATAAACACAAGTAAGTATTTCCTTGAGTTCTGTGAGGTGCTCTAGCAAATCAATTGAACTCAAGGAGCGGGCTGTGGGAACCCCAATTTATAACTGGTCAGTCAGAAACACAGGTAAAACAACCTGGGGCTTACCATTGGTACCTGAAGTTGGGGACTGAGCTCTCCACCTACAGGATCTGATGCTATCTCCAGGTGATAGTATCAGAACTGAATTGAATTAGAGCACACCCAGTTGGTGTCCACTGAATAATTCATTGGTTGTTGATGGGGAAAAATCTCCACACACTTCTTGGTGACCAGACCAGAGGTCACAGAATTCTTTGTGTTGATTGTTGGAGAGTGAGAGAATACAAAAACACTTTGGTTTGTTTTTTTCATACATCAACAGAGTGCTATAGCTTAATTTTTCTCCTCTTGGGTGTGATCTGGCCTAAGTGACCTCTATTCCAAAGAACAGACTATGGAAAGAAGAAAAACAGTAATTATACAGGGGAGAAATCTGGCAGACCCCACCTCAATCAATCAACTAAGGTTAACATCACCAGGGAGTGATAAGTCAGGTGGATATTATGTACCTCTGATATATAGGGATAAGAAAGGAACCTTGCCTTGTGGTATTCTTCCCCAAATCCATAATCCTAGACTAATTCCAAGAAAACAGCAGGCAAACCCGAATTGAGGGACTTTCTGTAAAATACCTGACACATACTCTTCAAAACTTTTTTTTTTTTTTTGAGATAGAGTTTCACTCTGTCACCTAGGCTGGAGTGCAGTGGAACAATCTCTGCTCACTGCAACCTCCACCTCCCAGATTCAAGCTACTCTCCCGCCTCAGCCTCCCGAGTAGATGGGACTACAGACACCCACCACCACGCTCGGCTAATTTTTGTATTTTTAGTAGAGATGGGGTTTCATCATATTGGCCAGGCTGGTCTCAATCTCTTGATCTCATGATCCACCCCCCTCGGCCTCCCAAAGTGCTAGGATTACAGGCATGAGCCACCGCGCCCGGTCCAAAACTTTTAAAGTTACTAAAAAGAGAGAGAGAAAAGAGAGGGGCAGAGACAGAGAGAAAGAGAGAGAGAGGAAGGAAGGAAGGACGGAAGGAAAAAAGGAAGGAAGGAGGAAGGGAGGGAGAGAGGAAGGAAGAAAAAAAAGAAAGAAAGAAAAGAAAAGAGAAGAAAGAAAGAAAGAGGGAGAGGGAGGGAGGGAGAGAGAGAGAAAGAAAGAAAGAAAGAAAGAAAGAAAGAAAGAAAGAAAGAAAGAAAGAAAGAAAGAAAGAAAAAAGAAAAGAAAAAGAGAAAGAAAGAAAGAGGGAGAGGGAGGGAGGGAGAGAGAGAGAAAAGAAAAGAGAAAAGACCTAGAAACTGTCATAGACTTTTGGAGATTAAGGATACTTGATGAATAAATGCAATATGGTACCCTGATTTAGATCCTGGAACAGAAAAAGGAAATCAGTGAAAAAACTGGAGAAATCTGAATAAAGTCTGGGGTTTCATTAATAGTGTTGTTTCAGTGTTAATTTATCATTTTTGACAAATGTACCCTGGCTGTATTAATATTTGGGAAGCTGAGTTAAACGGATATGTATCTCTAAATATGTAAAAATGAAATCTCTTAATCAGTGGCTTAAAATAAAGGTTTATTTCTTGTGTATGCTCCATGTTCAACATGGTTTGATGGGGGAGGGGGCTCTGTTCCATGTCATCCTTACTCAGGGACCCAGGCTGTAAGGAGTTTCCAGCATCAGTGATTGTGGTGGATGAGGGAGGAGAATGTGATGGATCGCACGTTGGCTCTTGAAGGCTTCTGCCTGGATGTGACATGCATTGCACATTCGCATTTTCACATGCCATTCATATTCCTTGGTCAAAGCAAGACGCATAGCCAGGCCTACCTTAAAGGTGTGGGAAGTTCTGTTTTACCATGTGCCTGAAAGGAAATATTGCTGAACAGGCCTGATGGTCACTGTGATAAAGAATCCATGGCAGAGTGCCACCAGAGAGTGGCATTGTCCTTCTGTCTCCTCTTCCCTTTCTTTCTCTTTCTTTTTAACTTCTTCCCTTTTTCATTCTTTTTTCTCTCTTTTCCCTCCTTCCTTTTCCTTAATTTAAAAAATCATTTCTAATTGCAGAAATGATATATCTGAACTGCAAAAAATTTAGTAACACTGAAGTATTAAAAAATTGCCAATTTCTCTTTTCCTGCCAGCCTACTCTTTTTTTTGTTTTTTGTTTTTTTTTTTGAGACAGTCTTGCACTGTCGCCCAGGCTGGAGCGCAGTGACTCGATCTCAGCTCACTGCAAGCTCCGCCTCCTGGGTTCACGCCATTCTCCTGCCTCAGCCTCCCGAGTAGCTGAGACTACAGGCTCCCGCCACCACGCCCAGCTAATTTTTTATACTTTTAGTAGAGACGGGGTTTCACCATGTTAGCCAGGATAGTCTCGATCTCCTGACCTCGTGATCCTCCCGCCTTGGCCTCCCAAAGTGCTGGGATTACAGGCGTGAGCCACCGTGCCGGGCCAATATGTACTCTTAACAGATGGAATGGGCAATATAATTCCAGATAATTTTTTATGTAATGAAATTATAAATATTACTGTACATTTTCACATTCCAGTCATATTCATTTTCAAATCACAAAAATTACAAAAATAGGACCATATAGTACAAAGTATTTTTCAACTTGCTTTTTAATTTGGCAGTATATCTTGAATATTTCTTCTTGCTTTTAAGTCAGGAAACAATAACAACAACAATAAAACATTAACAACAACCATTTATTGAACACCTATTGTGTGCTCCTTGCTGCTTTAGGGAGGAGGTATTTACTGCTAACCAAGACAGAGTCTCTGCCCTCATGAATTCTCTATTCTAGTAAGGAGATGTTTGTGTCTGGTCCCTCCTTTATGACAAACAGTTGTGAGACCTGAGTGAAATTTTTTGGTAATACTAGCGTCTGTGCTTGTGTTTTTATTTTTAAGAACAAGGAAAAATCAGGGAGTAGGCCTTATGTTTTAACTGCACCTGTGGGTCCAATTCTAACTGTATTCGTATTTTGGTTGTTGTTGTTCAAACTGCAGTTGCTGACTCTTATTAACTTACATAAGAAGAAGGAATTAATTTGAAGAATATTGAGTTCAGAAGGAATAGTTCAGAAGGAATAGTTGAACAATCATGTCTGGGGAAGGGTAGGAACTAGGGGTCCTTGGAGGGTCTCTGTAGCAGGAACTCTCAGGTCAATTTGGTAGGGTGCTGCTCTTGGATGACTCAGCTCCAACAGCCTTTTCTCCCAGGGTTTCTTAGTGGGAGGTCCAGTTCGCTGAGATAGCAAGGTTTATCGGTCTAGCTTAAGTCAGCAGCTTACTACTCTGACCAGAAGGAGTTGGGTAATATTGATGGACAGACTTACCAATACCACCTGGGATGGGGGCTGGGCAGTTCCCCACAGGCAAAGGGAGGTGCTCTTGGGAGAAGAAGGGAAGAAGAAATAAAAGCTGAACCAATCAAAAACTGGTGTTCAGTGCACTAATTTCCTCCTTTCTCTGCCTGTTCCCATCTTTCTCTCTTACTTTCAATATTCTCAATTATGAGAATATCCTCATAATTTTCTCAATTTTTCTGCATTTCTTCTGCTTATCAACATCTTGACTTTGGCAGTCTGACAGGCTTTGTTGAATTGTGCTAGTGGGGTATAAGTGCCTGAGGGTTTCTAATCTCTTCTCTGATGCCTCTAAAGGAATGCCTTCTGAGTTGCAGCACATTTGTCTATTTTTAAACATGTGGAGACTCAATGATATCTCAGTGCTTTGTGCCTTTCATGTTTTCTAAATAGCAAAATTGAAAACTCCTAAATTTACTTATAGCACTGTTTATAGTGGTGAAAATTGGAAACAAGCAAGATGATCAAGAGGGATTGGTTAGATAAATCATCCTGTGTCTTCCACAACCATATCATCCAGTGACTCAACTCTTTTTTCCTCTGATTATAGAACCCTAGAAGAATCCAAGGAGATAGGAGCTCCCTTTCTAGAAAAATCCACATGTATTTTGCATTAAAGTTTTCATAAATGTTTTGAATATTTGCAAAAGTACTAACTTTACCTATAAATCCAGGAGTGGTTCATAATCATTTTATATAAGGGGACTTCAAAAAGTTAATGAAAAATGGAATTAAAATATAAAAATAAGAAATACAAACTTTATTTTCCAACACAACCTCCATTAAGATCAAGACACTTTCATTAACAATGATATCAGCCATTTAGCCCATCACTAAAGAACTGGGGGTCTTGGGAATTTATTCATGTCAATACAGTCTTTTTTACATTATTAACTGAAGAAAAATAGGTGCCATTTACAGATTTTTTTTTAAAGATCAGGAAACAAAAATAAGTCAAGGAGGAAAGAGCCAAATCAGGACTGTAAGGTGGCTGCTTCATATTTTCCCTTTGAAACACTTGCAAAATTGCCCTTGTTTGATGAGAGAAATGAGCAGGAGCACTGTCATGGTGGACACTCTGGTGAAATTTTCCTGAGTGTTTTTCTTCTAAAGCTTTCACAAAACTTTCTCAAAACACTCTCAAAGAACAATAGCTCTTTTGCCCTCTAGAAAGTCAACAAGTACGATGCCTCAAACACCCCAAAACACTGTTGCCATGACCTTTGCTCTTGAGTAATCTGCCTTTGCTTTGACTGTACCACTTCCACCTCTTGGTAGTCATTGCGTTGATTGTGCTTTGTCTCCAGGATCATAGTGGTACTCATCTGGGTACAATGGTTTGGGCACCAATCAAATGGAAAGCTTGCTCAACTTTAATTTTTTAGTCAGAATAGTGTATGCTGAACCAATTGAGATGTCTGTGGTTTTCTGTTGCTTCTGCTGGTAATCGTCAGTTCTCTTAAATTAGGGCATGAACAAGATTAATTTTTTTCCTTGAAAATTGATGTGGATGGTCTGCTGCTGCAGGCTTCATCTTCAGCATTGTCTCTTCTCCTCTGATAATGAGTTATCTATTTGTAAACTGCTGATTTCTTTGGGGTGTTGTTCCCATAACTTTTCATAAAGCATCAGTGATTTCATCATTCTTTCACCCAAAGTTTACCATAAATTTGATGTTTGTTCTTGCTTCAGTTTTAGCAGAATTCATCTTGCTGTGATAGGAACTCTTTTCCAACTGTCTTATCTTTCTTAGTGCCTCAAACTAGATCCCATTCAGATATGCTATGACAAGTTAGTACGAGTTTATTTTGGTGCAAAATAACTTTGAAATCCACGCATTTTTTTCATAATACATATTTTCTGTGGACTTTCTGAAGTCCCTTCATATGCTCTTGATGTAACGAAATACTCTGTAGGCATGATCATTAAATATTTTTAATATAAAAATCTGTTCAAAATATATTATCTGAAGAAAAACAGGTTACAAAACAATGCATATAGTATTGACTCTTACTTTGAAAAGAACAGTTCGTGTATGTGTGCGCGTGTGTATCTATATATGTGTGTGTGTATATATACGTGTGTGTGTGTATGTATAGTTACATTAAGAATAAATTTGGACAACTGTCCAAAAAATACTAAAGTCATTTCTTTCTGGTGGGTCAATTATAAATAATTTTTTCTTCTTGTTTATTGTAGTATTTTCTAGTACTTCTAAAATTAACATGTTTTATTTGTGAAACTGAAAAATAGATGGTAATAAAGAGTGGTACAGTAAACAGGTGCCCTAGGCACTAATTGCTCAGCCTTTTAAAATAAAACTATTGAGATATGATTGACACATAAAAAGCTATATATACTTAATGCATACAATCTGATGAGTTTGGAGATAAATATACACCTGTTGTCCAGCCTTTTTATGCTGTCTGGTTTTTATGGCTCTTTGACTGGTGGTAGAAATAATTTAGTAGTTAAAAGAAGATCCTATAGCAAGCACTAAAGAGAATCCTGAGGTTTAAGTCTATAGTTGATCACTTCTTCTCACCGTAATCATTGCCATTTTTATTACTGACCTAAACGACATATTAAAAAATTGCCGTTCCTCCCCTGCCCCCGCTTTCAAAAGCCACATGCATGCATTGTAAAAAAATCAAACATTACAAAAAAGTACAACTTTGAAAGTGAAATTTCTTTATAATTCCTCCTCAGCCCCAATAGTAGCTCTTAATGGTTTAATCCATATACACCATTGCACACACAAGTTTTTTGATTTTTGTTTTTGTTTTTAAACAGGGTCTTGCTCTGTCATCCAGGCTGGAATGCAGTGCAGTAGCATGTTTAAGCCTCAGTGCAGCCTCGACTTCCTGGGTTCAAGTGATCCTCCCACCTCGACCTCCAGAGTAGCTGGGACTACAGACACATGCCACCACGCCTGTCTAGTTTTTGTATTTTTTGTAGAGACAGAGTTTTGCCATGTTGCCCGGGCTGGTCTCGAACTCCTGAACTCAAGCAATCTGCCCACCTCAGCCTCCCAAAATGCTAGGATTACAGGTATGAACCACTGTGCCCAGCTTGTTTGTTTCTTAAATGAAAATAGAATTGACATATATTGCTTTGTAACATGCTTTTTTATTTCATGTAAAATTTATTTTGGACATCTTTCTATGTCAGCTCATAGAACTCAGTCTCGTTCCTTCTTAAGCACTTGCATGGAATTCAGTTGTAAGGATGCATCATAATCTATCTATAGTCCTCATGCCATGGATCCAGTTTTTCAATATTATGAAAAATATTGCAATGGAAATTCTTGTACATACATTTTTGTACCTTTGTGAGAGTATTTCTACAGTGTAGTTTCCTAGAAATGGAATTCTTATTCTTAATAAGTTTTCACCAGGTAACTGATTTGCAGTCCCAATTTCTTAGTTAATCTATGTGTTACCAAAAGAGGCATAGAATGCAAAAAGCTGAGCTGTCCAGTTGATTGTGGATTGTTCCTCAGAACTCTTGCTTTACTGAACAGCTTAAATGAGAAGAAAACATGGCTTTCTAAGTCTGTGGCATTCAGTATGTTCGCTTTGATTTAATCAGTCACAGGAAAATATATCCCAGAAGAGAGTGTATATCTCCACCCCAAACCCTCTTCTGATTTCTATTTGAGAGAGAGTGAAGCCCGGTGACTATTTGGGACCATATGTAAGGACTACTGAGGCTGTCACTCAGAATGCCAACTAAGTTGGCAGTGGAAAGAGGTAAGCATCATTCCAAAACATTATTGTTTTGGTGATTCAAGATATTTAGATTACTAAAATACTGATGGCATATTTGGCCTCAAAAGTGATCCAAAGCCATTTATCCCTCTCTCCCTCCCACATCTGCATAGATCTGCCCCACAAATTAAAAAGTACTGCTTTTCCAGCCCTACAGGTTAAGAATTTCCTCTGCATACAGAAATGATTATGAAAATTAAGCCAAAACACATCCATACAAGGGGATGCTGTATGGTAATGAAAGTAAATAAACTAAGCTACATATGGTTTCATGGGTGAATCTTTTTAAAGAAAGTTGAGTAAAAGAATAAAGATACAAAAGAATTTATACAGTATAACTCCTGGTTAGTTATCTATTGCTGCATAACAAATTATTCTAAAGTTTCTTGGCTTAATGCAACAAAAATCATTTATTATTCATGGTTTCTGTAGGTCAGATATTTGGGAGTGGCTTGAAGCAAATCTGGCTCAGGGTTGCTCATGAGCCTACAGCCAAATGTCATCTGGGCTGCAGACATCTGAAGGCCTGACTAGGGCTGGAGGATCGTCTTCTATGGTCACTCAGTCACAAGGCTGGCAAGATGGTGCAGGATGTTGGTGGGAGGGCTCAGTTCCTATCCACATGGGCCTCTTCACAGGACCGCTTGAGCTTTCTACTGGTCCTTCCCAGAGTAAACACATGGAAAGAAGTAGACAGAAACCTCAATAACCTTTTATGACCTAGCCTTTGAAGTTGGTCGCACAAAACAGCCCTGATTCAACGTGGAAAAATGCCAGTAGTAGGCCAGGATCATCGGCGCCATTGTGGAAACTGACTACCACAATTTCATTTATAGAAAAAAATCTAAAAATAGGGAAAAATGAACTATATTGCTTAGGGAGGCATATTTAAGTGTCAAAACTTAAAAGCAAAAAAAGGAATGATTAGCTTAAAAGTGGTTATCTCTTGGAGGAAGGAAGTTGTAAGTGGGCAAGGATCATTATTTGTAAAAGAATACATTTATGTTTTATGCACTTTTCCTTAAGTGTGATATATTTCATAATTTTCAAGGAAAGTTCATTTCAAAATAATAAACTAAAAGAAAAATGACATGAGAAAAAGAAAGGATTCATTTCTCTAATAATAATATAAAATTAGCCAATAGTTCTTATATGTTCCAGACAATTATATTTATATCTTTATTTAGTACTCACAACAACTAATGTGGTTCTATTAACCTGTTTTCACAAATAAAAAAATTGAGAAGTAGGGTGAGTTAGATATCTTGCCCAAGGTCATACAGCCAATAAATGGTGGAGCCAGGGCCCTTCTGAGGCAGAAAAGGAGGCCAGACTATTGGTATACCTTTAAAAACTCTATTTTTGCCTAAACTAAACTTTATTTATTTATTTATTTATTTATTTATTTATTTATTTATTTTTGAGACTGATTCTCACTGTGTTGCCCAGGCTGGAGTGCAGTGGCGTGATCTTGGCTCACTGCAACTTCTGTCTTCTGGGTTCAAGCGATTGTCCTGCCTCAGCCTCCCTAGTAGCTGGGATTACAGGTGCCCGCCTCCATGCCGGCTAATTTTTTGTATTTTTAGCAGAGACGGGGTTTCACCATGTTGGCCAGTCTGGTCTCGAACTCCTGACCTCAGGTGAGCCGCCTGCCTCGGCCTCCCAAAGTTCTAGGATTACAGGCATGAGCCACTGCACCTGGCCCTAAACTAGAAAAACTTTTAAAATCCTTAGCTGGGTGTGTCAACTAGTTTTTCTCAGTATGTGACTGGCAGCAGTATGTTTAGTACCATGTAAGTACTAAATAGATATTGTTTTAAATGAATAAAAAATACAGATTTATTTATTTTGCAAAAATCTTGGATGATGCTGGTTATGCGTCAAACACTGTTCTATGCACCTTACATGTATTAACTCATTAGTCCTCTGACTGTCTCCTGGTGTCCACTCTAATTCCTTTCTAAGAGATAAGATACTGGGTAACTTTCTTTCTTCACTTGTCCCTAGGTGTTGTGTTTCTAAGTTCTTGAAATTTGACTCCTGGATCTTGCTGTTTTAACATATTACTTTGGCAAGTCAATTCAATAGCAGTACATTGAGCACCTATTCCTTACTGGGTTCTAGTGGAAAATTAAGATGAATGTATTTTCCTCTGTAACCTAATAAATGAAAGCTTATCTTTTAAAACTTTCAGACAACGTTTTGCATTAACATGGAGGGGAATGTCAAATCCCTTGAGGTTTATCCCTGTAAACTTCACCGGAGGAAGTGTATCTGCATCTTGGCTTATTGTGCTTCCTATTTCAGTAACCTTAATAAGTGCTAAATATGCTTCTTTCAGTTATTTTTCAGCATATTTCTCCAAATCACCCAGTAGCAAGTCTTAACATGTCTGCCTGTTGTTTTAACGAAAAAATCTCAGCTCCTTATCAGGAATCCCACTGGGACACAGGCTAAATTCTATGCTGATAAATCAGTTCAGGCTAGGATAGAGCCCTAGTGATGAAGCAGTTATTTTGTTCAATAAATATTTGCCTATTTGCTACATATGAACACTATGGAAAACCTAGTCAAAATCCCATTTTCATGTGCATTATCTTTGTTATTACTGAAAGGAGCCAATGTGACTTTGCTAGAAAACATTTTTTCTTTTACTTACAGCTAATTCATTCACTCATTCAATAGACAGCTACTGAGTATCTATCATGGGCATGGTCCCAGCCCTGTAGGAGCTCACAGTTTGGGCAAGGGCAGCTGTGTACTGGGTATGTGTGTGATGGTGCTGGTGGATGTGCATGAAAAGTTATGTAGATAATTATAATCCAGTGTATTACAGACAGTGTATGTGAAGGACCTAGGAATGGGGCCCAAAACCAACTTGGGGATCTGGTGAAGGTTGGTAGAGTTGGGCAAGACTTCCTGAAGAAGGTAACACCTGATTGGGTTCTCTCTCTCTCTCTCTTTTGAGATGGAGTCTCACTCTGTAGCCCAAGCTGAAGTGCAGAGGCACGATCTCGGCTCACTGCAACCTCTGCCTCCAGGGCTCAAGTGATTCTTGTGCCTCAGCCTCCCAAGTAGCTGGGACTACTGGTGCGTGCCACCACGCCAAGCTAATTTTTTGTATTTTAGTAGAGACCAGGTTTTACCATGTTACCCAGGGTGTTCTTGAACTCCCGAGTTCAGGCGATCTGCCCACCTCAGCCTCCCCAAGTGCTGGGATTACAGCTGTGAGCCACCGTGCCCGGCCCAATTGAGGTTTTAAGTCCAAATAATTGCGTTAGGCCAAAGGGGAAGGGAAAAACAGACTGGCAAATTCTGATAACTTGAAGCAGTTTGGGGTTATTGCAGTTGCTTAATATGAAACTCAGGGGGTGATCTGAGAGGATGAAGGAAGGGTGGGTGGACCCAGGATATGGAGAGTTGGGTATCCAGGGTTAAATAGCTTGGCCTTTACTCTTTAGCAATAGGAATCCTGAAAGATTTCAATCAGGGGAAAATGGAAGGTGAGATACGTGTTCTCGAAAGATACCTCTTCACAAAAGTTTCAAAAACAGGAGTGCTTTTTGGCCCAGCAATTCAATTTCTAGGAAATTAATGTGAATGGGACCAAAGACTTAGCTACTAGGAAAACAGCGACACTATCTTTACCTATAAGAGTGAAATCTTGGAAATCAAATAAAGGCCCAACAATGCAGAGATTAAAAAAATAAATTCTAGTAAATATATATAGTGGAAAAATTATATATTCTAAAAATATTAAAATAAATTTATAGACAAGGAACAACATATAATAAATTCAAGACAGGGAAAAGTCAGGGACAACACTGTATATTCAGTGTGATCTCCTTTTGAATATTTATTTATATATCTATACATATATATGAACATATTGAATTACATATGACTAGGTATAAATATCTGAATAGTAGGATTACCAGTGCTTTTTTTCCTTTTTACTTATCCGCATTTTCTAATTTTTAAAGAATAAATATTATTACTTTTCTAATATAAAAATAAGTTTATTTAGAATATTTTACATAAAAGCAAGTAACGTTGCTTTGGTAGCTATGTAAAGGAGGACAGAGAAGCAGAAATGCCCACTTTGAAGTTTATCTTCCATCTTTTGCTATATTATGTTGTGAAATATTTTGTGTTCTCCTTCTTGCTCCAATCCTGCGATCTCAGACACTTTGGAATAAGAATTAAAAGCATGAGCCTTCCGTTACTGCTCAGTGTTAGGTTTGGAGTCTCTAAGTCTACATTAGGGTCCAACCCCTCTTTCGCTCCTGCCTTAGTAGCTCTGGGGTGACAACCATCTCTTGCCATCTGCCTGGTTGGGGCTCATGAGCCACAAGGCACTTATTTGTTTTAAACAAGGTAAAGCCATCCCCAAGCTCACTGCTGAGTTCTGAACCCTGTTGACTCTTCACAGTTGCTCCATTGCAATGAGTTACTCTTGAGACCTATCAGAATATCATTTCTAACCCGTTTAAGCCACCTTGCAGATCGCAGCCAGTCCTTTCCTAATCCCTTTATGTGGCCTCTTATATTCAGATCCAAGCTCCTCAAACTTCACATTGGATTATTTTCAAATTGTCTTCTTCTCATTTTTGTTGAGATTTCATTCAGCCTGGTTTGATGTCATCCCTTAAAGTAGTGGTTCTAAAATTCCTACATGAATAAGAACTAGCTGGGGAGTTTGCTAAAAATGCAGATTCTTCATCCCCACCCCTTGGCAATTCTGATTTAATAGTTCTAGCTCTGAGTTTGGAGCTCTGCATTTTAATGGACGCCCCAGGTGATTCTCATGGACATGGCTCATGGACGTCGCTTTGAGAGGGGCACAACACCTTCCTCTCCTGATCTGCACAACATAGCACTCTTCCCCTGCCCCCTTGCCCTCTGCAGTGGCTCTAGAAAAGTACATTATACAGCACTTTCAAGAATAATATATTTAGAAGTTAATAGTTCATGATCCACAGAATCCAGGAGGAGCCATAGTAGACCACAGGGTGGTCCTTGGTGCCTCTGAGCTTGCAGATGAAATTTTTATTGTGCACTTTTTTTTTCTGGTAAGAAGGTCTGCAGCTTTCAACAGTGTCAGAGAAATCCATAATCCAAAAAGTTAAAAGACCCTAAAAATCCGTTAAACATATTTATGCCTTAAAAATTAAGTACCTTCCTATTTGACATGCTTCATGTCTAAAGTTTGTGTAGCTTAAATTATTTTGGGGGGGCAGGGCCCATGCCTTGGCATATATCCACTGCCTTGGCACACATAGAAAGAATATATACGCTGGGAGGATGGTGCAGAAAACTCTGCTGTTGATCATCACCTCTCCCCAACCCTAACATCCTGTTTCCTTGGTATTTTCCTGTTATTTATATTTTTCTTCATGTATACCTATCTCACCCTCTTTCTAGATAACTGGATAGCCTCTTCCTGTTCACTCCTGTGCTCATTAGAATGTATTTCAAATAACAGAAACAAAAGTTGAATTGTGTTTAAGAAGGGAAGGGAATGGGAAGATTTTTGGGTTTTTGGACACATGACTGAATATTCATGCCAGGGAGGCTGCAAAATAGGATTTTTTATTTTATAGTCTTTAAAATAGAGAAAGAGTTTTGGATAGCTAGCATCTTTTGCAGTTAAGGCTTGGGCACAAAACCTAGATCCACCAATTGGATTGGAAGATAAGCAGGTGAAGTAGCCAGGACTTTGCTGAATCCATTTTGGTGGTGGATGGTGGTAGCAGCATTTCGACAGTGTCCTGTGTGCAGTACTGGAGGTGCAAGCTACGATGTTTAGTGATACAATAGTGGTGGGAGGTGTAGTGGTGTGGGTGTGCCTTCACTAGACCAGTTCTATGGCATAGATTTTGGAGTTGTTCCCAGTTGCATGGCTTATATGTTAGGGTCTGCTGCCTTTCCTTAGGTTTGGTGAGCTACTCAGTAGACTTTTGAAGATTCCTTTCTGCTGAAATACACCCTAGTTAGTTTCTGCTGGCTCTTTTTTTCCAAACATATCAGACACAATCCTGCTTCCGTATCTTCATCATGTCCATTTTCTCTTTTTGAATGACATGGTTTTTAATCTAATTTCATCAGAAATCATAACCCATTTAAGAAATTGTTATGATAGTTTCCTCTCTCTTTTCTTTCTTACTTTATTTTTTAAAAAATGTTTGATCATGAAAATTTTCAAGCTTACACTAAAGTAGATAGAATAGTATAGTGAATTCCCATAACCTGTCACCTGGCTTCAACATTTTACCATTTACGTTTCATATTTCTTTTCCCATGCCTTTCTGGAGATAGAAGGAGAGGAGATGGGATATTTTATGACAGCTCCAAGACATCATATCATCTCACCCATACATACTTTATATGTATTTCTAACAGAAAGAGTATAAAAATGAGATAAGCATAATATACTTATCATACCTAATACAAATTAACAATACTTTTAAAATGTCATTCAATTCCAGCCCACGTTCAAACTCTCCCAGTTTTCCCCAGAATGAATTTTTACAATTGGTTTGTTTTAATCAGGGTCCAAATAAAGTCCACATAAGGTATTTCAGTGATATGTCTCTTTTTTCCTGTTTATTTATTTATTTATAATTTTTAGTAGATATGAGGTCCCTCTGTATTGCCCAGGCTTGTCTCAAACTCCTGGGATCAAGCAATTCTCCCACCTTGGCCTCCCAAAGTGCTGGGATTATAGGAATGAACCCCCAAGCCCAGCCTCTAATTCATTTTTTATTGATATATAATTCACATGCCTAATATGTCTCTTAAATCTTCTAAAGCCTTTACAAGTTCTTCCTTCCCCTTTATTTCATGCTATTTATTTTTTGAAGAATTTCTCAATGTCTTACAGAATTTTTAAATCTCTGGGTTGTCTGATTCTATTTTTGTGATGTTATTGACGTGGTCTTCTCTTGCATTTTTTTTCCTGTGAACTGGTGGTTAGACCTAGGGGCTTGATTACATTTAGTTTTCATATACCCTAGATTTTTTTTTTAAAAGATGGAGCTTAGTCACATCGCTTCCAGGAGTCTTAATATCCCGACCCCCAGTGGTTGCTCTTTTCTTAGACAATTGTAGTATTTATCTATCGCTCTTGTTATCCATTAAATCCTGCCCATTTCTACTCCTAAAAGGTCAAGGACCATGTCCTGTGTGCAGGGACCACATATGTGTCATCATTGCTATTTCCCCATACCTAGGGCACAATGTGCCTGGCACAGAGTGGATGCACCAAAAATAGCTGTTGAGCTAAGAGGATATGAGAGTACAAATCATACACTGGGTATCTGCTGCTTAGCATTGCTGCTTTATGTGTGGTTTCTCATTGTGTTACAAGCCTTGACTCAACTCATGGACTGGAAGCTTCATGAGGGGAGGGAGGAAGTCAAATATATTTTTGTATTCCAGGTACCTAACACATTGCCATGCCCATACCTTGCACATATTTAGTATAGAGTAAATGGGGAACCCTTGCCTATCCATCTCTGAAGGATTTTTGTGAGCTCAAATAAGAGATGTATGTGACAAGTGTATGTAAAAAGTAATGTATTACATAAATACATGTAATATTAATAACAACAATTATAATCTGTAGTCATTGCTTTTGTACATTTAATAGGCTCAGTCTTTAGTTTAAATGTATGGATCTATTGCCTGTTATCATCTATTTTTCAAAGTGGTACCTAACCCTAGGGCTTAACTCATTAATGAAGAGGGATTACAGGGTACATCTATCAGGTGGCCAGCTTTTGGTTATGTGGATTAATGGTATAGCAATCCACAGAAAATCATCCATTTAAAGGAGTGAAATATTTTTATGGTGATTATGCGAAGCTCTTGTGGTTGCAAGTGACAAAAAAATAGTTCTAGCAAAAAGGAATTTTTTTTTGTTCATATATCTAAAAAGTCCAAGGATATCTGACTTCAGGTATGGTTGGAACAAGGAAGTGAAACAATGTTGTCGTACTTTTCTATTCTTTATCTTTGCTTGTCTCTTCTTCTTTTTGTTGATCTTATCTCATTCTCTTCCATTTCAAATTAGCTTCCCTAATTGCCCATGGGTAAGTAGCTCCAGATTTTCTTCTTTCTAGCAAAGCAAACAGTCTTCTCCCATTGCCCTAGCAGAGAAGTCCTAAGGAGGACTTCTAGTCATCTCAAGGTCCCCTGTCCAGTCTTAAAGGAATCAGAATGCACTGGGTAGCAGACTGCACTGTAATGGATAACCCAGCCATATGTAATGGAAAATAAGTTTTCCTGAACAAGGAGTAGGATGAGACCAGAAGAAAAGGTATAGGAGAAAAAAATAACAGCTATCTGTGTGAACCTCAGGACAACCTCAGCTCAGAGGTCTGCACCCTGGAGACCTCTCTTGCGGGTGTACTTAGTTGAAGATGAATTCGGAGGTCTTGGTTTTCCTGAGTTTTCTTTCCTTTGAGGTTAGTCCCTTAGGTCTGGAAGGTCACTATTTGATGTAATAAGTGATGGGTAGACTGTTTCACTGCAGATCTAAAGAAGTTATAAACTGCAGTTGTAACATAAAGTCTGTGATAGCCTTCAGTGGGTCAGCTGACCAAAATTATGCACAGTTTTGTTTCTATCTGTATTTTCTGAGAAGAGGATCCGTAGCTTCCCTCAGATTAAAAAACTTCTGGTGAGCCCAAAGATTAGGCAGCTTCCCATGTTTCTCAATGGGGATACATACCACTGAAATTTGGACAAGAAAATTTGTTATTGTGCAATATGTGTAGTGTCTCTGGCCCATACCCCTTAAACGTCTGTAACATCCATAAGTTATTATGACAACCCCTCCTCCCATATTCCAAGCACTGATAATTGAGAGCCCAGATGAGATTAGAAGTCTAGACTGCATGTTTCCTTCATGTTTGATCTTTCTTCTTTCTCTCCCAGAGAACATGAAGGAAACACGTTTTCTTTGTTTGCTTTTGACAGCTAATTTCCAGCAGTCCATCTATTAAGGAATCTAGGATCCCACTTTTATGAGCACAAAACTCCCACTTTCCTTAGGGGTGTTCTCAGGTATTCTGACATAGTTTAATAGTTTCAGGGGAGGGCCTAAAAGTCGTATGTTGGGGACTAATTTTTATTCTGAAAATTTGGTAATTGCTACTGCAACATAGTGTGCCTTCTGCACTTTTTCCAAATCACCTTGAGAACTCCAGCCCTAACATCGATCCATCCTACTGGATGTCTTTTCTGATGTGAAATTAAAATGTTTCAGTGGGAGGCAAGATATGCAAAGGGGTAACTCCTGGGAGGTGCCCAGTTGTCACTGTAGCCTCTTTAGAATTTTCTCCTAGGACAGTCATTTAGTTTATTAATTCTGAAAGGCCAAACACCAAAATGAGATGTTAATCTGAAAGGAATAACTTCAAGACCTAATAAAGAATGACCACTGAGCAGAGTTTTTATAGATTGCAAATCACTTTCTCTTACATTTGACCTTGCAACATCTTCTAAAACTGGTTTGCCAATCTCTTCTTTTATGGATGAAGAAATGGAGGCTTCTAGGAACCAAGTGACATGCTCAGGATTGCACAGCTCTTCTTAGAAGGACTGGGGATTTCAACTCTGAGTCTTATACCTTTAAATGCCACTGTAACTCTATACTGCCTCCCTGATGCCTCAAAACACTTTTGAAAAGAAGGAACACGTCCTACTGGAGCTAATCAGAGGGAAGAACTAGAAGTACAAATGAGCCACAACGGAGAGTTTTAAAATTCTCTTCCCTAAGTGAGTTCCGGGAAGCTCGGGAAGGGGTGGACACTTGTACAGTTCACTTGTACATCTTCACTCCTGAAATGCTAGGACAAATCTCATTTGAACTCCCAGTCAACTGAGAAATTAAAAGCAGAGAGCAACGACGCTATTTTGTAACTTTGTGCCTTTTAAAATTAACCGAATCTTTCAATTGCTGCTGTAGATTAGAAGTGGCTACTTGGATAAAGGGGAAAGAGCCATTCAACTGATGAATACTATTGTAAAAGTCCAGACTTAGTTCTAGAAAAGGAACGCACAAGAACAATTTCTCCAATAACGTTTTCATTACAGAGCGAAGGAAAGTTCTTCCTCGTTGTTCCAATCCGAGGACAAGCTGATATGTCGCAGCAGCCCAGGGAAGCATGCGAGCTGATAGGAAGTCCTTTTATTTTAAGACAGGCTCGAATGCTAAAACTTTCTTGTGCCAAAACCCTTGACTATTTTATTTTTAAAATAAGCACTTGGCGTGCCCTCGCAGATGTCTGAGCTGAGAGGTCGGGGCGATGGTAGAAGAGCAGTCAGTGTCCATTCTTATTCATATTAAGTAGCCAAGTCTGTACCCTTGAAGCAAGTGGGGAGAGAGGAGGGAGAGGAGCTGCTGACATTGACAATGAATCCAAACAGGAGTTGCACTAGCGGTGTCCACCACGTTGCCTCTCCCCCGCCTGGCCTTCTGGGAGCTGTAGTTTTCGTGGGAGCGGCTCCCCAGGCGAGCTGGGAATGCCCCGCCCGGGCCGAACTACAGATCCCAGGCGGCGCTCGGCCGCCAGCCCCTCCCGCCCGGGTGCGAGTGTAAACTCCCCGCGCTGGGGCGGGCGGCCGCGAGCCGGCGAGCGGGCAGAGCTCGGCACTGCGCCGGGGCGCACGGCTCGGGGGACCCAGGCCCAGCTACCTTCCCTCCGCCCCCGGGCTCTGTTCTCACTTTCCAGCAGTGGAAGGACGGGAAGCGGGAGCCATGCAGTCCGAATCGGGGATCGTGCCGGATTTCGAAGTCGGGGAGGAGTTTCATGAAGAGCCCAAAACCTATTACGAACTCAAAAGTCAACCGCTGAAGAGCAGGTGAGTGGTGACAGCTGGGCAGAGGCGCACCGGGCGGCTGGGGGGCACTGCGTCTGCCACTCTGGGGCGAGGAGAGCGGGTCGCGGGAGCTCTGGGACAAGGACCCAGTGCCCTTGCCCCGGAGCAGAGGGCGAACTGCCCCTCGCAGTTGGGGGCCGCGCCTGCCCGGCCCAAGTGCGCCTTTAGGAAGCTCGGATGGAGCGCACTTCGCGGGGGCGCGGCGGGTCGCCGGGGACGAAGCGTCCAGGCGCGGGGACCCTCGGCCGAGGATGCCAGCTGCTGAGACTGATTGGGGGCTGGGGAGCGACCTGGCGCGATGTGGGGGAGGAGGAGCGCCGGGCCGGGACGCTGTCCCGGTGGGATGGGGGAGAAAGAGTTCTAGTGAACCCCCTTTCTGAAGATCCCAGCGGGTTGAGGGCTCGGAGAGGGAGAGCTTTGGGTGGACTGAGATGCGACATTGGAGGGAAGCAATTAGTTCGCTTGGAGTCACCTCTTGGGAGTCCGGTCTCTGTGGGGAAACTAGCCTCTGGGCTCCTGCAGGTGAGGTTTCTCTGGGCTCCGCCTCTCACCTCCAGACCGCTGCTAGCGGGCGCGGGAGGGGCCAGGGCAGCGGTGGGCGTGTCCCCTTGTTCAAGTTAAACTCTCTGGAAATAGAGTCCCATTCAAATCCAGGCCTTACCTGCAGAGGGGAAATGAGCCTTGGTCTTGGGGGTTACTGGGAGTGTACCCCGCTTGGCAGAGACACGTGTTTAATTCGCTGGGGACTTCAGAAACTTTTTAGACGAGGAGTGAAGACATCCACTGCTCTGATGCCCCATCCCCTCTAGTGCCCACTTCCCTTGAGCCACCCTTTTTGCTGCCTCCATTCCCACTTGTCTGTCGAAATGGATTGGGTGTCTTCCGTTCTCTCTGTCCGGCAGCCACTCTGGACGCCTCGTACTTCTCGTTTACAATGTTTCCTAAAAGGGACATGGTCAATGGAGGCTGGAATAGCTGAGAAGGGTTTATTTCCACCCCTCTAAGCTGTGAGCTAGGATAAGGCTATCATTGGAAGCATCCAGCAGGGCTTCTGCACTCGGCTGTAACTTCCTGCCTTGCCCTTCGCTGTGGATGGGGCCTGGGTGAATGGGCCTGGCTGGCAGAGTGGGAGAGGGTCTTGAAATGAGGGTGAGTGGAGAAGGGCAACTGAACGGGGAGCCAAGTGGTGTAATCTTGGCCTCTGGCGAGCACTGGGCTGGTTCTTTTTCTAGTGGAAAGTGCAGCCAGGTTTATTTCCTTCAGGGCTGTGGCAGGACTCTTTATCCAAGTTGGGGAAGAAAATCTGGGAACAGCGGTCCTACTGACTGCCATTGCTGAAGACTCTTTGTAGATGCTTCACGGCAGATTGGAAGGAAACCGCCTAAGCAGTTGGACGTATAAAACCAGCCTTTAGTTGGTGGTTTTTCCTCATAATGGCTGTTTTGTGTGTGAGCATAGATTGTGTGTGTTGGGGGCTGGGGGTTTTGAGTAATATTGTGTGAAGGGTATTGTTGGTTATGCTCATCAGGGCTTTATCTGCATTCGGCTGAAGGGACCAGTGTTTTACTGGGCAGTCTCTGCTTTTGCTTCTATAAGCAAATGCTTACACGGCCAGAATGAGGGAATGAGTGTGTGTGTGGAATCCTGAAAGAAATAAATTAACCGGACTGTTTGGAACATTTCTGATGGTAGCTGATACATAACATTAAATCAGTTTGAGAGAGCGAGGAAAATACCATCTGGAAAAACCCAAATGAGTGCCGTGAAACTCATGTTGCACGATTTGGGCCTGTTCTTTTTCAGAGTCAGCAAAAAAGACTTGTAAGGGTGAACGTCCTCAGTAGCTAGCTAGCAGGCACGTGTAAGGGAAAATGTGGGTATGTGGGAAGAAATGGCTTCACACGTTAATGCTAGAAACAGGTGTGGGCCTGAACCAGCAGGGAAAGGAAGGCTAAATTAAAAAAGTTGTTGTAAAACTTGTATATGGAGCACACACATGCTCTTTGAAATAAACCAGTTAAATAAAATCTGTGAATAAATATATGGAGTTGGCAACATTTCTCTATACTGTTTTCCACAGTTGTCTAAGGTATTGTCGTCGACATCTGTTGTGTGACTTAAAAGGGCTGCACATTGTTCAGGGCCTTCTCTCTCATTGCTTTTTGTCTTATGTTTTTGCTGGGGCACCTCACTTCTTACAAGTCTTTGTCGGAAAAAGTTGAAATTGATATGTGAAGACTGCTGTAGCCGTTCTGCCTATCAACTGTCTTCTCTGGATTGTCCAGAGTTGTTAGAGTTGAAAATATGTCCAGAATCTGCCCGCTTCTTACCACCTCCTCTGCTACCACTTTGGTCCAAGCCACCATCAGCCCTTGCCTGGATTATTGCAGTAGTCTTTTAAACTGCAATACCCACATTTAGTGAATTTTCAGTATAGTAGCCACAATGTTCCTGTTAAAACTGGTTCTCAGTTGGAGGTGATTTTGCCCCTGGGGTCATTTGACAGTGTCTGGAGACATTTGTGATTGTTACAGTGGAAGGGATCATTACCCATATCTAGTAGGTGGAGGCCAGAGATGCTGCTAAACATCTTACAGTGCACAGGACAGCCCCCACAACAAAGGATTATCTGGTCCCAAATTGTTAGTAGTGCTGAGGTCAAGCAACTCTGTGTTAAACCTCAAGTCAGATCCTGTCATTCTCTGCCCAGAACCTGCCCATGGCTCCTAATTTCTCCCAGTAAAATTCAAGGTTCTTAAGATGTCAGCTCTGACCTTATCTCTTGTTGCCTGCCTCCTACCTCCCTCTGCTACAGCCAGGCTGGTCTCCTCACTGTTTTTGGAATACCCCAGGCCCTTCCACCACTGGGCATTTTTATATTGCACTTGCCTTGATCATCCTTTGCCCAGACAGACCCAGTGCTCACTCCCCCACCAACCAGTATGTGCCTGCCTCCAGGAGTCTTAAGAACATTAAGTGTGACGTTGACTGTGGGAAAGTATTAGCATGGTGCCTGGCACGTAGTAAGTGCTCAGGAAATGTTAGCAGATGTTGTTCTTGTTATTTTCTTTACAGTTCATTCTTTAAACATCATTCCCATCACACTGATAGTGTGGCCCTTTTTTGACCACAGTATTTGCGATTGCTGTTCCTCCAAATTCTCTGTCTTCTTTGTCCAGCTATATATTTTTTTCCCATAGGGCTTATATTATAATCTACTGTATAATTTTCCAATATGTTATGTTTATTACGTGTTTCTCCATGCTAGACTGCAAACTCCAAGGGAACAGGGTTTTCTGTTTGTTCCTTGCTCACTATTGTGTCCCCAGAGCCTAGAACAAAGTTTCTCAACCTCAGTGCTATTGATATTTTGGGCCAGATAATTCCTTGTTGTGGAGGGTCCTATGCATTGCAGGATGTCCAGCAGCATCCCTGGCCTCTATCTATTAGAGGCCAGTACTCCTGCCTCTATCAATTATGGCAACCAAAAACATCTCTGAACATTGTCAGACATCCCGTGGTAGGCAAAGTACCCTCATTTCAGAACCACTGGCTTAGAACAATGCGTGACACAATAAATATTTGTTTGAGTATGTGTTGCTTTCTTCCTTAATACCATAACCCACTCAAGGTATGGTATTTGGTTTTTTGTTTTTGCAATGAATATTGTGTTTCCTTTAAAATAGATACCTACTAGGCTTTCTCCAAAGAGGAATTCATATATTGTTCATTGGGGCTAACCTCAGATATTCAAGTCTTTCATGAGGAAGGACATGTTTCATTTCTAACCCAGACATCCTTGCCTTTAGGAATCTGAAGTTGCTGGATTTAGATTATGTGAATCTCATTTTGGTCATATTGGTGGTTAAGGCTGTGTATAGGAAGACACATGCTGTGGGAAAAGGTTCCAATGAATTGTTTGCACACCGTTTCCTCCGACAAGGTTTTAGAAACCTTGTGTTCTCCTGGGAATGAGTTCTGAATGGTGGGTGGCAGAGGAAAAGCGCTGAATATCTAGAGTGAGCCCAGAATTCACATAGGCATAGTCATGGCAGGGAAACAAATGTGAAACTGTTGAATGAGCTCCTAGGAGCAGAGGAAGTCTCTACAGGTCTTTTGTACCCAAAAACATTTTAAACCGTAGGAGCATCTTTCAGGCTCATAGTCCTTTTGTTTGGTTTACTCAGTCCACATGGCTTTGTAGTTGTTAATGTCCTTTTCCTGGACAGACTTCACAGTTGGCTTAGTTTAATTCCAATTTCTTCTTAAATCTTTAGTACTATTTAGACAGCTGTTATTACATTTTCTGCAAATTAGAAATGGGAATGAAAGTGAGTATTAGCTTTATCATGGCAGGACAGGATACAGCAGTGATCCCCAAATGCTGATTCACAAAGGTGTGTGAACTTTTAAAGGTTTGGGTGAAATGAGAAAGACAAAGACTGTTGCGTCACACGCATACCTACATATATTTGGGTGTAAGGCCGCTGCCATTTCTTGGAGTTATGCTGAGATGTTTTTCTCCTGTCTTCATATTAAAAAATGCCCTTTCTTTGATGACATAATAATCCATTCTTGGCAAAACAAAACTGTCAATCATTTTTTGATTTCTGAAAGTTTTCTTGATTTTTTTTTTGGTCTGTCTAATCTGAGGGAACCACTAGCATAGAGATGAAGAGCCTTGTTCTGCCATCGATGTCTGTCCCTAACTAACTGGGTGACCTTGGGCAGGCTGGGTGACGTCTAATTTCAGTTTCCTCATCTGGCAAATAGGGGCCTGCCTCCAGTAGTCTCAAGAATATAAGTGTTACATTGACTGTGGGAAAAGTATTAGCATGGCACCTGACACACAGTAAGTGCTCAGTGCTGACACATAGTAAATGCTCAGTAAATGTTAGCAGATGTTCTTGTTGCTATTTTCTTTATTACCTAGCAGCGAACCTGGCATTTTGGAAGGTGTTTTGCATTTGCTTGACTGTGGTTGTCTTCTCTAAGGCAAGTGTTGTTACGCAACACAGTTCTTTGAATGTTAGTAAATTCCTTTTTGCTTTTCTTCTAATGAAGTGTTCAGATAAATATTTTACACTTTGTATCTTTCATTTAATCATAACAATTCTTTTATGCTAGTTAAAAAAACTAACAATTTTGACATTAGTGTATCCATAAAAATTCGTGTTCAACACATATTTATTGAGTCCTAGTATGTGCACATTAATACTAATAATGATGGGTCACATTTATTGAGTATGTACTATGTGTGAGCCCCATTCTAAGTGTTTTTACGTGTGTAAAACCTATTTAATCTTTGTGAAATCTGCATGAGGTGATCATAATAAATAAAAACAATAATGATATTAATTATAATTTTAAAAACAGTTAAGACTTATCTAGTGCTTCCTATGTGCTAGGCACTATTATGAATATTAACTCTATATTAATGCTGTTAATTCAACCTTGGGTGTATGTAATAGTTTATTATTCTCATTCTACAGAGAGGGAAACTCAGGTATGCCAAGTTGGTGGGGCCTGGAGTTAAACTGATGCTTCTGTAGCTACATGCTCTTGTCCTCTAGTCTGTACTATGCCTGGTTGATTGTGCAAAATTCAAAGATACATCATACTGTGCCCTCCCTGTGTGGTGAGGGAAAGAGAACTCATGGGTCCAGCTAATTATACAAGGCAGAGTGTGGTCCCTGTGGCAGGGTGGGCATCAGCAGTTGGGGGCATTTAACAGAGGAAGGGGAACTGGGGAGGCAGTTTTGTGGACAAATAGGGGTGTTTGAGTTTGGCCTTAAAGGTGAAACAATAGTCAAATGTGTTTCTCTACACTAAGTAAAATGTTAGACATCTTGGAGGGCATGGTCCTAAAGTAGACATTTAGGGTTTCCGTTTGCCTTTTAAACTTCTAACCTTTCTTTAAGCTCTTTCTTGTGGTCTCCAGGCACCTGATGATACCTCATGGTGGCAGAGAGGCTGCATGCATGTGGACAGGTTTAGAGGGAGCCCTGCTTAAGTGCTGTCTGTGGTCGCTGCTTTGCCACTTAACCAGTACATCTGTGTTCAAGAAACTTAACTTCTTGGAGTCTCAATTTCTCTAAGCTGTAAAATGAGATCAATAGAACCCACCCCCTTAGGGTTGGTAGAACTTTTAAAACTAAGCAAAAATGTATAAATGTGTTTAACATAGCACCTAGCACTGTTAGTAAATGAAATTAATTCCTCCTTTTCTAGTAGAATTTTACTATGGTAGCAGTTTTTACCCTTCTCTTAAGAATAACTAAAACATATATAGAATCATGCATCCAAAACAAAGTAGACAAGATTGAGGTGCCTCAACCTGCAGATGTTCAAATCGTACTATGCAGATTCGTTTTGTGGTATGATTAGAGGGAACACTTGATTAAAGTGGGATTCTCAGTCTTGGTTTCGTTTGTTATTGGAGATTTCCTTTTCCCGATTACTACTATTTACAGATTTTACTTAAGTTGATATATGTTTAATTCCCTTTGAGTTCTGCAGTGCAGTTTGCACAGGCTGATGTTTATATCTGCTCCAGTTGTGCAAGAAGTGGAAAATATCCTTTTTTTAGAACAGATCACATGTGCTTACTGTCAGGAATAGGACCTCAGTGTAAAAAAATGTATCTTGGGACAAATCAAAGTTACTAAATTTCCCTCTCCAACTGCTTTGTTTCAGGATTGGCAGTATTAGGATAAATAATAGGAAAAAAAAATCCTTGGCTACTTTCTTTTTGTCATCTTTCAAGGACAATAAGTGAGAGTTTCATTTTTTTTGTGTGTGTGTATGTTTGTGTGTGTGAGGTATAAAATGTACTTTGCTGAGGGTTTGTCTAATCGGAATAAATTATAAAAATATGTTTGACTACACTCCAAGTATGCATTATTTGGAGAAAATAATCATGAAGACAGGTCAAAGATATTAAATGCAGCCACCACAAGCTTTTGATATTATAAAGGCAAATTTGCAGTTTATAAGAAGGTTTTTGTGAGTCTAGTGAACATTGTGTACTCCGAGGATAGGAATTATACCAAGGGATAAGTCTGCATCTTTATAGAGACAAACGAGGTCGAGAAGACCCACAGGGAGGTCTGGGATCTCTGTTGAAATTTCTGCACCTCCCGTTCTATTGCAAATGATCTTGGGAGGAGGACCAGGTTTGGCTTCTCAATGGTAAGCTTATTTCTCTAGCCCATTTCTACAATGTGGCTTTCTTATTTCTTCGCTTCGTCTTTCCCTCCTGTGGCTTTGGATGCATGCTGTGAAGAGTAGAGAAGTAGACCTTTGGAGTGTTCACCTGAGACCCCTGTCCTGGGATTCAGAGTGATGAAGCTTTTATCTTTAATGGCTGACCTTTCTGGGGACTTCTCAAGGACTGGGTGCTGAGTGTCAGTCTCTGTGCTGGCCATAGGGAGTCCAGTGGAGAAGCAGATGGGTTCCTGCTAGCATGGTGCATACATCTTGGAGGTGGCGCACAGTTAACAATGAACCAAATACATGAGCAAGATGAGTTTTACTAACTGCTATGGAAATTAAATGGAGCATTATTGGTAGAATGGGCCTATGAAAGAAGGGGGCTTTTTATTCGGTTGTATGATCAGGAATGACCTGTTGGAAGAAGTGATTTTCAGGCAAGACTGAATATCTGACATAAAGGCACAAATCCAGACACTACCACTCACTGGCTCTGTGACTTTGGTCAAGTTATCCAACCTTTCTGAACTCTAATTCTCTCTTCTGTAAAACGGGACAGTTGCCATCTTGCAAGGCTTCTGTGAAGATAAAAGGTAATGTATGTAAAGCAGCTAATATTAGGCTTGAGGCTTAGTAGGTGTTCAGGGTTACCCATAGGACTGAAGTTAACATATGAATAGTGGAAAAAGAAGCACAGACATTAATCTTTGTTATAAGTGTTTATAACTCAGTCTTAAATGTTTTCCTAATGTTGAGTGAGTCAGAGATTCATGCTTGTCTTTATAAACCTAACCCTGGACTAAAAGAGGAGATGGGTCTTGTTAGTTTTGTTATCCTTTCTTTCCTCTAGGATCATCCTACTTGATGTCATCCCTTGTTCTCCTGACTGTTGTTGTCCTGAGATAATTAATGTCTGACCATAGTTTTTGGGGCTGGATTTTTAATTACTTTTTTGGTGTTAAGGAGAGGCCTAAGTAATTGAGGATTAAAAAGGAAAGCCTGAGATTGATTTCACAAAACATACACGCCTACCACGAACAAATAACCAGTGTAGAACTCCTGACTCCTAGTCCTGTGTTTCTGTCCTGAGATCATGCTTCCTGTCCACTCTGTTGTGAAAATGTCAGTGTTGGTGCAGAAACAAAAAAGAAGAAGCTCTCCTCCCACATACCACCTCCAGTGTTCACCAACTTTGACATCCACAGGAAGTGGCATGCATTTAATTTGACATCTTTAAAAAAATCTTCAAAGCATTTGGATTTTAGTAGCTGTGTTCTTTGATTCAAGTACCCACAGAGTGATAATTTTCTTTCTTTCTTTTTCTTTTGAGGTGGAGACTCACTCTTTTGCCCAGGCTGGAGTGCAGTGGCATGATCTTGGCTCACTGCAACCTCCGTGCCCAGGTTCAAGCAGTAGTCCTGCCTCAGCCTCCCAAGTAGCTGGAATTACAGATGTGTTCCACCATGCTTGACTAATTTTTTGTATTTTTAGTAGAGGTGGGGTTTCGCCATGTTGGCTAGGCTGGTCTCGAACCCTTGACCTCATGTGATCCACCTGCCTTGGCCTCCCAAAGTGCAAGGATTACAGGCATGAGCCACCATGCCCGGCCAGAGTGATAACTTTCACAACGAAAAATACTGGGTTGTGTGACAGCAAATATTTTAAGTCTAAGTGCATGCCCTATAGAGGGCACTGGTAGAATCCTGTCATATAAGAAATTGTGCCTCATTGAGCAATTTCAGGAAGGCATCTGTGGTCTTCACCCTCCCCACCCTTGCCTCTTCTCCAAAGTGGGGTAACTTGCTGAATCATTCACACACATTCATCAGTTTTCCCATGTGATTAAGGGCATCATTGGAAAAGTGGTTGTCCCCACTGTTGGGAGAAAGCATAGCTTGTATTTGTAGAATAGGTTTCCTTCTGGGAAGGTTGACTTGCCTCAGTGGAAAGAAGACTTGAGGCAGAGAGGTTTCACTTAGCCTGGTGGCTGTGGTTATATATGAAATTACGAAATGACAGACAGGAATGCTATATTTACTTTGGTACCTTTACCATAAAATATTCCTAAATACTAACTGATTCTAGGAAGCATGTTTTTCAAAAACATACATTTTATTTTTTACAGTTGGAGATTTGAAATTTGGTGAAAGGAAATGCTCATGGAAATCCTAAAGATGATTTCCTTGTTTAACTCAGGACCTAGCTCAATCCTGGTGAAGGCTACTAGAGAACCTCATTGAGATGTAGCCACACTGTACCTCTTGCCTGCAGTGTGTCCTAAATTCGTAGAGATGGTGCTCTAAAACTGAGTTCATGAACCAACACACAGATATGTCATTGGTCAAATTGTAACATTCCCTTCCATCAAAAGGACTAGGTATATATTTGTCATTGTTTTGTTTTGTTTTTAGCATTTGAATTTTTTCAGCGAAAGGTGGAAAGGTATTATTTCAGTGTTAGTTTTGCTCTGCTGTATTGGTGAGCCTGCATAGTTGCACCATCTAAATTTAGGATGCTGGCACCTCAGCCAATAAGAACTCTTTGTAACTAATTTATAATGCTTTTGGCAGAGAGTGCCTAGAATAAACATTAAAATAGTGTTGGCCAGTTAAGGTCATTTACTTTCAAGGGAAGAGGGTGACCCCAAATATGCATTCTTGAAAATTCTATTTATTTAGTTTTAAAGGAAGAGTTTACAATAGCTTATGTGAAGCAATACCTAAAAATATAAGCAACTGGCATGATTCCTGGTCACATTCCGAATAAAGGTTTGTCCATTTGCTGCAAAGAAGCATGCTTGGAGGATAACTTGTAAGAGGTCGGCCACTGGCTTATGGTATATTAAACAACCAGTGTGTAGACTTTTTGGAACTGCATCTTGTATCATCTCAGCGTGGTAATTTTTCCACTGGTCTTTGGGTAGGTACACACTAATAATATTTTTTATCTAGGCAAATGCGAGATGAGTAAATGCTAAATGATAGGATTTTGGAAGGTAATTCTAACAATACTGATTATATTTGGAAGCTTTAAATTGTTGATTCAGCAGTGAATGAGAGAGTTTGATGGTGCTTGCTTGGTCATAATATCAAAATCACTAAAGTGCATGATGTAACGGCAGGGAGCTGAATGGCAAGGACAATTAATTGGGGTTTGTTTTTGGGAATCAATGATACCACATGTCAATCTGCTGTCCTTAGGGAGTCTCTCCCTAGTGTTACCCCTCTTTCTCACTTTTGGGTTCATATACCTGATACCTTTCTAAAAAAGTCAATTTCATGGCTCCAGGAGTGGAGAATCTGATACAGGCCTGGCTACATGTCCTTATCACAGGGATTGGTTTCACGGGGGTGCACATTGTTCAAAGTGAATCCCAGGATTTTCTTGGGTGCTACCACAACAGTAATATAGATCTGATAACAAACTTTCTAGAGGAAACTATAGAGCTTTCCTTTTTTTTTTTTTTTTTTCCTTTTTTAAAAACCAGTGAGTAATTATTATCAATGATTATCTCTGGCCTGACAATACAAGTGACACTCCTTTTTTTTTTTTTTTTTAACTAAATGTATTCTGATCTGGTGAATTTTTCATTCTAAAATAACAATACAAGAGTATTTAATATGGAGACATGAGATTTGTGGTAAAATCATTAGGGCAGTGGTTCTTAAACTCGAGTGTGCATCAGCATTCCCTGTAGGGCTTGTTGAAACAGATTTCAGGGACACACTCCCACAGTTTCTGTTTGGTAGGTCTGGAGTAGGGTCTGAAAATTTGCATTTCTGACATGTTTCTAAGTGATGCTGAAACTATTGGTTGAATCACACTTTGAAAAAATCATGGCACTAAGGTGGTGGTGATGGTGTTGGGAGTGGGGGTGATTTGCTCAATGAACTTGTGATAGAAAGCATTGCATAGAGATGGGATATAAATAATATATAAGCTTGGGTGACAGAATACCCATATTTGCCGTGTTTAATCAGAAAATGAATTTATTGGTTAAATAACAGAAAAGTCTAAAGATGGGGCTAACCAGGCCTTCCATGGATAGGATTCTTGGTTGTATAATGTGATCTCTGAGTGACTTAGAGTTAACCTAGCTTTACTACCATAAGGAGCCCTGGCCCAAATCTCAAAAAGGGGTTGTATTTTAATCTACACTCTAAAAGTGTGAAACTTGAAGCATACTGCAGTCACTTGACTGAAAGATTTGGTTGAGAAACAGGGTGATGGTGGTTTTGGGCATGTCCACATGACCAAACTGTTTTTCACAAAACTTCTGCTGAATAAAATTTGAAATACTACTGTCAGCCTGTTTTCCTGTCTTAATGAATTCCAGACAGTTTGTAGAGTGTGGGAGCTTCCAAAACAGAGAGGTGGAATGGATGTGACCAGCCAGCATCTGTTTTGTCACAAATGAGGATGTCCTGACATAATGGAATCGTTCCCCTTGTTCTGAATCTCACCAAGCTGTTCACTTCTCTGATCATGAAGTACAGACTGTGAGAAGGAAGGGCAAGGCCAATGTCATGTAACACAAGCCAAAAGAAAATTTCTGGATTCCTTATTTACCAGGAAATTCAGCCTACCCCTGTGTTTCATCCACTTAGACCCAAGCATTTTGATTTTTTTTTTTTTTTTTTTGGCATGTTGACATTCTTTAGAGAAAAAGCGCTGATCTGTTCTTGTTGTAAACTGGTTAAGACTTCTAACCAGTCTAATAAGTCTAAATTTCAGAGTAAGACAGATTTGAACTTAAATTCCAATTTGGCCACTTACTGGCTATATATGTGTCTTTGGGCAAGTTATTCTTGTGGCCTCTGTTTCAACAGAGGCTGATATGGTTTGGATCTGTGTCTCTACCATATCTCATGTCAAATTGTAATCCCCAGTGTTCCAGGTGGGGCCTGGTGGGAGGTGATTGGGTCATGGAGGCAGTTTCTCATGAATGGTTTAGCACTATCCCCTTGGTCCTGTTCTCATAATAGTGAGTGAGTCCTCATGAGATCTGGTCATTTAAAAGTGTGTAGCACCTCCCCTGTCATTCTCTCGCTGCTGCTCCCACCACGTGAGATGCCTCACTCCCCTTTTGCCTTCTGCCATGATTGCAGGTTTCCTGAGGCCTCCCCTGAAGCTGAGCAGATGCCAGCATCATGCTTTCTGTGGAACCGTGAAGCACCGTGATTTAATCAGCCCATGGAACCATGAGTGAATTAAACCTCTTTTCTTTATAAGTTACCCAGCCTCCGGTATTTCTTTATAGCAATGTGGACTAATACAGAAAATTGGTGCCAAGAAATGGGGCATTGCTATAAAGATACCTGAAAATGTGGAAGCAACTTTGGAATTGGGTAACAGGCAGAGGTTGGAAGAATTTGGGGGACTCAGAAGAAGATAGGAAGATGATGGAAAGTTTGGAATTTCCTAGAGACTGATTAAATGGTTGTGAACAAAATGCTGGTAATGATATGGACAGCGAAGTCCAGGCTGAGGAGGTCTGAGATGGAAATGAGGAACTCACTGGGAACTGGAATAAAGGTCACTTTTGTTATGTGTTAGCAAAGAGGTTGGCTGCATTGTGTCCCTGCCATAGGGATCTGTGGAACTTTTAACTTGAGAGTGATGATTTAGGGTAACTGGCAGAAGAAATTTCTAAGCAGCAAAGTATTCAAGATGTAGCCTGGCTGCTCCTAACAACCTATGTTTATATGTGTGAGCAAAGAAATTACCTAAAGTTGAACTTATATTTAAAGGGGAAGCAGAGTATAAAAGTTTGGAAAATTTGCAGCCTGGCCATGTAGTAGAAAAGAAAAGCACAATCCCCTTGGTCCTGTTCTCATAATAGTGAGTGAGTCCTCATGAGATCTGGTCATTTAAAAGTGTGTAGGACCTCCCTTGTCATTCTCTCTTGCTGCTGCTCCCACCACGTGAGATGCCTCACTCCCCTTTTGCCTTCTGCCATGACTGCAGGTTTCCTGAGGCCTCCCCTGAAGCCTCCCCATTTTCTGGGAAGTAATTCAAGCAGGCTACAGAAATTTGCTTAAGTAAAAAGGGGCCAAGTGCTAACATCCAACACAACGGGGAGAAGGCCTCAAAAGCATTTCAGAGAACTTTGCAGCAGACCCTCCCATCATGGGCCCAGAAGCCTAGGGGGACTGAGTCGTTTCCTGGGCCAGGCACAGGGCTCTGCTGCCCTGCATAGCCTTGGGACACTGCTCTCCACATCCTAGTTGCTCCAGATCCAGCTATGGCTCATAGAGGCCCAGGTTACACTCAGGCCACTGCTTCAGAGGGTGCAAGCTGTAAGCCTTGGTGGCTTCCATGTGGTGTTAAGCCTGTAAGTGCACAGAGTGCAAGAGCTGGGGCTTGGGAGCCTCCAACTAGATTTCAGAGGATGTATGGAAAAACTTGGATGTCCAGGCAGAAGCCTGCTGCAGGGGCAGAGCCCTCATAAAGAAACTCTACTAGGGCAGTGCAAAGGGGAAATGTGGGGTTGGAGCCCCTACACAGAGTCCCCACTGGGGCATTACCTAGTGGAGCTGTGAGAAGAGCACTGCCATCCTCCAGACCCCAGAATGGTAGATCTACTGGCAACTTGCACTCTCAGCCTGGAAAAGCCACAGGCAGTCAATGCCAGCCCTTGAGAGCAGCTGCAGGGGCTGAACCCTGCAAAGCCACAGGGGTGGAACTGCCCAAGGCCTTGGGATTGCACTTCTTGCACTAGTGAGCCCTGGATGTGAGACATAGAGTCAAAGGAGATTATTTTGGAGCTTTAAGACTTAATGACTGCCCTGCTGGGTTTTGGACTTGCATGGAGCCTATGGCCCCTTTCTTTTGGCCAATTTCTTCCTTTTTGAACAGGAAAATTTACCCAATTCCTATACCCCCATTGTATCTTGGAAGTAACTAACTTGTTTTTTAATTTATAGGCTCATAGGCAGAAGGGACTAGCCTTATCTCAGATGAGACTTTGGACTTTTGAGTTAATGCTGGAATAAGTTAAGAATTTGGGGACTGTTGGGAAGCCATGATTGTATTTTGCAATGTGAGAAGGAAGAAGGATATGTGATTTGGGGGACCAGGGGTAGAATGATATGGTTTGAATCTGTGTCCCCACCAAATCTCAGGTCAAATTGTAATCCCCAATGTTGCAGGTGAGGCCTGATGGGAGGTGATTTGGATCATGGAAGTGGTTTCTCATGAATGGTTTAGCAACACCCACTTAGTGCTGTTCTTGTGATAGTGAGTGATTCTTATGAGTGTGGCACCACCCCTGTTAGTCTCTCTCTCTCCTTTTTTTTTTTTTGAGACAGAGTCTCACTCTGTCACCCAGGCTGGAGTGCAGTGGCATGATCTAGGCTTACTGCAACCTCCACCTCCTGGGTTCAAGTGATTCTCCTGCCTCAGACTACCGAGTAGCTGGGATTACAGGTGCATACCAACACGCCATGTTGGCCAGGCTGGTCTTGAAATCTGTCCCCCTTGGCCGGCCAAAGTATTGGGATTACAGGTGTGAGCCACTGTGCCTGGCCCCCTGTCACTCTCTCTTGCTCCTGCTTCCACCATGTGAGATGGCTCACTCCCACTTTGCCTTCTGCCATGATTGTAACTTTCCTGAGGCCAACCCAGAAGCTGAAAAGATGTCAGCATCATGCTTCCTGTACAGCCTGCAGAACAGTGAACCAATTACATCTCTCTTTTTTTTTTTTTTGAAATAAATTACCCAGTCTCAGGTATTTTTTTTTGTAGCAGTGTGAGAATGGACTAATACAGAGGCTAAAAGAGGACAGTGCATAATAATATGATCTAAGTGATAGGGTAATTGTACAGATTAAAAGAAATACATGGGTAGAGTGCTCAGCCCAAAGCCTGGCTTTTAGTTCCCTCGTTCTGATTACCTCTGTATTCACAGCATCAACAAGGTTTTTGACTTGAATTTCTAGTTTTAGACACCTTAATAAAGAAAAAACGACTCAAAGGCAATCAGTGTGGGGGTTGGGGGGAGAGGATCCATAGAACAGTGGGGAGGAGGAGGCTAAGGGAGGGAGGAGGGTAAATAGTCTTTAAGTTAGGTAATCAGCATTAGGATTTTTGGGAGTTGATACAGGTCAAATAGTGGTGAAAGGTGGGATGCCTAACAGGAAGATATTTAAGGATGGCACATGCTATTTACAAGCATGGTGTTACTTTTGTTGCCAGAACAATTTTTGTCTTTATCAACATGTTTCCTTTCATCATAATTATAGACTATAGCTAAGTGGAGAAATAAATAATGAGATACACTAATTGGGGTTACACAATACCAAGGCTGTGTAGCACTGCTGTCTCAACACAGAAATCTCGAATTCCTAACTGTCATGTTTCGGCCTTGGCCATAGTGACTTCCTACCTTATCTTTTCCCACTTGACTTGGCAGCCTGTTTATATAGTTATCTTTATCCAATATAAGCCATAAGGCCCTGTATTCTTGAGCCTCAAAATCTTTGTATCTTTTACCCTTCTGGGTTTTTTTTTTTTTTTTTTTTTTTTTTTTTTTTTTTTTTGGGAATAGCAGTATATAGCCACTTTAGAGACTAGGATATAAGTTTTCAAGGGTTTTTTCTTTCCCCGACACGAATATGATAGTTTGCTTTTCTTGATTGTCACACAATTTCTCTCCCGAAAACTGTGGCTTAACTGGTCACTAGCAAGCATAAAGGGGAAAAAAAAAGCAGAAAGGGGGGTTAGTCCAAATAGTATCCATCTTTCTCAGGGGAGAGATTTCGATTATATTACACATGTATGTGGATACCTTCATCAGTTACAGTTTAGTCATTGACTAACTTGGACAACTGGGTGCCTACCTCATTGAATAGTTGTGAATATTCAATAAGGTGATGAGATGCTACCTGTAGTAAGGGTGCAGTAGATACCAGCTGCTGCTGCTCACCTTACTGCTGCTCCTCCTCCTGTACTATGATTATTGCTCTCTGCCTACTGCTGTTTTGTGCTACTACTGGTGTCATTGCTACTAGAACTTAGAAGTTTGCATAAGAATGGAAGAAATGGTTAATCACAGAAACATTTCTCTGTGCAGGTGGTATTGACTCTCTCATTGCCTTATCACTGTTGAGTAAATAAGCAACAGTTTGGTTCTCTATCGCTGAAAAAACTCTAACCACATAGTCAATTCTCAAATCCTTGGGGTATATGTGGCAAGTTTTTTTTTTTAAGTTCTAGGATACATGTGCAGAATGTGCAGGTTTGTTACATAAGTATACATGTGCCATGGTGGTTTGCTGCACCTATCAACCCATCATCTAGGTTTCAAGCCCTACATGCATTAGGTGTTTGTCCTAATGCTCTCCCTCCCCTTGCCCCACAACCCCCGACAGGCCCTGGTGTGTGATGTTCCCCTCCCTGTGTCCATGTGTTCTCATTGTTCAACTCCCACTTATGAGTGAGAACATGCAGTGTTTGGTTTTCTGTTCCTGTGATAGTTTGCTGGGAATGATGGTTTCCAGCTTTATCCATGTCCCTGCAAAGGACATGAACTCATTTTTTTTTTATGGCTGCATTGTATTCCATGGTGTATATGTGCTACATTTTCTTTATCCAATCTATCATTGATGGGCATTTGGGTTGGTTCCAAGTCTTCGCTATTGTAAATAGTGCTGCAATAAACATACATGTACACGTGTCTTTATGGTAGAATGATTTATAATCCTTTGGGTATATACCCAGTAATGGGATTGCTGGGTCAAATGGTATTTCTGGTTCTAGATCCTTGAGGAATTGCCACACTGTCATCCACAATGGTTGAACTAACTTGTACGCCTACCAACAGTGTAAAGCGTCCCTGTTTCTCCACAGCCTCACCAGCATCTCTTGTTTCCTGACTTTTTAATGATTGCTACTCTGACTGGTGTGAGATGGTATCTCATTGTGGTTTTGATTTGAATTTCTCTAATGACCAGTGATGATGATCTTTTTTAAATATGTTTGTTGGCCGCATAAATGTCTTCTTTTGAGAAGTGTCTGTTGATATCCTTTGCCCACTTTTTGGTGGGGTTGTTTTTTTTCCTGTAAATTTGTATAAGTTCCTTGTAGAATCTGGATATTAGACCTTTGTTAGATGGATAGATTGCAAAAATTTTCTCCCATTCTGTAGATTGTGTGGCAAGTTTTTAAACCTATCATAGCACTGGGTTGCAGCCCAGGAGTCTTCCAGACCACTTCCCCCAACTATCAGCTGTTGTGTGCATAGGAATGAGATTACCAAGTTTGAGTACCAATTAAAGGAATGCATATTCTATCAGAATCCATATATATATATTCATACAAACATATGTAGGATTCTCAAGGCAGTGTTTTTCAAAATATTTTCAGACTTTCTCCAGTATTCTTACTAACCAAAACTTGACTCTTGGTTAAACAGTTCCCATTCAGAGTTTTATAAGAAAAGAGGAAAAATGAAATTCTCCTCTTTCTGTGATTGAAACAAAAAGACAAACACACTGAAGAAACTGACATAGAAGTAGGTGCTTTAGAGTGAGTGGTTATGTGTTCAGAGAAGCTGTAAGCACAGGAGAGAAGACAGTTGGGGAGGTTTGGTCAGAAGTGGAATGGTGGGATGAGCTTCCGAACTCTGCATTTTAGTGAGAGTACAGGATAAATCTGCTGTGTAGGCTGGTGTTGAGAGTTAGGACACCCTGAACTTGGGGAAGAGCCAGCTATCAGAGATGAAAAAAAACAGTTTGGGACATTTTCAGAATAGATATATTTCTTGAGTATCTAAATGGGTGGACGGTAAGAGATCCGACTTTTACTCTTGTTTTCCAGGAGTTATGGTTTGAGAATTATGTGTAGGATCTTCGGGCAAATTTTCATTGCCTTGTAGTATAAAAGGATTCTTAATAAATATTTGTTGAGCTGAGGATAATGGGGAGCAGGAAGGGTCAAACTTGAACCAGTGTTGCCTGTGGAAAATGGGTAGCTGTTGAGTGATGGTGTGGATCCCAGATCAGACCCTCAAAGGCCAGGGGAGGTCTTTCTGGGAGAGGAAAAGAACCTGGAGTTACCCTAGGGCATGTGTGTGTGTGTGTGTGTGTGTGTGTGTGTGTGTGTGTGTGTGTCTATATATATAATACTCTCTTCCACCACTCATAAAGTATATATATAAATATATATATATATAAATATATCATATGCACACACACACACACACACACACACTTTCCCAGCACTCAGAAATATATTTCATTTTATTTACTTTTTTTTAAGACAGGGTCTCACTCCATCTCCCAGATTAGAGTGCGGGGATGCAATCATAGCTTCCTATAGCCTCAAACTCCTGGGCTCAAGCAATTCCCCTGCCTCAGCCTCTCAGGTAGCTGGGACTACAGGTGTACACCACCATGCCTGGCTAATTAAATTTTTTTTTTCTAAGGTTGGGATCTTGCTTTGTTGCCCATGCTGGTCTTGAATTCTTGGCCTCAAGCAATCCTCCTGCCTCAGAGTCCCAAAGCACTGTGATTACAGATGTGAGCCTCTGTGCCCAGCCTGGAAATATATTTTAACTGGTGTTCACTGAAGATGGCCTTTAGCTATCACTTTTTTAAAAGGCTTTATTTTTAAAATAATGTATCTTTTAATAAATCAAAAGCTTCTTATGTATCAATAGCCCAATCCGGTAATACTTATTTTATTATTGGTTAGTTCCCATGGGAACAGGGAATTTGTTAGTTCACTGGACATCTCAAGGTTCCAGGATACAGAGTGTGTCCAATAATGTTTGTTGAATAAAGAATGACCTAGATGGCTGAAGTGTTTCTGGTGTGCTAGAAGGGGTCAGTAAATTTTGGAAACTTTGCTAAACCCTTTCAGGAAAATGTGTAAGAAATTATCTTACCTTTTCTTTTGTTAGCTATGAGCCCTTGCCATGTGTTTCTGAGCCTTAATATCTTTACCTATAAAATGGAGCTAATGGCATGTCCTTCTTGGGATAACTGTGAGGATTATAGAAGATAATATGTAAAATGACTGGCATATGTACATTCTCAATACAAAGTTAGTAGGGGTGATGATTGTTACTGCTATTGGTGCTAAAGATACAGACTGCTAAAAATACAGTCAATTCTCATTATTTTTGTTTTATAAAGCTGCTACAAATACCGAATTAGCAAATACTGAATGATTACTACTAGGGAAATACAGGATAAGTTCCTTAGAGCCTCTGGTCGCAACATTTAATCAATCTATCAATACATAACTTTGTTTTATGTGTGTTTCTGTGTAAAGACACATTATTTAATATATATTGTTGATTCATTAACGTTGAACTTGTGGCCAGCAGCACTATAACCTGACTGACTTAGGAACACTAGACAGCACTTTCGCACTAAACTTTGGTGCCATACTGAATAGAGGAGTCACCAACAAAAACACACAAAAGTGCAAAAAATGTGGCACTACATAGACTGTGAAAAGGACACTTTTTTACAATATGATGTGAGAGCTGAAATGAGAAGGCAGACCAATACCTTATTTAACCTCAATTGGTAACGTGCATGTTGGGGGACTCAAACTTCTTGCTGTTCTGTGCACGTGATTGACTGTAAAAACTCTGAGAATGTTGATTTTGGGTTTACAAATCAGTTTTAGTGAGTAGGTGAATTTGAAAGTGGAGAATCCATGAATAATGAGGGTTGACTATATTAAAAACTGTTTTCTTGCATCTGTATTTCTCTAGCAGTTCTTCCTCTGGACTAAAAAGCTTACCCACTGGGGAAAACATTTTAAAACACTATCTGCTCAGATGTTGTGGATTACAGAGGGAGCCACATTAATAAAGCTTTTCCAGGTACCTGATCGCTCTCTTTTTTTTTTGAGACAAAGTCTCGCTCTGTCGTCCAGGCTGGAGTGCAGTGGCACGATCTCGGCTCACTGCAAGCTCCACCTCCTGGGTTCGTGCCATTCTCCTGCCTCAGCCTCCCAAGTAGCTGGGACTACAGGCACCCGCCACCACACCTGGCTAATTTTTTTGTATTTTTAGTAGAGACGGGGTTTCACCGTGTTAGCCAGGGTGGTCTCGATCTCCTGACCTCGTGATCCACCCGCCTTGGCATCACAAAGTGCTGGGATTACAGGCGTGAGCCACTGCGCCCAGCCCTGATCTCTCATTTTTATCAGTTTGTTTGCCAATAAAAATGGCCCATCACTTCCAGATCTTTAAAGTTGACTGAGGCTTCACTGTTCAGATATGGTAGAATTTTGACAGATTTTTAATCATTCTTTAATAAGGTGGAGTGTGAGGTTGGGGACCCAGGAAAAGACCACAGAGAGATTATGGACCATTGCTGAAAAATCCAGCAAAAAGCAGTAGGATTGACAGAGGGCAGGTGAGCCCCCAGATTGGGGCCTAGCCTGGGAGGGTTCTTGGCATTGCTCAGGAAAGAGTTCAAGAACGAGCTGGTGGTGGAAGAATGCAGGTCTAGTGAAGCAACAGTGTACAACAGAGTACCTGCTCCTTGCAGAGCAGGGCTAACCCATAGACATGCACCCAGAGTAGCAGCGTATGGACTGTAGACTGGCAGTATTTATACCCACTTGGAATTACATGCAAATCAAGGTACAGGTTACTCAGAAATCTCTAGAAAAAGGGTGGTAACTTTTGGGAGTTGCCATGGCATTTGTAAAGTGTCATGGCACTGCTGGGAGTGTCTTATACTGATGAGCAGTGAGGGCACCTAGAGGTTGCCTTTGGTGCCATTTGCTAGTTCTGGTGGGTTTCTTCATTTCTTCCTGTGGAGACCAGGAAATAAGCGCTGGTAGTCTCTACTTCAGGATGGCTTAGAAATTCTGGTGTAGGCAGTTTTTGAGGTAACCAGGCTCAGCTTACTCAGGGCCTAGAGGATAAAGGTGATGATTTTGACTTTTGCAAGCATTGGAAATTAGCATATTATAGTTATCAGAATGGTCATTATTGTAAACATTAACTGAGTACTTGTTGGGATTGCTTGGAATTCTTTTAGAAAGAAGGAGAAAAAGAATTGGTTTCAGTAGGTTCTGTACTTTCAAGTTACATAGCAGATAGATCACACAATTTAGTGACAACAGAGCACAAAGAACAATAATAATAACAGTAGCATCTAGCATTTTTAAAGCCCTCTTTACAGATATGCCTTGTGTTAGTGCTTTAGCCTATCTTTTATATATTTCTATAGTATTCTTACAGATTATACTGGAGTTAAGGAAGGTACCTATGTAATTAAAAAAAATTCTTTCTGTGTTAGAAAAGTGAAGAAACAGAAACATCAGGAATTAATAATTTACATCTAGGTGAATTATAAACATAGTAAGGCACTTACTATCTACCAGGTACAGTATTTAAGTGTTTTATATAATATAATTCTAATATGAGGTAGATAGGATCCCATTTTATAAATGAAGAAACTTGTGCTTGTCTGTTTTCTGTCACTTGTCTATCTTAAGTTACTCAAATAAGGTTGAACCGCGATTCAAACTGAGGACTGTCTGACTTCAAAGCTCACTCTCTTATTCACCATGCTGGCAGTGGTTTCCATGTATTTTGGTGTTCGGAGGTTTGGAGGGAGAGGCAGGAGTGATCAGGAGTGACAACTTATGTTGATTTTTGAATGGAAAGGAGACTAGGTTTCTTATGAAGTAAAGGCAGAAGACTCAGGGTGTGGTTGCACATTCAAATCCAAAACAAATAGTTATATCTATTAAAGGTGCTCACAGCATGCCTGTCTGCATAGTCCTTTGTTTCTAAAGCTGCTTCTGAAGGAGGAAAGGAGGTAGGCTGTGAATCCTCCAAGAAAGGTAGGAAAAGATGGGATGGTGGATACTTAATCATTCACAAGGGTGTGGTATATAAGTAAGTGGTAGATTTTCCTAATTTCTTATTAATAATCTTCAAATGTTGCTACTTGATGACATCAAGTTGTCTTGTCTACATACCCATCCTTGTGTTCTACTACTGAACATGAACATGTAGCTCATAACATCTGGATGTTTTTCACTCATCTCTTTTTCCCTCTCTCTTTTTTCTGCTAACCTGACTTGTTGATTGCTATTTTTGTGTGTCTTCATAAATTTATAGCCAGTCTGTTCCATTCTGGACTGTTTATCTTTGGCATGCCAGAGGTCTTTAAACATCATAATGTTGTGTAATGAGCATAACTTCTGCCTTGACTTGTGGGTGTTAAGAGCATTAGTCAGTGCAAAGTATTGAGTTAAATATTTTCAATAAAAGGATATAATGATCTAGCAGAGAAGAAGTTATAAAAAATCCTAGTTAATGGCTTTAATGGTGAGCCATATATTTAGTGGGTTCTATCAGTGATGAGTTAGAGATTCACAGAATGAATGTAAAAGCATTCTTACTTTTAATTAATGAGAGAGGAGAAAGAAAAACAATAATAAGAAAAAAAGGACTTGATTCTCATCCATACCAAGAAAAGTGTAAACATCCAAGTTCCCAGTGATTCTAACCCTGATTCATTACCTTGCATGTGTCTTTAACTACCACAAGAAATGTTTAAGATTTCCATTGAGATATTATCGACAGGGACTCCTGGGCTGCATCATAAGCCTGATTGAAAGCCTTTAGCCTTGTAATGATCTCTTTTTGGAGGACAATCAGGGAATTCTTTGCACCTTTATCAGAGAGTCAGGGCTTTCCTGAGCAAACAAACTAGGTCTTTACCTATGGAGCTGATTTTATGAAGAGTTTTGGTCAGCATTAGTCATTGTGAAACCATGGGCCTCCTGCCCTGGTTTATCTCGACAGTCATCTCCCTACAGCAGAAGATTGAATCCTCATCTCTCCATGAGTCTGAGCATCTAAAGATGTTAGAGGTACATTGGTTTGATTCTTGCTGGGGAATGTGTAGTGGGTACTGGTCTTCTGGGAATAGTGTCTAGATGAATGTTTAATAATCAGTTTAATAGGTTGATGGGCTGTCTTATTTCCTGGGGTTGGAGGTTTAAACCAGGACACCCTGTGCTAACTCTGCTCTTTACCTTGCCAGCAATCCTCAGTCGTCCTGGTAAACAACCTCTGAGTTAAATACCTTTTCTTTTCTGGAGAGGTTACCAACAAAGGAAAAGGCTTTGATGTCAGAACAGGGGGCATAAACAGTGTTTATGGCTGCTGTTAAAAATTTCTCATCTGGGTATTTTCAAAAGAATTCCAAGTCAAAATATATCACTTATGGGAAGTATCTTCTTTTCCAATATGATATCTTATGAAGTTGATAATTATTTTCATGGTTTAAGTAGTAATTGATGACATTTTGGGGGTTGGAAGATTTGTGGGAAGGAGGACATAGATTTTCATCAGATGTCCTTGCGTCCTTTCCTTGCGAGGATTATTGATCTCTAGTCTTCATATGTAAGGTGTTGAATTTATTTAATGTTATTAACTGAATCTATAGATAAAGAGGTAGTTTTGGAGCCAAGTAACCTGTTGATGTAAAGTCTATTTTACCTTTTATGATTACCATCTAGCACCTCCCTCCTTCCTGGCTGAATTCCCTGTCATTTTAAGTAGGCAGCAATTACTGGTTTGCTAAAGAAGCCAGCTCCTGCTGCCAAGGATCCTGTTAATTATCACTCTATCTCTAATTTAGCCTTCCTAGTGTTGAGAGAAGGTGCACGTAAGCGTGTGGCAGAACGTCTGCAATCGCATCTTTGTAATAATCTCCTTTCTGAGACGGTTCAGTGGACTCAATGTTCCGCCAAAGGGCCAAGGCAGCCCTGGTGAGTGTTTTCAGCTCTCTTCTGTAGCTTGTTTGGTCAGTCGAGTTTGGTGTGATTGTCCTCTCCTTTTGCTTCTGACCTAAGTAAAAGCTAATGGTTGGCATTAATCTTGGGAATTCAGACCTATTCCGCTCCATCTCTGAAGTCAAATGGGACACCTTGAAAATACTTCAGTGGTTTTCCCACGAGCTATTTTCTCTCTCTGTGAAAAGGAAACCAGGAAATTGACTCTGTGCCTGTTTTCAAGAAGGTAATACAGATGATAACCAAAGTACCTCAGTTTACAGGTTCTTATATAGCATGTTTTTTAAGGGATGTCAATCTTTATATCGTATGAAATCTTTGGTTCTTGTTCATAAATGGCTAGATTGCTTTCTGTTTGTTTTCGGAAATGTTCAGTTCACTTGTTTCAGTGAACATTTTTTCAGAAGTTCCACTGGATCATTTGATTAGGTTTGGAGTGCTTATGCTTCCTTTTCCACTTTTTATGTTATTTTTGGCAGTGTTGGTATTTGAAGCTGTAGAAGTGATTCACTGCAAAGTGCATTAATTTTCCACATTTCCAAATGCATTTTCCAGTGGTCCCCAAATTTCTTTTCCTCTTCTCAGATGATTCTGCAGTTGTCCTTCTGTCATTCTGCTGGCTCAAACATAAATGCTGATGTCACTGAATTTCTTAAATTACAGCTGGTGGGGATTAACAGAAATTGTAAAAGAATACCACTTCCTCATTTTGCTATTTTCTTGACTAATTATTGTCTTTTCAAGTACTGTAGGAACATAGGGATTTGAAAATGAATTCTTTGTCTTGCAGTTTAAACAGCAATTTTCCTTTTCCTTTTTCTGTTATACTTCAAAAATAATGTAGCGCTTAGGATGCTTTTCTGATGTGCCCTTTAATAACCCCAGACAGAGGAGTCTCACTCCTGATTTTGCACTTTGGACTGTCTTCTACCCTGGGTGAAGGGTTTTGAATACTTCCCTTAAGTAAGTTTCCTTATATAGAATATTTTTACTCAACAGTTTTTCTCCGACTCAAGGCCGTTACTGGTATTATGTGAAAGGTTGTGATTAATTTATTTGTTTGTTCAGAGCCTTTGCTCCTTTAAGGAATGCTTAGCTCTGTCCTCATCATTTTCTTGTTTAGGATCTGTGTTATTTGTGACAATTTTGATTGCTCCAGCCCTCTACACATTAATTTTTCTGGCTTGCCTCTCCTTGTTTTAACAGTGGGAGTCTGGGCCTCAGGCTTTCTTATCACTTGGTTTGTGGTTTGAGTGATGGTTCCATGAACCTTTTCCTGGGAGTTCTCTGGGCTCCTGTGCTGGACGCTGGAAGCCATCTGGAAGTGTGCACACAGGATGGCTGGGTGCTGCTGGGTGGTATTGATTGAACTGCAGTCCCGTGGAAACAGAAATAGAAAGGGTTCAGCATTCCCACTTTCCTCTGGTGGCATTTTTGCTTATTTTGTGTATTTAGAAAAGGTAGCCATATGCAAACTGCTGACTTACTATTTTCCCTGGAATGGAAACCATTTGGATTATTTCAATGAGTTTTAGCGAAGATTTGTTTGTTCACAGTATTAGTTTTGTTTTCTGGTAGCCTGTTTAGAATAAGACCAGAATGTGTCTTTTTACTTTATGGAAATGAGTGCTTACTTGGTGTTTGGAATTTTGCAAACCAACATGAATTTGAAAAGTCATATGTTTATTCCAGAGTCAAAATAGAAACTCTTTAGTGAAAATTATAGATATTTCCATCTTGGATCATTTACTTTCTGTGAAAAATTTTTTTTTGACAAAATTGTTTAAGATTTCAGAGGAACCTCTTTTCCTGGTTAATTTTCCCACAAATTAATTTCCCTCATTTTTAAAAAGAAAAATAAGATTAAACTGAAGAATTGCAGACCAAGCTCATATGTGCTGGAATATTTGCTGTAAGCTGGTGACTGATTCTTTGCTGTTATCTTTCATAAGAGAGTGGATTTAGTTTAACTGTTAGTAGTTAAGGTTTGGATTAGGAATACAAATATGATTCCCTTACCATAAGACCTTTTAAGCACTGATTTGCATTGCTGAGGATAAGTTATGATTATTCAGTCTCGGGAAAATTTGTATTATAAGATCCATATACACTTAGCCAACATTGCCTTCTAACATTGCAATGATAAGTTCTTTTAATTGAGATTTTGGAATGGTATAGCTATCTGGAAAATATTTCAAATGTCATTGTGGAGCTTTTGGTTAAATGTGAGTTTTAAAAGTTTGATAAATAGAATAAAGAGCGGAAAGGAAAAATAGTTATGAATTTGTTGAATTGTTTGGGCTATGAGTTATCTTTTTAAAAAGAGGTTTTATGTTTGTGTAGAAAATGCCACTAAATATAAGAAAATGGAAGTTTAATAGTTGAACAAGGTAAGAATTGCAGATATCATGAGATTGTAATTTAACTGGAGTATGCATTAAATGAATTGTATATTTCACTAGCTTGGTGACCATGAATGGTTTTGTTTGTCATTTTATCTTTCTTTTCTTTTCTTTCTTTTTTTTTTGAGATGGAGTCTCTTTCACCCAGCAGCACGATCTCAGCTCACTGCAACCTCTGCCTCCTGGGTTCAAGTGATTCTCCTGCCTCAGTCTCCTGAGTAGCTGGGATTACAGGTGTGCACCACCATGCCCAGCTAATTTTTTTTTTTTTTTTTTTTTTTTTTTTTTAGTAGAGATGGGGTTTCACCATGTTGGCCAGGCTGGTCTTGAACTCCTGACCTCTAGTGATCTGCCTACTTCGGCCTCCCAAAGTGTTGGGATTACAGGCGTGAGCCACCGCACCTAGCCTCTTTATCATTTTGTCTTATCCCAGTAAATACCATCATGCTGGACCTTGTATTAAAAAAATGTTGAATCAATGAATGAGTGAATGCACGTTTTGGGAGGCCTGGTTGCAGACCTATCTGTGCTGCTACCTACTCATATGACCCTGTGGGTCTGTCTCCCGCTATATACAATGAAGGCTAAAGATGGGATCAGGGATAAGTATGTGGGATTGTGTTGCTCCCTCCTTCTGCTGCAGTACGGTAGATATTGCCAACTGTCACTTCACTCTTTCCTGTGAACCCAGGAGGAGCCTTGGGCCTTTCTGAATTTAGTGCATCAGGCTCCCATGACTCACCGTAGATACAAGAGTTAAAACTTACTGTACCTTCTCCTTTTGGATTTGGTCCCTGAAGCCCAATTACAAATAGGCAATATTCTATGATGTTTCTTGGTCAGCAGATGTTCATTTAAACAATAGAGACAACAGCATGCACCATTATCCCTCCATTCAATAATTTTTCTGGTAGATTTAGCAGATATATTAATAGATAGAACTTAATGAATGGGTCTAGACAGTATTCTTCCAGTGGAGTAAGATATGAAGATATAATTAGATTAGCAGAGTTTTTCACTTTTACTCTCCAAAGCACATGTCTCCATCTGGGGCACAGTTATGGAGCACCTCCTGTATGCCAGCACTATGCTACTGATAAATGGCCAGCCTGTAATTCATGGGCTCTGCCTTCTTGTAACTCAAAGTGACATAAGTATGATGCTAGGTCTGTAATTATTCCTTTAAAGACAAAAGATGGAGGGGCATGTAATCCTGGCACTTTGGGAGACTGAGGTGGGTGGGTCACTTGAGGTCAGGAGTTCGAGACCAGCCTGACCAACATGATAAAACTGCATCTCTACTAAAAATACAAAAAATTAGCTAGGTGTGGTGGTGTGCACCTGTAATCCCAGCTACTTGGGAGGCTGAGGCAGGAGAGTTGCTGGAACCCGGGAGGTGGAGGTTGCAGTCAGCCGAGATTGCGCCACTGCACTCCAGCCTGGGCAACAGAGCAAGACTCCATCTCAAACAAAACAAAACAAAACAACAAAAAAACAAAAATAAAAAATGATTGTCAAACAGATGAGAGGAAAGCATTCCAGGTAGACCGAGGCATGGAGGTGCAGCATAGTGTGGCACTGAGACAGTCTAAGCACGGAGTGTGGCTGGAGCACCAGGGAGTGCGGCCAGCTTCATACAGAGGAATAGTGCTCTGGCTGCCAAATGAAGAATGGGTTGGAGGGTGGCCAGGGCTGGTGTCACAGAGGCCAGTTAGGATGGTTCCAGCTGAACTGTCTTTGTGAGGAACGATGATACACATGCATCGTTCAGCCCTGAAGATAGGTTGTGATTGCAAGAGGGTAAAAACCTTGTTAAAGATTTCAAGGACAGTGAGGACAAAAGTAAGGCTATATGTAAACTGCTTACTGCTGACAATAAAGTGACTGCTTGTTCATTTCTTTATCATGTAGGTGGATGCCTGTTCTGTACCAAGCACCTGGAAAATACAATCATGTGTAAAGTAGACATGGTCTCTGCCCACAATCAAGCAAAAAGAAAATGATTGATTACTAAGTAGTCTTTATAAGGTGCATGAGCAAAATTCTTAGGGTCCATGCTCTCCACAGATTCCCCTCCTTTCCTGAAGTTAATTTATAGTCTGACAACATGTTCTCTGCTTTCTATAGGAAATTTTGGAGGATAAAGTTAGATAAGAAGATAAACCTCAAGGTCTGTGCCTTATATGGAGCATGCTTGCATGTACACACACAGACACATGCTCACATACACACCTTCCTCCCCTAATAAAAGACACCTGTCTTCACTCCATAGATTGACAAGCATCTAGAATAAGGCATATGAGGATTCCCATAAGTAAATCTGCTCCAAGAAAAGTTCTAGATATCTTCTCATATTTTCTGAACATGATATTTTACATGGAAGAATCCGGGCTGTTGAGTTCCTGATCCAAGAAGAAAAGTCTTCCATACATAATTTGGCTTTGGTGGCTGCTTCAGATTAGCCATTCTATCTGTGTTCCAGGTTATTACCGGTGTTTGGAATTCATGTGCAGAAGCAAGAATTTGCCTTGAGGCAGCAAGACTGGTAGACACTAGATAAGTGGCTTATTTTAAAGTGATGTTTTGGTACAGAAATGGCAGTAACAACAAATTCCTCCCCCTAATAGAAATCTTCCTCACATTCCCTATCCAACCCAGAATCATTTATAATAATGTGGAGTCAAAATTCAGCTGAATGGGTTTGATACAAATTCCTAGGAAGCCATTGTAAGTTCAAGCACTGTGTTTTAAAGATGAAGCATTCAAATTTATTAGGATGGTAATTGCAGCTGATGTAGGTGGGGAGGGCATGTGTCCCATTTTGCATGATTTGGAGAGGCAATAGCTTGTTGAGACTAAAACTCTGGAGTAGGACTGTTCTAGGTTTGAATCTCAGCTGCACTGATTGGTGGCTGTGTGAGTTTGGGCAAATCACTAAGATTCTCTCTTCACCTGTAAAATGAAGTAGTGGGTAAGCATGTAAGTCCTTTGTTAAATTTGCCAAGGTTTGAGTCTTTGTTGTACTACTGTATGACATTGAGCAACTTGTTCTCTTTATATCTTGGATTTCTTATCTGTAAAATAATAATAACAGTAATAATAACAATAATGATGATGATAATAATAATTATGGTCCCTACCTCATAAGGATGTGGCAAGAATTAAATGAGATTATGCACACATAGGGTTTTCATCTTGGTAGTCTGGCACCTAGTTAGCACTCATATCTTACTCAACTATTTTTCCTGCCATCATTATATTGAGCTTTCTAAAAATTATTATTTTTTGACTACTTATTTTGTTCTTTCTGAAAGTTAGGGCTTCACAAAGTGTAGTCGTTGCTATGTGATTTCTTTTTTTTTCCTTTTTGATACGGGGCCTTGCTGTGATGCCCAGGCTGGAGTACAGTGGCTATTCACAGGTGCAATCCTAGTACTAACCAGCACGGGAGTTTTGACCTGTTCCATTTCTAACCTGGGCTGGTTTACCCTTCTTTATGCACCTTGGTGGTCCCCTAGGAGGTCACCATATTGATGCCGAACTCATTGCACTCACCAGATCAGCAAAGTGCACTACAGCCCGGAACTCCTGGGCTCAACTGATCCTCCTGCCTCAGACTCCTGAATAGCTGGGACCACAGGCATGTGCCAGTGCCTTTTCTTTCTTTAAACTGGAGACTCAATAATGCAATTTCTGAATTTGGGGCAGAGTTGCCAGATAAAATCCAGAATGTCCAGTTAAATTTGGATTTCTGATACAGAATAATTGTTTACTATAACTTTGTTCTAGATATTTCATGGGATAGCGAGACTAAAAAATATTCTTTATTCATCTGAAATTCAATTCAACTGGGCATTCTGTATTTGCTAAATCTAGCAATGCTAGTTTGGTAGTAAAACATACTCCTTTGCCCTCTCATTCATTTTTTCACTCAGATAGATATTTGTGTATGCTTATAAAAATGCAGTGAACAACATCCTTGGGGCATAAGTATAGAAATAGTTTCATAAATTTGAAAAAAGATTTCTTAGTATCTCTGGTAAATCTACCTCCTAATTCCTTCTCCCTGTGTAAGCCATGGGACCATCAAATTGAGATTATGTTGATACTTGAGTATATAGTATGATGTTGCTTGAAAATTCTGAAATGTTCTAGTGTTGCTTTTACCTAAAGGGAATGATTAATGGTGACACATTAATGGGTATGCATTCCAGAGAATCCTGAAAGCTTTGTCATTTTTGAAGGAAATTACCTCATTACTTTTAGAGTCACCTATCCAGGGTAGGTTGGTCCCTGTGGTTGACCTGGTTTTCCAAGTAGGAAAATAAACACTTCAATGGTTAGGTTAATAACTTGGAGTGATTTTGTTGTACTTACAATTCAAGTTAATTTTTAAGTAGGATTGGTCTTTAAGCTACTAGACTAGTTGGAGACTCTGAGAGAATTGCATTCTAAGAGTGAGATCCTTTCAATTCAATCAGCATTTACTGTGTATTGACTGTGCAAAAGCAACTGCATATGAAGAGAGAGGAATTTAAAGTGTTTTGAGTTCCTGCTCTCAAAAACCTTAGTGTTTAATGGAGCACGAAAGCAAGAAGCAATTATGACAAAAGGCAAGATAAATAAGGTCAAAATTGAAGTCTAGTAAAGCTAGGTCCCAGGATGGTTGAATGTAGGAAGTGGTTAAATCTGGAGGCCAAGTAGAGTAGGAATGGCTTTTATTAGGACAGGTTTCTTTGAAGGTAATATGTGAGAGAACTATTCAAAGATAAGAATGATTTCATTTGGGAAATGAAATGTTCTAGGTGTGGGCTTAGCATTAACAAGTATCCGAAGGTGGCCACATTTTGAAATGCACGTGTTACTTAGACATGACAAAAATATATACAGCACCACCGTAACTGACAGCAACCGCTTCTCTCATGTGTGACTGTTTATGATCTAGAATTTCCAGATCAGAAACTTGATTTTATGTAGGTGGACCTGGATTCATTCCATGTTGGTTTCCTAAGTATTTATTGTGCACCTGCTGTTGCTATGTATGAGACAGCCAGAGAGACTTGGGCAACATTTAGGAATTCTTTTAGGTGGTCACTTAAACCAACTGAAAGTTACTCCGTTTAAACATGGGTTTTTTTTTTTTTCCTGAAATGAACACTTCCAGTGAGCTCTGATTTAAATTGGGCAAAATCAACAGCAAAAGAATTCCATGAGAAGCATCTTGTCAGGCGCTCTGACTTTGAGTATTTGCTTAAATGACTTTACAAGCCAGCTTAACTCATTTCCTGTTGGATGACACTTGTTTATTAAACTTGGCCCAAGTCAGAGTTAATAGCCTTAATGGTTTTGAATGGTCCCAAGTGATTCTCCAGCAGTGTGTCATTAGTGAACGGGGAGGATTCTACAGATAGGATGCAACACACACATAGCTGCTTCAGCCATCATAGATTTAAGAGAATACCTATAGCCCTCTTAAATTTAGCTAAGGAAATTGAGAATACTGGAAAGTAAGTGTTACCATTGCAGTAAATGCTAAAATATTTTTCAACAGTTCTAGTAGTTTTCCTTTTTTGTTTTTTTGAAATACTTCCATGTGAAATTAATGCCATTTAAAAATGGCACCAGCATTCAGAACTTGAATCATCCCAAATTCTCTAGCAAATGAATTAAAATGTGACATGGGGTTCATGTTGATTAACAGATGTGTGTAGAGAATTGGACTGGGTAGCCTGCCATCGCGATGCATGCTTGATGCATGAGAGGGATTGCTAAGATTGGGAATGGAAAACTTTTCTACTTTTCCATTTATGTGTGTGTTGGGCTATAAAGCTCTAAATTAGACTGGAAATTGGTGATGCATTTGGAGATCGTTGGTTTTTAATTTTCATCAATTAGGATTGATGTATGTCTTTTAAGTTTGGACAAGTTGTTCTTTGTGGATGATTTTGCTATTTCAGGTACTGGTGGGGTAAGAGTAGCCTGGATGCAAACCTTTATTGGGTTCTTAAACATGAAAGAGCATAAACTGCTTATGTTAGTTTGGGTCTGGTTGAATGTTATTAATTTTTTTTCCTTGATGGCCAGGCCAAATATTATGTAGTTTTAATATCTACCCTTGGTTCCTACTGCCTTATTTTTGGGCACTCTTAATATCTTCCTTTATATATCTGTCATTAAGTTATAATTGAAGCTTCATGTTTTATATTTAGAATGGTGCATGGAGGCTCAGCTGTGCCAGCCATTCAGGCCTAATGGCAAATGTTGGTTCATGCCAGAAAGTTTTTGGAGTCTAGTCTCTTTTTTGGGATGTCCAATCTAAGCAAACCATCCTTTTCTGTCTTAAGCTGAGGGGCACAGGGAAGCAATTTAGAAGTGATTTCCACTTCTGTGCATGTGACAGCATCTTGTTTCTGATAAAAATTATTTACTTGCTAGTTCACTCTTTAACCCAGAGAGTCATGCAGCCTTAAAAGGGATTGCTTTGACAAGTCTTTATGTCACTTCATTCCTTAGTTTACTGACTTCCATGCGGAGTATCAGTGAGTGTCAGTTAAAAGTGGGTACATAGTGATAGTAGATGACACCCATGCCACCAGCTGCTTCCTATGGGCTGCCAGATGCTAGCAAACGTTTCACAGCTCTTGAATTCTCTGGATTTGGGCCACTCTTGAACTCTATCCATCAATCCATACACCCACTTATTGAGCTAATATTTATTGAGGTTTTACTATGTTTCAGGAAGTTGTCTAGGTATGAGGAATACAGCAGGGCACCAAACTGTTGAAAATCTTTGTATTCATGGAACTTACATGGGCAAGCAGATGTAGAAATAAATATGTGAATGAGTAAAATGCATAATATGCTAAATGCTGGTAAGTGTTATAGAGAACGATAAAGCATGGCTGGGTTTGGGGTGACTTGTAATTTAAAACTGAGTGGACAAGGACTGCCTCACTGAGAAAATGACATTTGAGAAAAGACCCAAAGAAGATGAGGGAGTCATGCCAGTATTTGGGGGCAAAGCACAGCAGACAGAAGGAAGAGTAAGTACATAGTATCTGGACAGGAGTGAGTCTACTTCAGTAACAGCATCATGGCCACAGCGGCTGGACCAGGCTGAGCAAAGTGGGGAGTTCCAGGAATGGCAGGAGGTGGGGTCAGTGAAGGAATGGGATTGGGGCAGAGGCAGACACTGTAAGGGTTTGCAAAGACTTTGCCTTTTACTCATTAAAAATTGGGAGCCGTTGCAGATTTCTAGCTAAAGGAGTAGCATGATCTGATTAATTCAGGTAGCAGCCCAGTGTGGTGGGGGAAAACAGGGGTCTGTGAATTTGGAGATCATGTAAACCACGGTTTTGTCACTAGGTAGGGGCAAATAAATTCAGCATCCTTAGCTTCAATTTTATTCCTTCTTATAAAACAATGCTTGTGGGTTGGATAGTTTTTCATGACCTTCCAGGTTTTGATACTGTTACCCTGGATTAGTTGCCTTCCTGTGAGTATTTCATGTGTATGGCTGATTACATTTCTCCTTGAGTATGCATAGCTGGACCACAGATTTGTAAATTATCTTTCTGTGCTTTATTTACTTAAAAAATTTTCCATAAACATCTCAAATTGAAAACTATGAAGCATTAATACTTCTATATATTGATGTTAAAGGTTGCTTGAAGGCTAAATGGTAAGGGTAAACACAGATTATAAGCTTTATCACTAGCCTTAATACTATTTTTTGTTATAGAAAATAGAATTGATTTGTAGAGTATTGCACTGAGCTATCAGTTGGGATACAGTGATAAATAAGACACAGCGTCTTAAGGAATTGAGTAGGAGGAGAGATTCCTGGATAAGACAGTAACTCATAAAGTGTTGTTAATGGAGGAGACAGTCCTGGTTAAGACAGTACCCTACAAAATGGTGTTAATGGCAGAAAAGAGGGCCAGAAGCCATGACTAGGTGCAGGCCCATGGGAGCACAGGCAGACTAATATTCAGGTATGTCTTCATACCAATATCCTTTAAAAATGTTTAATATTTTCAACAACCAGTTAGACCTAGTGCCACACATGCTAGGAGGTGCCAGAGGCCTGGCAGGCTTTCTTCTACAGCCCTGAGCAATTTGGCTCTGCCCCAAAGTTGCATCATGATGTTTGGCACACCAAGGTCTGGTAAGTAACTCTTATTAGAAGATGGTTTAGGGACCGTCTTTTATTATTCAAGAATGTCCTTTGGACATCTTAATCTTCTCCCTTCCACCAGAATATTTCTTCTACTTCCTGTGATGTTATAGTGCTCCTTCTAGACTGGTACCCCAGGTAGCAGGATGGCTAGTCAGTTTCTGTATTTCCTCTGTGGAGAAGTATTGCTTTAGTCTTACCTTGTCTTCAGGCCTCCAGTATGAACTCTGTTGGGAGTCACGTGGAGCCCTAGTCATTTTATCCACTGACGCAATGTATTCCTTGTGTTCTGTTAACTGGCTTCTTGGGCAGCCTAGGAGTATTCTAAGTTTCCAGGTCAAAGATTCTGGAAGCAACTTTCCAAGAGGTAGAAGGGCTGCCACTTTCCCAGACTTTCCCCTTCAACTGAGGCTCCCTGTGTATGTTGGGGTGTGGGGTGCTAGAGGCCTTGCTGCTGAGGAAAGTTGCCATGGTTACCAGCACCGTGGCTCTCGGAAGGAGGAGGCTAGCATGTTAGCACCTCAGCTGTCCTGTGGTAATGCTTAGGGGGCAAATGACCATACCAATGAGCACTGTTAGAGCTGGAGGGGAAACTGAGGTTCAGAAGTTGACGCTGGAAACAGGAACCAAGAGCCCTTGACTTTCACATTGCATTGCTTCCTTTCAGTTATTTTACACCTCAGGCCTTCACACACATTCTTCCTGCCATCTTGAACATTTTCCTGCCATTCTTCTGTTTTCTTTCTACTCATCCTTTAGTCTCCACTTAAAGGTTGCTTCCCAACCCACCTCCTTGCCCCTCATCTGAATTAGGTTACCATGCTTTTCTTTTATGGTTTCCTAATCTTATCCTTCATGCTGTTTACATAATTATTCTATATGCATCCGTATGTTCAGTGTTTGTTTCCCTACTCCAAAGGGCCAAGGAGCACAGCTGTTTTGTTCTCCATTTTATTCTCAGAGGTTAAGCCAGGCTGTAACACAGATAGGCAGTGTATGACTCCATAAGTGAAAGGGTAAATGACTGGAAAGAAGACTGGTTTTCTCTCACCTATTTATGTGAAATGTCTCTGCCTGTCTCAGCTGAGGGTAACAACTGTTATTGGTTTTGTGTATTATTGAGGATACAGAAGATGTGATTCTTGTCTCTAACATCACCAAGTCTGTGGCCTTCTGGAATTTTATTAAGGGTTGTCTCTGCAAAAACCAAAACCCAATGATACACACAAATCAGCATTCTTTAATTGGTATAGGCTTGACACGAGGGGCTGTGATTTGTCAATTTATTTTACAATATTTGCATTTTTATTTCTTAATTCTGTTTCCAGAAATGAGCTTTAATGCCATTTGGATCCCCCATTCTTTTTATTAAAAATGAATAGAGAAAATACCACTTTTCATTAATAGGATTCATAATCCTTTTTTGGAGGGATTTGTTTTGGCTTGTGTAATGGAACTTTTAAGAGGGTAGGCATAGAAAACTGACTGGGACTCTTTGTAGAAGAAAGAGCAGAGTTACCTACTGTGTGTAAAAAAGAAAAGCAGGAACAGTGGACTTTCTTTATTTCTAAAACTAAACTGCCCTAATTGTTCATATCAAAAGATGGGCTTTTCCCAAGCTCGGTTGGCATTTTTAATTTACAGAGAAAGCGTGCATTGTTTTGCAGTGTGCATTGCGGTTACATTGGCTCCCAGAAGATTAGCTCAAAGGTATCTATGAATAGTCACACCCTAAATTATATGAACTGAAGAGTTTTAAAGAGGTGGAAAATCTGATGCATGCTATTTCCCAGACATTCATGCCTTAGGAAAATAACTAGGGAAGTGGGAGAGTGAAACTTAGAAGTTGCTACTTTATATTCACCAATGTGGCACTTGTAAACTGTGTGACCCTGGGCCACTGAATTAACTTCTGTAAGCCTCAGAATTGTAAAGTGGAGATAAAAATACCAGCTACCTTCAGAATTATTGTGAGGATTTCATGAGATAATATATGAAAAGTGTCACAATGCCCAGCACATTATAAATGCCTTATAGGTAGGGGATAGTACACTACATAGGATAATAGTTAAGGGCACAGACTCTGGAGGGCCTGGCTTCTGAATCCTGGACTTGCACTCAGGGGTGGGGCCATCTTGGGCTGGTTACTTGACATTTGCGTGTTTGAGTTTCCTCATATGCACAATGGAGATAGTAATAATACCTGCTACATAGGGTTATTATGAAGATTAACTGAGTTAGTATGTGTCAAGTGTTGATAACAACTTGTGGTTCATGGTAAGTGCTATATATACGTTTGTTGCGATGAAGAAGTCTGGGTCTTGCAGACAGTTAGTCTGCAAGTTCTTGAACCAGACTTCATAATGTACCAAGTATGTTGAGCTTCAATTTTCTCTTTTTGTAATATGCGGATGATTCTAGTTATAATGTCAATTTTTATGAGAAATCGGTGAGATAATGCATATGTAAAGTGCTCAGCATAGGATTTGGAACATGGAAAATACTCACTACTCATAGCAAAGACTTTTCTTGTAATTGCTACTACCATTACTATGATTATTTCCATTATTTTTAGTCCTACTATGAATATGCCTCTGGCTTATATAGAACTTATATTCGAAGTGAATTCCACAAACACTCTGTGGAAATAAAAAGGATTAATATGTAGAAAATAATGTTGAGAGTAATGTTACTGTTGGTGTATTTCTATAAATGGAGCTGTTTCAGCAAATTGAAAAATATCCAGTAAAAGTCTTATAATCATGCATTTGCAATTTTGCAGATCACAAAAGATCAGAGTTAGTCAGGGTCAGTGTTGGGTGGACAGTTTTATATTCATGGAAAATGACTCATAGGAAACATCAGGAACTAAAATTTCCAAAATAAAAAAAAATTAAAAAGTCATCATATAAACTGTGTTTAAGTCAAGTCTATTTCCTATCTTAACTGAGATTATGTTCATGGAGTAAAGTTTTGACATGGTCTAAATTTCAATGTTATATCTTGTTTGTGGCATCACTGGAAATGAATAAGTCCTGATTCCAGTGATGGTAACATTTTCCACTTTAGTCATTTGGGTCATTGTTGCTACAATATCCATATTTAAACCTGTGTGTTGTTTTGCAATATATCTTTAAGTTCAACTTCCTTTTTTGTTTCAAGTGACTAGGGAAGAAAAAACAGTGATTATAATACAGAGTACAAATGATGTTTGAGAAAAGCAGGGCTTTGAGTAGCATTGGTCCTGAAGTCCTCTGTGTTTTAATGAAGGGTGGGAGCTTGCACTGAGAAGTCAGGTGTGCAGAGAAGTGCTAATGGTCGCATCAAGGCCTGGATGTCAGATCCTTTCAAGTCAAAATATGGAAGTGCTGATGAAATTCCTAGATTATATGATCTAGAAGGACAAGTCAAGTTATCCCATCAAAAATATATGGGGGAACTTCCGCTAGGCATGTGCATATCTCTGATAACAGTATGCCATGGTTGGAAGGCGGGAACCTGGAAGGGAAGATAAATTCAAGTTCAGTATCACTGGGGCCATAGAATGAAGTACTTTTTAAGCCATGGTAAGAAGGGTGGGCTTTATTAGAAGGCCAATAGAGAGGAATGGAAAGGTTTTAAGTGGGAGGGAGGGCATTCTATTCGTGTTACTGAAAGATCACTCTGGCGGTGCCACAGAGAATGTATTGTAGGAGATGGTGACAAAGAAAACCAATAAGGAGCAGTGTAGGCAAGAGCTGGGGTCACTCGGGACTTGCCTGTGGAGATGGAGAGGAGGTGGAGCTGAGAGATATCAGGGAAGGAGAATCGTAGGGTGGGTGATTCGTTGGACTTAAGTGGTAAGAGAGAGCAAGGAGGGAAGGATGTCTTTTAGATTTCTCACATGGGCAGGTGGTTAGAACAATGGTGCTGTTCATGGAGATGAGGCTCTTGGTAGACAAAACAGATTGGGGAGGATGAATATTAATTCTTCCTCCTATATGTGGTAGAGTAGATGGATGTTTATGGGGTATAATAGATGAGTATAGTCATTTGACTGTTTTAGAACGAGTCTGGTTCTTGGGGTAGAACCTGTGTTTCAGTCAGGTTTGCATTTTCAAGCATGAAATTAAATTGCCAATTAACAGTTGTGTAAACAAATAGGGATTTATTTATCTCCATACAAGAAGCCCAGGGCTCTGTAATCACTGCCGTTGTTTAGTGGCTCCATGATGTCAGAACCAGCATCTCAGTGATTTGTCTTGACTTTTTTCTAATATTTGTCACCTCATGGTTGCAAGATGGCTGCCGCTCCTCTGGGCATCACAACTGCTTTACACTTTAAGAAGAGTGTAAATCAAGAAGGGAGAACAAGCTATGATTTCTTATTAACATATACAGTATGAAGTGTGCTTAAAGTTTGACTATATTTTTCTTAGATACCTTCTAACACATATAGCTCTGAGTAGTCTTTAAAGTATGTTAAATACATTTTTCCCTGATTAAAATTCTCAACTTGCAAAAACCATTTTTTTTTCTCTCAGATTTATTCCAAATCTTCCTTATTACTAAATTCTCAGTGGACCTCTCTGGGTTTCGAGCAAGTGCGGAAAATTCCATTTGGTGTTCGCCGGCTGATGTGCAAGTAAAAGCAGGGAATGTATGATGGAAAATGTCATACCCTTTATGATGACTTTTGATCTGTGAAGAATATAATTATTCTGTGTTTAAAACTACAGAAGGGAAATGTTTATTCACTCTTTTTGAAGGTAACATTATTCGGGGTATCATGAAGTGCAAATATTTGTCCTTTGCTGCAGTTTAATTCAAGATAGTCTCACCACCTAATGTTTGCAGAATTCTGTTGGTGACTGTTTTAGCTAACAGTCATTCTGAGGCATAGCAGAAGGTGCAGAGATTTTTGGAAAGAGACATCTCAAGGTGTACCCCGATGCTGTGTGATTTTCTTTAACTTCTCTGAACTGGTTTGTTCTGTGAAATTGGGTGAAATTGGGATAAGAGCAGGAGACAGTCTTTACATCCTTACTACAAACATACACAAAAATGCCTCTGAAACAAGGGTGGCTATGACACACTGAAGGTGCAAGTTAAATATGATGGGGTGTGGAATAGGGAAAGATTAATTTCTGCTGGGAGATATTGTGAACTCCATGTTGGAGAATGCAGAAGATTTACAGGATAATGGAGGATGGCCCCAGGCTTATCACACACATGTAGTGTGCAAAGTACATTAGAAGTTTTCAGGATTTACTGTTTCTGATAAGGGTCAAAATGAGGAGACCCTTGAAATTCTGGCTGAGCGAGCTTGAACTTTGTTCTGTATGTGATGGGGAGCAACTGAAGACTTAAAAATTCACGGAAACTTAATGTCGATAGAAGTGAAATTGGGGGTCAAAAAATATATATAATTAAAATTAAAATTAAAATTTTCATTTTGATATAATTATAGATTAACACACAGTTGTGAGAAGTACTGAGATATCCATGTATCTTTTATCCAGTGTCACCCAGTAGTAACATTTAGTATAATTCACAACCGGTAAATCAACTGAAGTCTTTTAAAGGGAAATCCATGATATGCTGAAGTCTGTGTTAAGTGGGTTGTCCTAGTAGCTGTGGACTAGAATGGATTGGAAAAAGAACATGGAAGCTAGGACACCTTTGGGAGGCTCTTGCAATAATCTGAGAGTAGGGGCATAACAATAGGATTGGGAAGAAGGGATATTTGGCAATATGGGGCTGATAAGAGAAGCTGATGCTCTGTGTAGTTGCTCAACAAAGAGGTATTGAGGGTCAGCTGTGTGCCATGCAGTCTGGTAAGTACTATAGGGGTTAAAAGATGATCTAATAGAGACAGGGCAATGCAACTGAAGGAAAATGGGCCACGTGGAAACGATGTTAGGCTGGACGAGACAGTGAGTTCTGTCTAGAGGGATAACTACTATTCTACCACTGGTTGTTACCATTTGTGACTATAGGTCCGGTGTGGCTGGTGTTTTGATTTCTTAGATGCCAGAAATCTAAATTTCTTTGTGAAATCTCTCAATTTTTAAATGTTACCTAATATAAAATTACAAAGAAGATGCATGCCAATGAGCAGTCATCTGTGAGCTAGATTCACCCTGTGGGTTCTTTGTTTTCTTGATGGAATGTTTAGAGCTTATTTCAGTTATCTATTACTGGGTAAATTGAGTGGCTTAAAGAGATAACTGTTTTATCTCACATAGTTCTGATAATTGACTGGGGAGCAGTTTTCCTGGTCTAGCTTGGGGTCTCTCATGGAATTGCCATTAGATGATGGCTGGATTTGGAGACATCTTGAAGCCTGCCTTGGGCTCTAAGATGGCTATAACTTTCTCTTTCTCCGTTGGTTTCAGGACCTCTTGTGGCCTCTCCATGTGGCCTTTCTAGCAGGGTAACCAGACTAATTAGATGTTAGCTCAGAACTCCTTATAGATTGTTTCAACAGGGAATAAATAGAAGCTACTAGTCTCCTTAAGGCTAGGTCCAGAGTTGCTAGCACATCACTCTTGCCACTTTCTGTTAGTTAATGCAAGTTGCTCCAGACCAGATTCACTGTGGGAAGGGACTGCACAAAGCATGAATGATGGGAGGCCTTGTCCATTGGTGACCATCTTTGGAGACAACCTACCACTGAAATCAAGATGTCTAGATATTGGTGACACTGTTTATCAAAGGTAAATGAGGGACATAGCAAATTCTCCTGTTTAGCATTCATGTTACTTTGAAGTTTTTAGAAAACCACATAATAGTGAGTTTTGTTTTTTTTTTTAGTAGTAACTGTGATTCTGGAGAAACCTGGTTGTTAATACAGTGGCTTCCTTTGGAAGCATAATTCATTTGTAGCTATTTGGTGTCCAGTTCATTAAAAAATAATACTATTAAGTGATAAGACAGATCTTTTCTGCTTTGGGTGAGCATGTTCTTTTCAAATACGTGACCAGGTTGTTAATGTTGGGTCCATAATCATGTATCTTTTCAGAAAAGAGCCCCTCAGATAAAGTCTGTTACATAAGACTTCCAAATGTTTATTAGCCTGAATACATGCAACTAAAATGTACTTTATCATGGCGCTTTTTGTTCTCCTTAGACTCAGAACTGGCTGCAAAATTTGCAGGTCCCAGTGCAAAATGAACATGTGGAGCCCCTTGTTATGATTGTAAAGACGACACCAGCGAGCATTAAACCAAGCCCAGGGCCCTGTGCACCTGCATAGATCTCATGCCTATGAAGTCATCCCTGCTTAGATTTTTGAAAACGTGTACAAAATGTGGGAGTATACTGTATTTTTCCGATAAAGGGCCATTAACTCTGATCAAATTCTCATTAGATTTTGACACCCCCAAAGGTTGGTCCTACTGCTTATGCAAATAAGAAAAGGGTGAAAGCTCTATGTTTAACAAGATCTCTGTTCCCAAGCAGTCCCTGTACCTCCTAGCCACAGCAGCAGGTGTTGGCAGGCGTTAGTCTGAGCTCCCTGCTGTTCAGGCTTTCTGAATTTGAGTGATTCCAACACAGTTAGGAACAGCATATCTCTTGTCGAAGGCTTGGCATGCTTTTTTCTAAATGTACTTTCTACCCCTTTACTGAGCTCTGTTCCTGAAGGATCCAGAATAGATTGCCTGTCTCGTTGATGAGTTCCTAAGTTCATTTGGAACAGACACTAACACAGTTCATTGCACTAAAGATTTAGGGTTCAACATCTCCAGAAGGTAGTTGATAGACTCCAGACAGGTTTGCAACATTGTACAACTGCAGAGAGCATGCTCAGATCATGGCCTAGGAATGGCAGCCCCTGGCATTGTGCAGTGCACAGCCTGAGTGGCTGTACACAGAGGCCCTGCCCTATAAGAATCTCAGTCTGCTATAATAATTTAGAGAGGTTGTTGTACAGCTGACTTTTTAAATAAGGCATGAGCCATTTTGAATTACTTGTTTGGCCCCCTGACCTGTGGCTTCATAAGCTCTTAATTTTTGTTTATCATCTCTATCAATCAGTGGATGCCAAGGCCAAATTAGCCCTATACCCATACACCTGACCCTTATAATAGAATAATAGTAGCTAACATTTATTGAATGCTTATTATGTGCTAGCGACTCTGCATGCATTATCTAATTTCATCTTCACAACAAGTCTATTAGTTGCTGTTATTCTTCCATTTAATTGATGAGAACACTGAGATTAAGTGTGGTTGTGTGAGTTACTCAAAGTCACAAAGCTAATTAAGTGATAAGCTGTGACTCGAACCCAGTCCTGTCTGATTTCTAAACCCAAGCAGCATTACAGAGGGTGTGTTTTTAGGGCAATGTTTGCACATGGCAGTATTCTCTATTTGAAGCTTGTTTTATTGTAGGCCATTTCTTGCTTCTGGAGCATTCCCTGATTAAATATTCTCTACCTATACTTATTTCTCAGGATTTTTAGTTCTTTCAAAGTAACCATCAGACCTTTCATAAATTTTGAATATCCTTTATTACTATCTACTTCAGTAAATCTAGGAATATTTAATCTCTTAATTGGAGTTACAAATGGCAAATGCTGAGGGGATTATGTTCTAGGTGAGTGTTTTTGTTTTGCACATGCCTCAGAGAACATAAAAATTAACACATTTCCTTAACAGAGATGAGAATAGAGTCCTAAACATCACCAGATAATTTCCTACTAGTGATAAGAAAAATTATTCTCATCTAATTTTTACTGCTTTCAGTATAATGTACTGTAGGATGAGAGGAACAGACCAGTTCCCTTGATAAACACCTTTTGACCTTATTCCATCCTTTCCAGGAGGTGGAAATTCTGATTTTCCCTTGGAGTGATATTCCAGTTCATTTAATGCATGTGAACAGACAGGTTCTTTTCCAGGTGTGAGAACAATACTGGTTTGGAAGTAGAGACCTAGGTATCCTCTGACAGATTGTGGGGAAGTTGAGATACCTGAAATTACCTTTTGCTTGGATGCTCCTTGTCTCTCTTGCCCATCTGTACAGTATTAGATTTCTAACAATGTGATAGACTCTTCTAATATTCCTAGTTATTCTTGACTGATAGTTTTTGTTGAACAAATAGAAAAGAAAGGTAAGGGGCTTTATCTGAATACAGAATACTTAGTCAAGTGTTTGTATGTGTGTGTGTGCACGTATTCAAAGGAGATATTTATATATGATATGTAGGATATATATATATATATAATTTATATATTTAATAAAGGAGATTATTTCTCTTTTATTAAATGCCAAGTTGGGTTATGTTGCTTTCTGCACCACAGATAATGACTAAGGACCTACTTACTCTAATCGAATGATCTGCCCAAAGACTAATGGTATACTTTATTATACTTATTTGCAAGGTTCTGATAGAGGATGTTTTAAATTATCCAGAATATGTTTTTTTTTGTTCGTGTATGTGTATTTCTAAAAGTGGTGTTTCACAAAGTGTAGTTTAAGAGTTACCTGTGTCAGGGTCACCTGGGGATGTGTTAAAAATAGGAATTCCTGGGTCTTTGGACTCCAGCTGTCTCTACTGATTTGAGGTTTTCAGGAATCTGCATGTCGCTCAGCTTCTTTGTGATTTTTGTCCCACTATAGTTTGAGAACCATGGTCTGAAATGTGTCAGCATAGGGATAAAGATTCAACTTAATTTTGTCTTTTTTTGTTCCCTTCCTCTTTCCTGTCTCTCTTTCTTCTCCCCTTTCAAATATATTAGAGACAACTATTTTAAGGGGTATTTTAATGGCTTGTGTTTTTTATTTGCGATGAAAGGCTTTTGTTAATGTTAGCAATATCACAATTCCATCTTTTCCTTTGTGGTCTGTATAAAAGGAGCCATTGGGGAAGAGTTGCTTTTTGTTTTGTTGTTGTTGTTGTTGTTGTTGTTGTTTAAATACCCACTATTTTCCATAGCAAATCTCCAGGAAGGAACAACATACTGTTTGTTCTTTTTTCAGGATAACTCTGGCTTTCTTTGCTAGTGGGTGTTGTAATCAATGCTTTTCAGAAGCAACTTAATACTCCTCCTTACTATAAATCCCAGAATTTAATGCAAACATTTCTAACGTTTATAGAGGCTACTTTTTGGGGTAAGAGAAGGGAGGAATGAAAATCCTTTGAGAAGACATTTTGAGGATTCTCTGTGATCTCAGAATAGGTAGTAATGACTCCCTGAGTTTTAGTGTCAAAGATTTTGAGATCTCTTAGTATAGAAAACAGTTACAAAGCTAGAAGCTTTAATGGATTTTTAAAAACACAAAGTTTTTAACTGAAGATATTCCTGAAAGGTAAATTCCCTCCCTCCTTCCCCCTCCCCCATATTAGAGAAATTACTTTTTTGAGGAAGCTGAACTAGCCAGCTAGTCTCCACTCTAATCCATGGTAGATAACTAGTTGGATTATTAGAGATTGGAACTTTTCCAGGTGACTTGGATAGAGACTCCCTGAAGATATATTAAGCCAGGCAATGAATTTAGAGGCAGATTCTTCTTTATAAAGGACTTCTTAAAATAGGAAAATGATGATCTAAGTGTCATAAAGTTAAGAAACTATTGTGGTGATTTCTTCTGAAGGTCAGATCCAAGGTTTGTGTTTCATTGAAGATCCCCAGGGAAATCTCAAGGGTCCTGTGTCCCATTCTGGAGAGACTGGCGTGGACTGTGGGCCCCTGCAGCCAGCTGCTTGCCTTTTGTTTATTTTCCTTGTTATCTTTGTCAAAGTGCTGCAGTTGGATTTTTTTTTTTTTTTTAAATAGCACAAGATGATTGTCTTTCTGCTGTGTCTTCCACGAAAGCTTTGTATTAGTGGAGAACTTTTGGCTGCAGAGCTGGGCTGATCTGTGTGGCACTGAGCATAATTCAGGTTCTCCTGCGGGCACTTGAACATTCTTCATGAGGGCTGAGGCAGGCAAGCTGAGTGGAGCAGTGAGTCACGGCGTGCTGCGGCAGTGGTGTCCTGAAATAACAGCAAGCAGCAGCAGCAGCAGCAGCAGTAATTTAACAGCAGTAGTGAGCATTTACTGATGCTTCCCATGTGCCAGGCACTCTGCTCAGTACCTTCTGTGCACTATCTCATTTAAATCAGAACAATCCCATGAGCTCGGTACCATCTTTCATGTCAGTTTTACAGATACTCATCTGCAGGTCACATGACCAGTAAGCAATCCAAGTGGGGCTTGAATGCTGATTGCTTGGGTGCCCAAATTCATGCATTTAACCATAGTACCATACTCTTTGACAGAAATGCACGTTGTTACTGCCTTTTTTGCTTTGCTTTTTCCTTAAATCACATCAGAACTGGTTTTTGCTTTTTCCTTAAATCACATCAGAACTGGTTTTTGCTTAGTAATTTAGGCTCCATGACCTGAAGATTGTCTTTTCTTATTTTTATGAGTTGAGGTTTTGAGTGAGAGGGAAATACAACCTGAGAAAGTTCATCCTTGGGAAATTGAGCATGGCCTTTTGCCTGAGACCATGTCCATCTACTGAATGGTCAAGGGAGCAAAAAAGGAATCGTGGGAGGTGAAAGGTAGAAAGATTGGGCTAGAGAAAAAGAGATGGACAGGTAGACACATCCAGGGTGATCTGTACCGTGGATGAAGGAGGAAGAGGGATATGAAACATAGTTCAAGAACTAGAGTTCAAAGGTCACCTGGGTAATAATGCCATATAGGGCTTAATGGGGGAAAAGGAAGGTTCAGTGATCAAATAAATTGGAAATTGTACATTCTAACATCTGTTTGGAGAACAAAAAAAGCAGTGCAGCACCTAACACTTCTTGAGTGCTTCCTGCGTATGCTTTAAGTAGCACATTCCACTCTTAGATTCTAAGGTGGAGTGAGCTTTGCCAAAGGAGGTTTGACTCCTAGAGGGAAATCAGGGTAGTTTCCAAAGTAAATGAGAATGGATGCAGATTTAAATAGTTGGGACTCATGCCACAATTTACCTGATGTTTTTCTCATTCTGCAACTGCCTGGTGCCTGGTGACCTTTGTCAGTGGCTTCCTCTTGTTGCCTCTAGGGCATGAATCCCTGCTTCTGTCTGCTTTACGGGATTGTTGACAGTAAATGAGTATGAAGTCCTTTGCGCTCTGTAGAGGTAAGACGCTTTTGAAGTTCAAGGTCTTCATAATGTTCATATCAAATATCTAGAGTTCCTTCAATTTAGTTAACATCGTAAAATGAATGTATATCCTTTTAGGACAGATTAAATACCCTTAGCTTACTCAGGAGAGGAAAGGAAATGCATCTAAAAAGTGTTTACTGCTCTCAGGAGACATATCTTCAAGTTCTTATGGGTTGCACCGAGATGACTGGTGACAATCCTCGAGTAACATTGTTATGGATTTTATATAAGACTGTGGAAAATGAGACGTGTTTGCTTGTATGGGCTTATCCTTTTGAAGCCCAGTTATCTGGGGCATACATCCGTGGAAATACCGTCATTTAAAAACAATTTCTTTAAAATTAGGGTTGGAGGAGCATATTAGGTAAAAATCCATTCAGTTGGAAATGACCGAAAGTCCAACTACAGCAACAAAGGAGATTTATTCATTCATTTAGGTGAAGAGTCCACATCCTTTTGGACTTGCTTTGAGTATCATGGTTGGATTGACCATAGGCCTGGAGTTATCATCATGTACCTGGTTTCTCATCCAATCCACTCTGCCTTCATGGTGTTATGTCACTTTTAGAGTGTTGCTGGTTCCACTTCGTGATGATAAGATGTCTGCCAAATACTCCTGGGGCTGCTTATTCTCTCCCGCATGTGGTGAGAGAGAGAGAGATTGATTTCTGGGAGCTCTTCCACGATAGCAAAGGAGAAGCTCAAACCGTTCTTATTGGCCACACTTAAGTCATGTTCCATTCATGAGCCAGTGCATGTGATGAAGGAATGGGTTTTAGGCTGGTTAGTATAGACACCAGAACCATGTTCCACTCCTGAATTCTAAGGGGGACTGAACTTCACCAAAGGAAGTGTGAAACCTAGAGGAAAATCAGGGTAGTTTCCAAAGTGAGAATGGATGCAGATTTAAATAGTTGAGACTCATGACACAATTGACCTGATAGTTTTCTTGTATTCTCATGTTAGCAGTTATGTGTGAAACTGGCTTTTTAATGAATAAACGACTAGATCAAGGTTTAACTTGTAAAGGATCTTGTTCCAAGTTCCTCTCTGTTTCTTAGTAGTACAGGCTAGACTAGACCAAATTGAAGGATTCTCTTTCTTTCCACTTTTTGAAAAGTCTTGGTGTTTGGTTTTTGAATTTGTAAAGCATTAAGTTGAATCTGTATCTGGCCGTGGTTTTCTATTCCAAATGCCTTTTGGATGAGTCAGTGTGAGGTTTCATTAGGGCAGTATAAATTACCCTCACTTTTTTTCTTTTTTTCTCTTCTTGATCTCAGTATGACTGCTCCTTATTTCTGACATTGAGCCTCATGTTTTAATACATAAAAGATTCCTGTTTTCACATGGATCTCCTACGTGTCCAACATTACATTTTATCCTACAAAAATTACACCACTGATAAAAATAAAATAGTTATTATTGAAAGGCATAAATAACAAGAATGGTGGTGGTAGCCAGAAGTTACTGAGTGCTGACTGTGTGCTGGGTAAGCGCTGTGCTAAGTGCTTTATTTGCATTGTTCTGTTTATTCATCACAGCAACCCTGTGAAGGAGATGCTGTCATTATCTCTGTTTTGAAGATGAGAAAACTGAGGTTAAATAAGGTTCACAAGGCTGCATAGACAGGCAGTGGTGGAGCCAAAACTTGAGCCCAGATCTCTTTCATTCTGGGACCTGTCTTCTTAACCACTATTTTCTTTTTCTTTTTTTTTTTAATTATTATACTTTAAGTTTTAGGGTACATGTGCACAATATGCAGGTTTGTTACATATGTATACATGTGCCATGTTGGTGTGCTGCACCCATTAACTTGTCATTTAGCATTAGGTATATCTCCTGATGCTATCCCTCCCCCCTCCCCCGACCCCACAACAGTCCCTGGTGTGTGATGTTCCCCTTCCTGTGTCCATGTGTTCTCATTGTTCAATTCCCACCTATGAGTGAGAACATGCGGTGTTTGGTTTTTTGTCCTTGTGATAACCACTATTTTCTCTCTCAGAGAAGCCACGATACTTTGAGTATGCTATATACCTAATGCTAAGTTTAAAATTTCTGGAAAGTTGCATTATGTCTGTAAATTCTTCTGCAGTTAGTGCTTCTGTATACTACTAGTGGTAGAAGATTGAAAGAGAACCCTTAACATCTTGGACCTTGGAAAAACTTGACCCAGAAGTCTTTCACCAAAAATTTGCATTTACCTGAAGAGCCAAAGCAATTTTGAGAAAGAAGAACAAATTTGAAGGACTCACACTTTCTGGTTTCAAAACACATTACAAAACTACAATAATCACAACAGTGTGGTATTGACATAAAGACACACAAATAGACCAATGTAATAGAATAGAGAGCTCAGAAGTGAACCCTTGCATATACGGTCAAATGATCTTTGACAAGGGTGCCAAGATGATTCAATGAAGTAAGGACAGTCTCTTCATCAAATGGGGTTGGGAAAACTAGATAGATGCAATGGAATGAAGTTGGACCCTTATCTTACACAAAGTACAAATATTAACTCAAGATGGATTCAAGACCTAAATGTAAGACCCAAAACTATAAAACTCCTAGAAGAAGATGTATGGAAAAAACATAGTGATATTGAACTTAGCAATGATTTATTGTATGTAACACCAAAAGCACAGGCAACAAAATAAAAAATTGACATAGGACAGTCTTCTAGGTGCTAGAAAAAAAAAGAAAACAGATGAATGCTACTCCATTAAACTTAAAATCTTTTGTGCATCAAATGACACAATCATCAGACTGCAGAGACAAACTGCAGAATGGTAAAAAGTATTTGCAAATCATATATCTAATAATTGGTTAATATCCAGAATGCATAAAGAACTCCCACAACTCAATCACAAAAAATAAAATAACCTGATTAAATAATTGGCAAAGGACTTTAAGAGACATTTCTCCAGAAGTGGTATACAGATGACCAACAAGCACGTGAAAAAGTGCTCAATGTCACTCATCATCTAAGAAATGCAAATCGGAACCACAGAGAAGTATCACCTCATACTCATTAGGATGGCTACTATTAAAGAAAAATAATGACTCTTGTTGAGAATGTAAAGAAAGTGGAACTCTTGTGCACTGTTGGTGGGATTGTAAAATGATACAGCTGCTACGGAAAGGAGCATAGAGGTTCATAAAAAATTAAAAATAGTAATCCCAGCACTTTGGGAGGCCAACTCAGGTGGATCACTTGAGGCCAGGAGTTCGAGACAACCCTGGGCAGCATGGCAAAACCCTATCTCTACTAAAAATAAAAAATTTAGCTGGGCGTGGTGGCACACACCTGTAGTCCCACATACTTGGGAGGCTGAGGCGTGCGAATTGCTTGAACCCAGGAGGCAGAGGCTGCAATGAATGGAGATCGCACCACTGCACTGCAGCCTGGGCAACAGAGTGAGACTGTGTCTCAGAAAAACAAACAAACAAACCTCTCATGTGATCCAGTAATCCCAGTTTTGTGTGCATGTATATATATATATATATCCAAAAGAATTGAAAGCAGGGTCCTATAGATAATTGCACATCCATGTTCATAGCAGTGCTAGTCACAATAGCCAAGAGTGGAAGCAACCCAAATGTCCATCAGCAGGTGAATGGATAAACAGAATGTGCTGCATACATACAATGGAGTATTATTCAGCCTTAAAAAGGGAGGAAATCCTGTCATATGCCATGCTACAACATAGATGAATCTTTAGGACATTATAGTAAGTTAAGTAAGCCAGTGACAAGAAGGTAAATACTGTATGAATCCACTTATAGTAAGTTAAGTAAGCCAGTGACAAGAAGGTAAATACTGTATGAATCCACTTACATGAGGTATGTAGAGGAGTCAAACTCATAGAGACAGAAAGTACAATGGTGGTTGCTAGGGGGAGGGGGTAGTGGGAAAAGGGGAGTTGGTATTTAATGGGTATAGAGCTTCAGTTTTGCGAGATGAAAAAGTTCTGGAGATCTCTTGCACAACAATGTGAATGTAATTAACATCAATGAACTGTATATTTAGAAATGGTTAAAATGGTAAATTTTATGTAACATGTTTGTTTATTTGTTTTTTACCACAATTTTAAAAATTTCACATTTATCACCTGGCACTAATTTTACTACTTCATTGAGTATTTCAACATCTTACTTGAAGTTGCAAACCCCAAGGCCACAGGCTGAATGTGGCCCATGGACAATCAGTTTTTGACAAATGTGAAATAGTGGTCAATATTTTTTAAAAATTAGGAACTTTCACATCAAAACCCCTATATCTCGCTTCTCTTGGAAAACTGGAGAATCTGGAAATTCCAAGTCCCTAGTCTGTCCAATCAACAAATGGCTGTAGCTGAGGAGCAGCACCCCACTTTCAGTCCTAGGCATGAAATTCAGATTCATTTCTCTCACTCTCGAATTTCTTATACAAGACCCAAGTCCTCGTGCAGATATACTAACTTCCTGGCCACAGTATTTGTAGGTTTAAGATATTAAACTTCTTAATTCCAAATGCATCCAATAATAATAGACCGTAGATGGTGGATGCTCTGCGAGCTCCCACACTAACTTCTTTTTAGAGACACTAATTTCTAGGTTTCTGCTTCTGTTTGAGGTCCTAGAGTTATCATCTCTGTATTTCTATATGAACAAATATAGTCCCAATGCCCTTTTTTCTTTTGCCATTTTGCGTACAGCAAATGTCCTGCAAGTCATGTTCTAAATATAGATGTGTTAAATTTCAAATGTGAAAGTTTTTGAAGGGTCTAAAGCCAGTTTGCTAATCAGGGAAATGCTGTGATTGGCGCCAGCACTTGCAGTCCCTGAGGGGGATTGTGAAATCCGGCCTCCGCAACTGTGATTCAAGTCTGGGATGAAAGAAAACTCCATGATCGCTGAAGAGCTCTCCAAGTTGTTTTCTTCTTAACAGCGTGGTGGTGGTGGTGGTGGTTTGAGTGTCATAACAGAGAAAAGACAAATACATGTTCCTGAGTTCATTTTACTAGTACTGGATTAATAGTATGGTAACAAATCATTATTTTGCAAGCAAAAACAACCATGTTTTGCAATTCTTTATGTGCAAGTTGTAAGAAAATGCCTGTCAATAGAAAGGAATCTAGAGACCCAAGAGGCTCAAGACCTCTTCATGGCAAGTTAAGAAGAATGGCTACTTATGCAAAATATAAAAACCTTGGGTATTTGAAAGTTCAAACTGGCACAGTTTTTTCTCTTTTAAATCTTATTATTCTGTTGTTTTTCAAGATAGGGCTGGTGGCATCTAATGGCAAGTAGAGGCAAAATACTGGAATGCAGCAGTTGTGCGTTTTTCAAAGCTATGCACTGCATGACATCCCTGTGTGTGCATTTAAGTGTGTATGCAAGAGGCATTATTAGAACTGCCTATATGTTTCATGCTGGGTCTATTTCATTGGTGCAGTAGAACTTGGAAAATGCAGTTTCATGCTTTGAATAATAGTGAACAACAGTAGAGGAGGCCTTAGTTTCCAAGACTGGTGGAGCAGAGGTATTCGGGGAACTTTCTGGGAATGAGACTTGGATAATTAAGTTGCTGTGCCCTGAGAGTTGCTCCTTGAAGTAGAGACGGATGTGCTGAATCCTCATCTGTACTTGCCAGAAGTGAAGCTGTCATCTAGCACAGTTGCTGCCTCTGTTTTTGAAAAGAGATATGACTAGTTGATTCCATCACTATCTGATGCAGAATTTTCAAAGATGAGTAGTGGATCAGAGAAACGAAACAAAACAAAGCCAACTGAACTAAACTGTGTTGCTAGCTGAAAGGGTCTGATAGTGAGCAAAGGGCCAGATGTTTGGAGTTGCTTTCTTCAATTTTATTTCACTGCTTTTATCCATTAAATTGGTCAACAGCAGCACTCACTGGTAAAAATAGGAACAACAGATTCAAGTTTTCCTATGTGCTGTTACAGTGATGCCCTTTTTTTCTTTCCTCTCTCATCTCCTTGCTTTTTCCTTCCCTCCCTTCTTAAGCTCAAGCTTTCATTATATGATTTTTTTTTTAAATTCCAAAAGAATAACGATAGTGTATAGATAAAATGTGGTTAATTTCCCTACTCACCATCCCTAATCCTACTCTTCTAAAGAAATCAATATTAAGAGTTTGGTTTATATCAACAATCCTTCCCCAACCCATGCAAATAAGATATGTATCTAGAGAAATTTGTTTTTCTAATTTTTACAAAAGTGGACTCGTTCTGGGTACAGAATCTTGTAACTTGACTTCCCTGGCATTATTTTATTGGCATCTCTCCAAATCAGTACATTTAGCTCAAAATCGCTACTTTTAATGGCTAATTTTTTTAATAGTATAGTTTTATCACAATTTATTCATAAAATTCCTTATTGATTGATTCCTCTGCCCCACTAAAAATTTCCTCTCCTCCACTAAAAAGATAGCATTGCATATTTTAATTACACATACATATTTTTAAAGCTTTACCCTGTATAATATTTGAAGAGGAAAATTAAAGGGTTTCTAAATGTTTCATTTGCTTTATTACTTTAAATTTTTTCTTGTTTTATGGGCTAAAGTCTTTAGCTTTTTTTTTTTTTTTTTTTTTTTTTTTTTTTTTAAACAGGGTCTCCCTCTGCCACCCATGCTGAAGTACAGTGGTGCAATCACCGTTCCTGGGCAACCTCGATTTCCTGGGCCGAAGTGATCTTCCCACTTCAGCCTCCTGAGTAGCTGGAACTATAGGCGCTTGCCACCACACCTGGCTAATTTTTTTGTATTTTTTGTAGAGATGGGGTTTCGCCATGTTGCCCAGGCTGGTCTTGAACTACTAGGCTCAAGCAGTCTGCCTGCTTCGGCCTCCCAAAGTGTTGGGATTACAGGCGTAAGCCACTGCACCCAGCCAGATTTTCTAATTTGCTGATTTACCTCTTTGAATTTTTGCATTATAGCTATCTATGCTGTATAGTGAAGGATTTCTCAAGCTCGGCATTTTAGTCATTTTAGGTCATATAGCTCTTTGGTGTGAGTAGCTGTGCTGTGTGTTGTGGAACACGTAGCGTCCCTGGCTTCTACCCATTAGATGCTCATAGCATGCACCCTCTCCCAATGCTCATAGCATGCACCCTCTCCCAATGCTCAAGTTATGATGACCAAAAATGTCTCTAGTCACTGCCAGATGTTCCTTGGGTGGAAAAATTGCTCCTGTTGAGAACCACTCCTATAATGTATATAAGGTATATATTTAAAAACCCAGTTATGTGGAAGAACACTACTTTTCTTTATGTATTCACCAACACTTGGCAACATGAATGTAATGTCACATGCATTAGAAGTGAATCTCAGTATTGGGCCCCAGATAGTGAGCTTCACTTAGTTCCTGTGTACAAGCCAGCACTGGAATGATCTTCAGTTTATGCCATTTTGGTATCCATAATGGCACATAGACAACAGTGTCCTCATTTATAAGTTGTGCTATCTCAATCAGACAGTTTGAATATTTTCTGGCTGTGGTGGGGCAACACCTACTCAAATGAGGCAGGAATGCCATTTGCGTCTGACATCATTTTCTTCGACTGGGATTTGAGCAGTTCACGAGGCACCCATTGTCCCACCCATGTCACCCCAGCTATATGAAGTGTATAGGAGGCAGTGGCATCCAGGTAGCCAACGACCTCTTTCCTCTCCTAGTATCTTTTCTACAGAGTCTCCCCCAACTTCTGGCCTTGAGCAAAATAGCCCCATTGGGAAGATCACTGAGGGAAACTGCTGTTTCCACATATTCTATAATCTTTTTCTGTGAAAAGGTGAGCTATATATATAATTATTTAAGTTTCTTCACATTTGCAGGTGGCTATTGTGGTTGGTCTGCTTAACGAAATAGGGTGTGGTGTTATGTATGTGAACAAAGCTGGGCATCAGGCCCTTCATCAGAAATGTGACCCCTTATTAAAGCATTGTTTTTTGTTTTTACAGAAAGTCAGATGGCTTTGTGTTGTTTGACGTGGTTCCTTTTCCAAATAGATGACTGTAAAGATGACCTGATGATCCTATGGACTGGGCTATAAACTTTGTGCATCTCCCTTCTTGTGCCTTAATGGCAAGGTAAGATGCTGGAGAACCAATTCTCATGTCCTTGGTTGGCATTTTAATCGTGGTAGCTTGGTCATCAGGGTAATGGCAACACGTTAAAATTCACATGCATTAAAAAAATAGCAGTGTCATCCAGGCTGCTTTGCATTTGTTATTTGTTTATTTATTTATACATAGATACACATCCATGTAGCTACTGCCCAGGTCAAGAATTAGGACATTTCCAGCACAGTAGAAGATTCCCTTTTCCCCATCTTAGCCAGTAAGCACTTCCCGAAAGAATCCATTAGTCTGACCTCAATCACTCTGACTTAGTTTTGTCTATTCTTGAACTCCACGGAAATGGAATCAAATAGTATTTGTTCTTTGGTGACTAGCTTTTTTAGTCTAACAGTATAGCTGAAGTACATTCGTACTGGGACATGTAACAGTAGTTTGTACTTTTTGATGCTGTGTGAGTAGTAGGCTCTGTATGAATAATTTATTCAATCTTTCTACTCATTATGGTGGGCATTTGGGTTCTTTCCTAGGTGAGGATATGAGGAACAAAGCTGCCCTGAATATCCCTGTACATGTCTTCAGTGGATGATGTATTTTCTTTTGGGTAAATACCTGGGAGTGGAATGGTTAGCTCATCTTTTGATAGATTTATTCTTAGTTATTTAAATGTTTTGATGCTGTTGTAAATAGATTTTCTTTTAAAATCTTAATTTTCTCCCAAGCGATGTATTATGTTTTCATTTGCAAACTAGTATATTTTAATAGATGCCATGAAACATGCATTAAAATTAATATTTGCCTCTTTTTAAGAGAGCCTGATATACGACACTTCTAATTTTTAAAAAACATATAGAAAATTACGTGATAACTCTTGATATAAATATTGCATTTGGTTTTTAAAAAACAATGAACTGTCTTACATTATTTAAAAATAAATCTAGGCTGGGCATAGCGGCTTATTCCTATAATCTTAGCACTTTGGGAGGCCGAGGTGGGAGGATCTCCTGAGCCCAGGAGTTTGAGACCAGCCTGGACAACATGACAAGACCTCATCTCTACAAAAATTTTAAAAATTGGCTGAGCATGGTGGTGTGTACCTGTGGTCCCAGCTACTTGGGAGGCTGAGGTGGGAGGATTGCTTGAGCCTGGGAGGTTGAGGCTGCAGTGAGCCCTCTTTGCACCATTGCACTCCTGCCTGGGTGACAGAGTGAAACCGTGTTTCAGAAAATAAAAGGTAAAAAATAAATCTAATTACAACATGCAAATATTTTCAAAATATTTCTCATACAAAGCTAATATATTAAATCAATCTAATTTCAAAGGCACGTATTTAAAAAATATAAGTATATAATACACATTTTTAGATTATCTGTGATTTATTTTTGTTCATATGTATACCACAACATTTTATATAGGGGTCTTTTACATCATAAATCAAATCCACTGTTATGAAGCAAAATTTTAATCTTTTGTTGCTATTTTTGTTTTTGTTTTTTGAGACGGAGTTGCGCTCAGTCGCCCAGGCTGGAGAGCAGTGGCACAATCTTGACTCACTGCAGCCGCCGTCTCCTGGGTTCAAATGATTCTCCTGTCTCAGACTCCCGAGTAGTAGGGATTACAGGCATGTGCCACCACACCAGCTAATTTTTGTATTTTTAGTAAAGACAGGGTTTCTTCATGTTGGCCAGGCTGGTCTTGAATTCCTGACCTCAGGTGATCTGCCTGCCTCGGCCTCCTAAAGTGCTGGGATTACAGGCATGAGCCACTGCGCCTGGCCTCTGTTGCTATTTTTGAAGATTGTGTTTAGTTTGTATTCATTTTAGAAATATGGCAAAGCATTCTTTCTTATTTAGAAAAGGGAATCTAATCTGAAAGGATTTTTTTTTCTTTTAGTGCCTATGAGGAATTTCCTAAATACTTTTGCAGGTAGTAAAACATTTAAAGCTGCTTGAATGCACAGCAGTTTGTGAAGCTTACAAACACCGTCTTTCTTTTTTTTTTTTTTTTTTTTTTTGAGACGGAGTCTCGCTCTGTCGCCCAGGCCGGACTGCGGACTGCAGTGGCGCAATCTCGGCTCACTGCAAGCTCCGCTTCCCGGGTTCACGCCATTCTGCTGCCTCAGCCTCCCAAGTAGCTGGGACTACAGGCGCCCGCCACCGCGCCCGGCTAATTTTTTGTATTTTTGGTAGAGACGGGGTTTCACCTTGTTAGCCAGGATGGTCTCGATCTCCTGACCTCATGATCCACCCGCCTCGGCCTCCCAAAGTGCAAACACCGTCTTTCTAAGATAGTCATGAAACATAACCTGGGACAGAGTGATTTGTTAGGCCATATCTATTGCCTTGACAACAAACTAAACATTTCAAAATACTTGAGCAAATGCCACCAACAAGTGATGTGTAGGGGTTAAGTGGTTAAAGCAGAAGCACCAAGACCATGTTTGTGTGATAAAGGTTGCAGAAACTGTACCCATTTTATAGGAGACTTTTATTGCAGGTTTTCTGACTCTAACATAAGCTAAATACATTAGCAAGGAGAACATCTACTATTCTAAGTTTATAAATTATTTTTAATGGGAGTATGCAGGGATTTGTATCATAATTTAGTCCAGAGGGTATACCTCTAATTCGCTCCCTTCAAGCCAATTTAATGCCACATGTGAATGGAAAATTGTATTACACCTATCCCAGGTGCTGAAGGTCAGAGTGATACAGGAAATCTAAAATACCAATCTTTGTGCTCAAGGAGTTTGTTTGAGTTTTTTAACCTGTGTTCTCAGATTGTACATATTCAGAGAGGTATTTTATTTTTTGTCTCGATGGAAATTTCTACAAATCATATAAATGAAGACTTATTATAGCATCTACTGTTATACTAAAGATCATTTATTAAATATTTTCTGGGAATGAATGGACTACAGAAAAGAAATGGATTCTTTTGGCCAGACAGGAAAGATTTTCTATTTTGGTGGACTAAAAAAATAAATAAATAATACAATATTATTTTTGCCTTAGATTTTGAAGGGGTATAGGTGTGATGGTGGAGTAATTAAGAATTTAGAGAGCCCATTTCACTCTTTTCTGTTTTCTTGAATTCTCATAGTTTAATATTGTCCTCTTTGGTTGAAAGCAACATCTACTTTCAGTCTTGATTTTAAAATGCTGACACTTTCACTGTACATTTTGTGAAGAATAATACGATTCCCCAAGGTGACTTGATTGTCAAAGTCATTTCTTCCACCCATGTTGGTGGAAATACCCAACATTTTTCATCTATAACCAAGGTTATCTTTATCTTTTTGCAGTCAGTGCCATGGTAACAGGTAGTGATACAAATCTGGGACCCCTGAGTGCTGTGGGTCAGAGATTACAATAAAAATATAAATGTTGGTTGCAGAAGCAACGTACATTTTAGATGTTTATGGAGGGCTTTAAACTGATCACAGATAAAGTGGTGACTCATAGTTTTCATTTTTAATTAATCAGCATTCAAATTGAAGAGGAAAATCCATCCAGAACTTTTTGTTGGCTTCAGTGGATCTGAATCCCAGTACTGTGACTCTGAGCTGGGATATGTGTACCCACCTTAGGCCTGTAACTGATCTGGTTCTGCCTCAGTCTCCCCATGTGTAAAGTGGGGATAATGCTACCTACATCATGCAGTTGGGAGGATTAAAAGCCCAGTTGATAGAAATGTGCCTAGCACAGTTCCTGGCTCTATAGTAGCTGATGTTCTTATTATTTTTATAGTGAGGAAACCATGTTGTATTAGTGGAAGCCAGGCAGATCGACTTTATTGAATTCCTTCTATATGTTTTTGTCAGCTGCACAGTCTTGGCCAAGTAATTTAAGTCACTTAGTCCCCTTGGAGTCTTGGTTTGGTCACATGCAAAATGGGGTTCATACTATTTATCATTCAGAGTTGTTGTGAGGAAAACACAATATATTTAAAGCGCATAGCATGGTTCCTGGCACCTAATAAGCATTCAGCAAGTGATAGCTGCTACTATTATTATGATTGTGGTTGTTATTGTCATTTTCATGATTAGACTGTGTGTCCACATCTCAGTATTTTTGCTGCTATTTTTATAGCCCAGCTACTATCATCTCTCTGTAGATTATTGCAACAGCCCTCTAACCCTTCCCCCTCTGTTTCTATAAAGACCCAAATGGTCTGGCCTTTGCCAACCTCCCTGGTCTCCCACATTGCCTCCCCATAGTGCTTTAGCAACAGTGGACTTCATTTATTCCTGAAAATGCATTATACTCCTTCCCTGCACAGGGCCTTTGCATATGCTGCTTTTTCTTCTTGGAATAGTCTGACCTCTTTCTACCTCTCCTTCCACCCTTTCACTCTCCTACTCATCCCCTTGTTAATACACTCATAGGTCCTGATACATCACCTTCATTTTGCCTTGTACTTAATTACTTAATTTGCTTGTCCTTTTACATTTATTTGTGTGATCATTTGATGAATTCTGTGTCTCATCCTAGACTCTGATGCCCTAGGTTCTGATACAGCAGAGAGAGCGTCAGACTTGGATTACCATGGTATGTTTCTTTAGTTCCCCAACACACTCATTTGTTGAGGGAGTGAGTGAATAAATGAATGAATGATTATGATGATAATCTGATGATAATATAAAATATCTGGGCAACAATTGAGGAGATAGAGGAGGTTTTAGGATGTGAGGTTCATCCTTGGGAGAATGCATAGTGAGAAGGCAGATTTGCTAATGATTTGGGACACCAGTGAGGAAAAATGGTGTGTCTGTGCAGGAGGACGAATGGTTAAATGAAGAAATGCAGGGAGGGAGGAAGAAGCTGAGCAGGAAATAGTTGTGGAGTGTTGGAAAGAGGAAATAACTGGGAAGTGACCTGACAGAAAATTGGGCATGTATTTCCTTTGCTACAGTTTTTATTTCTCTGATTTAAGCATTGTCACATTGGCTCTTTTTGTTGTTGTTGTTTTTAAGTCTGATTTACAATATTCTTTTTACCTGTAGGATGCCACGTCTATCTGTTTACATGGACAAAGTTATACACCCAAAACGGGCAAAGACACAGTAGCAGTTTAGCCTTTGTTTTGTCTTCCTTTCCTAGGACAAATGCCCCCTCCCTTTAAAACAGTTTCTTTCACACTGTCTTATTTCTTTGGTCAAAAATCTACTGTTTTTTGTTTGTTTGTTTGTTTTTGTAGTTCTCTACTCTGATGTAATCTCCTTAGTATGCTCTTAGGGTAAACTGTTTCTCATTGTTTAAAGTTTCCAGCATTGGTTTCTCATTTTTGTTGTTCGTGTCACTGAAGAGAGCAGGGGGGTTTTCACAAAGAAACCTATACTGGGACCACTATCAGGTGCTGTGTGGTTATAAGGGGTGAGGAACTAAATAGACATCTATAAATTTAGTGTTTTTCAGTCTCTATGTTTTTCTTTTAGCATAATTTTAAATTGAGATGTAATTCACATAAATGAAATTTATCATTTTAACATGTACACTTCAGTAGTTTTAAATATATTCACTATGTTGTGTAGCTGTCACCATTATCTAATTCCAAAACATTTCCATCACCCCAATAAGAAGCTTCGTACCTATTAGCAGTTAGTCCCAACTCCCCTGCTCCTATCCCATGGCAACCATTAATCTACTTTGTCTTCATGGATTTGCCTACTGGACATTTCATATAAATGGGATTATACATTATGTGGCCTTTCATGTCTAGCTTCTTTCACTTAGCATATTTTCAAGATTCAGCCTTGAAAGGAATGACCTTTTTATGGTCATTCCTTTTTATGGACAAGTAATATTCCAGTGTAGGGATATACCACATTTTGTTTATTCATTTTTCAGCTGATGGACATTTGAATTGCTTCCACTTTTGCCTGCTATGAACTTTCTTGTACAAGTTTTTGTGTGAACATATGTTTTCAGTTCTCTTGAGTATTTACCTAAGAGCGGAATGGCTGGGTCACATGATTAAACATACCATAGATCATCACATGGTATGTTTAATCTTTTAAGGAGCTGCCATGCTGTTCTTACAGCAGGCAAACCACTTTGCATTCCCACCAGCAATGTGTCAGGGTGCCAGTTTTTCCACATCTTTGCCAACACTTGTTATTTTCAGTTAAAAAAAAATTATAGCCATCCTAGTGTTGTGAAGTGGTCATTGTGTCTCTTTTATTCTTTTGTGGTGACTCTTCGTGGCCTTAATTAGTTCCTCCCCCCTTTTCATTTAAAAAAAAATTGGATATTGTTCTTGTCATTTTTATTAGCTCTAAATTTTGAATGGGCCCTCTGTAGCACAGGGGAAATATAAAATAGAATTTGAAATACTACTTTATAACTGGGAAACAGCATGCTTAGAGAAAGTGACTGAACCAGAAAAAGGCAGTTATGGCCTACAAATTAGGATTTATTCTACCAAAGGAGACCTCAAGTAAATATTCTTATGTATAAATTATAGAAACCTCTCATTATAGGAATAAAAGTCAGAAAATGAAATTGGGGTAATAACAATTCCTCTTTATGGTTTGTTGTTTTCCTTGTGTAACTTTTTTTTTTTTTTTTACCTTGAAATGCTATTCCTTATATGCTGTTACCGTGAAGGTTGTTCATTTGTACACTAATCTTGGAAGATCTTTGAAATCCTGTAGAAAAAGCTCGGCTGACGTTAGCCAAGCTCATTTTGTATTCCATTGTTTCGAGTGGCTAAAATATCAGGACTAAAGGCCTGGAATTAAGAAGCTTAAATAATTATAGATTCCCTCTCCTCCCATTCATTAGATGTAATTTAGTACTGAAAAAAATAAAATTACTCAACTTGGATTGAAGTTCAGCGGTCTTAAATCCTTCTAAAATTCTGAATATGAATTTTTCATTGTAAACTGTGACAATGTCAAATCAATAACAGTATAGTTTTCTTATATCCAGGGTCACCATCATCACCTAGAAATGCGTAATGAATACTTTATTTGTGGTCTCTGATTTCTAGGAACTTAACAGTGGAATATAGACCGCATTGATGCCAAGAGATATCAAGGGTTGTGAAGCATTGCTGCATATACCAGGCAGCAGGAAGTCATTAATTATAAGGTTGGAAGAGGCAACTGTGATATATTTTACATGAGTACTTTAAGGGACCATTTTAGATTCCATGCAGTAGGAAGGCATACCAAACTGTGATTATTCTAAGAAAAGAAAATTAAGAAAAATGTTTGAAGGAGACAAGTATTTGTTGAGGGCCTACTGGGTGACAAACTGCATTGGAAAATGGGCTATAGAGTATGGTGGAGAGCTCAGGGCCTTGGAGTCAGATGACTTCAATTTGAATTTTGGCTATGACAACTGCTATTTGGGTGCTTATGGGAGTAAGAGAACTGCAATCTATATGATTGTAGTGAGGATTGGAGGGAATCAAGTGATTTGTCTCTATTCTGTGCCTGGCATGTAATAGGCCCTCAATAAACATGGGTCTTATTATTGTTAGTATTGTCATTATTATTATTTTTGTAATTTAATTATTACAACCATTACTTGAGGAAAGTGGTATTGTACACATTTTCATATGAGAAAACAAGGCTTAAGTAACCAAGAGATTTGCCTAGAGCAGTGGCTCTCACCTGAGGATGATTTTAGCTCCCAGAAGACATTGGGCAATGTCTGGAGAGCTGTTTTTGGTGGTCCCAACTGGCAGCGCAGGGTGTTACTGGCATCTCCTGGGTATAGGCCAGGGGTGCTGCCGAACATTCTGGAATGCATAGGACAGCCTCTGCAACAATGATCCAGCCCCAAATGTCAATCGTGCCAAGGCTGAGAAAGTCTGGCCTAGAGTCATGGACCTGCCAGATCAAGGAGCAGAATTCGAATTCTTTTCTGATTCGTGCGTTTAGATGTTCTCCCTGAAGCTATTCCATTCCTTCATGAAAATCCAGGGAGTGAAATAAAGTTAGTTTTTGGCAAGTCCCTTTAACTTTTCAGATAATATTCTGATGGCTTGAGACTCAAATATGGTGTCATGGGGTGGGTGACAGGCCAAGTACAGGGAAACTGAGGTGATGTGTGAGGGAACCGCCATCCATTCATTTTTCACCATTCATTTGTGTATTGAATCATTATTGATCATTGACTTCCCAAACACTTAGTGAGCACCTACTGTGTGCTAGTCCACAGTCCATATTCTTTTTTTTTTTTTTTTTTTTTTTTTTAGAGGATGTTTGGCTCTTATTGCCCAGGCTGGAGTGCAATGGTGTGATCTCGGCTTACTGCAATCTCCGCCTCCTAGGTTCCAGTGATTCTCCTGCCTCAGCCTCCCTAGTAGCTGGGATTACAGGCATGTGCCACCATGCCTAGCTAATTTTGTATTTTTAGTAGAGACGGAGTTTCTCCCCTCAGCCTCCCTAGTAGCTGGGATTACAGGCATGTGCCACCATGCCTAGCTAATTTTGTATTTTTAGTAGGGACGGGGTTTCTCCATGTTGGTCAGGCTGGTCTCGAACTCCCGACCTCAGGCGATCTGCCCGCCTCAGCCTCCCAAAGTGCTGGGATTACAGGGGTGAGCCACCGCTCCCAGCCCACAGTCCATATTCTTATGCAGCTTCTGTTTTGCCAGCCAAACCTTACTGAGAAATGAAAGATAACATTTCTGACATGAAACATAAGAAATGAAAAATATGCTTCAGTATACAAAAGTCCAGTTTATGAAGCTGTGTGTTTGGAGGCCTCACACTGATATTTGTTCATTTATTCATTGACTATTCAAAATACATTTGTACACTGCCGTCTTCTTGGGTATATACCCCCTAAGAAACTCTGTTGTCTGTCTTTTCATAAACCCTATGTTTAATGGCAGTTTTATCATTTCATTGCAAGTAAAAATCCTTTCAGAAACAGGGGCTGTATTTTTCTGTGTCTCTGAGGACTTTTGGAGGTTAATGCTTGGAGAAGGAACTCTTCCTTGGACATTTCCTGAGCCCTGTGGTTTACTTTTAATAATTATTTTGGTATGAAATAGTTTGCTGGGTTTTGTGGTTAGTGTCATAAAGTACCTAATTTCCCTAAAGAAAAATAAAGCCTTGACATATTAAAAAAAGGTTGAATTGAATAAAAGTAAATCTAATTTTTTAAAATAAGTGTCTGTTATTGTAGAAATTTCTTTAATGACAGAAAACAGGCACATGTGTGTGCACACACATATACATCTCAAAACGATACATCTAAGGCCTTGCTTCTCAACAGTTTGTAATTTCCTCCTAGGAAAAAACAAGAATTGCTGCTGCTGTTATTATTCTTATGAACTCCATTGATCTAATAACTCATGTTTTTTTTTTTTTTTAAATTAACCACAAATTTTCCTGTAGTGAGGAAGAGGTAAACAGTTTCCTTGATGTTGGGAAGTCCCTTTTTTAGAAGTGTATAGTCACCGCAAATTAGCTAGGCTGTTAATTTTTTTTTCTTCTTTTCTGTTCTTGTCTAAATAGAAGAATCCATGAAGCAAATGTATCCTGTGCTGGGCTTATGGAAGAACTTGCGGTTGAACACCACAAAACACAGTTTCCTTGGTCACTCCTTTGTAGTCTGAAATGTTTGAACAGTTTAATTGTATATGAAATGTCTAAATAGTTTAATTCTTTGACTCATGGGACAGCCAACTCTGTGATCTTTCTGAAGTACTAAAAATACATGAACAGTTGTTACGACAGACAATGTAAGATTTTGTTTCTTGATCAAGTTTTGTTAGATTTCTCTTCTCTTCTTCCCTCTCCTTTGTTCCCCTCCCATCTCTTCTCTCCCATTTCCCTCCCCTTCCTCTCCCCTACCCCCTTTCCCCTTTACTCCCTCTCTTCTCTCCTCTCCCTTCTCCACCTTTTCCTCAACAGTTAATCTCTTTGAACCCTTTGCACCCTTTCGGGGTTGAGGCTCCCTCTTTTATTCTGGCGTTTCCCTCTTTTTCCACATTCTTTAACACTTAACCTTTTCTCTCTATAATTCTTCCATGCCCAACATTTACTACATTTTTGTGAATAAATCTCTTAAAATATACACTTGATATTAGGATGTTTATTTTTTTACTTGAATTTTGGAAAGTTTATGTACGAAAGTGCAGTTAAGAATTGGTAGTTTCAAGATGTGGTTTGCTTTTGTGATATGAGAGCAAGTGTTTTTATTTGACTCTAACATGTATCATTTCAATTTCTTTTTGTTCTGCTTTCGAGGGTCTCTGCAGGGTCTCAGAGTCCTGGAGGGGCAGAGACCATCTTCAGTGAGGGAGCTCTGAGTGAAGGAAGATCTGGGAGTTGGCTGTCTTGTGGAAGGTCAGCGTGATGACGTCTCTAGACTTAATCATGCTGAATCCTGTCCCTTGAATTTGAAAGGCTATACAATAATTTTGTCCTGCTTATCAGAGCCATAAAACCACATTAAGGTATAGATAGAGGGCACAGCTCTTTCACACATGTGTATTGCTAATGGTTCTGAATCTAGTTTTTAAATAAAGCTTGTCATTTTCTGGGTGTATTGTGGAGACATGTTATAGGAATCATTTGCTGACTCTTCATGTTCATTCTATTTAAACAAACAAGAACCAAGTCTACAATATGACATAATTTTGCCTTGTAACTTTTTTTCTGATCTTGCAATTTCCCTTTGTCTTCTTAGCTAACCAATTTAAGTTAGGAAGATAATTGATCTATTGCCACGTGTTTCTTAACCTCCTCTCCATTTGTAATCCTTTCTTCTCGGTTGGAAGGAAACTAGAATTTAAAAATAACTAATATTTTGATGACCATTTATAATTTTATCTAAAATTTTAATGGTAACTTTGATGTTTTAAAGGTATTCCACACCTCAGAATCCCCCTCTAATAATTTTTAAGGATTTCTTCCTTGGGTGGAGCAAAAAAGAATGAGGCCTTCCCTGACCATCTCATGTTATGGTAAATGACAGCTACCTGCTGGTTTCTTGGGTTTTTTTGCAGTGATTAAGAACATTTGTTATCATGTATTTTAATCATCTGTGTATTTGCTTATTTGTTGTTATCTTTTCCGCTGTATATTACAAGGGCAGGAAGAATGTTAGTTTTGTTCACAATCCTCTAATATTTAATATGTGCATGGTATGCAACAGACACTCGATAAATATTTGGTGAGTGAAAAAATGCATCTTTCTTTTTTTAAATGACGAGGTCGTTCTCTGTCACCTAGGCTGGAGTGCAGTGGCATGATCATAGCTTACTGTAACCTCCAACCCCTGGCCTCAAGCAATCCTCCTGCCTCAGCCTACCAAATAGCTAGGACTACAGGCATATGCCACCATGTCTGGCTAATTTTTTAAATTTTTTTGTGGAGACAAGATCTTTCTATGTTTTCCAGACTGGTCTCAAACTCCTAGCCTTAGGTGATCCTCCTGCCTTGTTCTTCCAAAGTACTGGGATTATAGGTATGAGCCACCATGCATGGCCAAAAATGCATTTTTAGAAGAATGGATATAGAGCTGTTATGACTTAGTCCATTTAATATAGACTAATTATGTGAAAATCTACTTTGCAAAGCGGATTTGGGGTCCACGGTATCTGTTAGCAGAGCCAATTTTTTTTTTTTTTTGAGACAGAATCTCACTCTGTCGCCCAGGCTGGAGTGCAATGGCATGATCTCGGCTCACTGCAACTTCTGCCTCCCGGGTTCAAGTGATTCTCCTGCCTCAGCCTCCTGAGTAGCTGGGATTACAGGTACCCACCACTATGCCTGGCTAATTTTTGTATTTTTTTGGTAGAGACAGGGTTTTACCATGTTGGCCAGGCTGGTCTTGAACTCCTGACCTCAAGTGATCACCTGCCTTGGCCTCCCAAAGTGCTGGGATTACAGGTGTGAGCCACTGCACCCGGCCCATTTTACTAATTTTTAACTGAAGAGTTGGTTTTCAAATGAGGAATTCATTTGATAATGAGAAAGGTTTTTTTTAACTTTGGGGGTCAAGAGCCAATGTATAATTTGAAGATAAAGGTCCTTTCCCCAGAAAAATGTAGTTAGACCATTACAAATTTTTGCATATAATCATAAGATTTATGGATCTTTAGAGGTGGGTCCTTGAACTCCAGTACTAAGAACTCAGGCTAAGAACTCATATGTAACAGTTCCACTTAATTTTTAGGTTGGGTTTGCAGCAATTTATGAGGATAATAATTCGTGCTGAAGATGAAAGACAAAAGTGTCAGATGCCCGGCGAGGACAGTGCTATCCACTAAGGGGTTTAATTCTTGCCTCCATTCTCTCTGAGGCTTTTAAAATAAATAACAGGATTCTGATAAAGATTGAGCTGTTTCACTTGAGACTCTGTGGGCCTATGGACTTGTAATGAAAACCACAGTTATTGTTAGTTTATTTCCATGTGTAATTAAAGACAGGAAAAAAATACAAGCCAGTAAAATGAGTAATGCAAGGAAATTCTGATGCACAGCTTCCTTTTGAAGATGGTTTTACACATTCATTCCTGTCTAGTTCCCTGTTGAAGATTCTTATCTTGGCTGCGTAGATTGTTCAGAATTTTCACCCCATAGGAAAACAACTAAACTGGTTTGCCTCTTCTTGGCTGGGGGAGCCCTCCAAGCAGGTATTCTGGCTGAGCTAGGCCATATTCTCTCTTAAGTTACATGATTTCACCTATCATGTTGGTTGGTGGTCTTATTGCCTGACTTCTCTTTTATTTACAATTCCTGTGGTACATTATAGCTTTCTGGAGCCAGGTTAAGAATGAGATAGTCTGCCCCCAACCCCAGGAATGCTTGGATGTTATTTTCTGGTCTTGGCAACCTAAGGATCTCTTAACTTCTTTAATCTGATTAATGGGGAATTCAGAACTATAGTTACAAAATAGTTTGCCTAAGCTATTACTGCTTTGATGGAATTAATGATCAAATATTGGCTAATGCCCAAAGCAGATTCGTGAACTGTGCTTAATTTTACATTTCCCTTCTCAAAGGCAATTGTGGAACAAAGACCTTTTATGTTGGTTGAACCCAATTAATGAATGGAAATGTAATTTCATTTCTTCTACAACTATGGTTGAATTTGATGAGTCTTGCTTGTCTACAACAACATGCATACGAATATCACTTTGTTTTTACTAAGTGAAGTTATTAAGGCAAAACACTTTTTGTTGAACTTCTATGGTGGATAAGCCACTTTGATACCTTTATTTGGGTCAAAATGTTCTTTAAACAGCCTTTGAGGCATTGACCTCATCAAAGCAGTTAATTTTCCAATGACCCATTTTGGAGTAACATGGACACAATGGCAGCTTCTCTAGACTTGATCTAAAGTGTAGCATAGTTGGTAACTAAGCTTCGTGATTGCAAATGCCAGAGACTGTTAAGAGCTGGTTGTATATTTGATGACTCTGTTTGTTTAGCAGTTTGTTAGAAGCTACTTGGTTGATCTTGGCTTTTTGCCTGATGTACATATGTATATATATAAATATAATATGTAAATAATATATAGACTTAACAGGTCAGCCTGTTTTATAAATAAAAATGGGAGCATTGCTCAGAAAATGGCAAAAGAATGAGACATAGTATGTATTTATATATACAGATATAAAATATAAAAATATAGATAGTATAATATATAATATAAAAATATATAAATATATATATAAAATTAGAGTGTTCTGTTACAAGATTTGTACTCATTAATAAGTCAATCAATTTTAATGACTACTTGATATAATTGTAAAAGTATTTACAGGGGATTCAATGATGAACTGAAACCAGAATAACCGTACAAGTTTTAGTTCAGTTATATGCCTTTGAGAGTCAAGGGGGGCACTTTTAAGTACTCTAGGGCAGCAGGTATAAACTGGAACTATCTCAGGAAAGTTGAGATGAATGGTCACTGTAATTAAAGCATACATATTCTCTGTCATGGGGCTTGCAGGCAACGGGGGAGACATAGACAAATCCAATAATCAGATAGTGAATACCAATTTATAGCTGTAAAAAAATGATAAAGTGCATATAGTAAGAGGAGTTGATCTGGTCATGGGTTAGGGAAGGCCTCCCTAGGGAGGTAAAGTGTTTGCTGAGCTCTGGAAGAAGAGTAGGAGTGGAGTAGGGGAGAAGGGAGTACGGTGTGACCAAGGAATTGCCAGAAGACCAGGGAGACTCACTCATGGACATCAGAGCAGAGCCTGGTGAGGGAAGAGGCTAGGAAGCTGGGTAGGGTTCACACCATGCAGGACCTTGACCTCCCTGGGAAGGGTTTAGATCTTTACCCTAACTGCCATGGGAAGCCATTACAGATTTTAGTGGAGGAGGTGAGGGGGAGGGATTTTTAGATGGGTGAATCACATGATCAGATGTGCTTTGGGAAAAGATCATTTGGGCTGTAATGTGGAGAAGAGATTGAACAGGGATGGGTAGGGTGAAGTGGGGCTGGGGACAAAAGTAAGTTTGGGGAGAGTGGTTCAGTGGCTTTGCATTAATCCAAGTGGGAGACTATGATGACTTTAGAGTAGTAACAGTGGGGTGGAGCATATGGATAAATTTAAGAGATATTTTGGAGCAAACTCAACAGGACTCTTCCAAACTTAAGAGTTTGGAAACAGACTCTTATGGTGAAGGAAGGGTATTTAAAATTATTTTGTGCCTCCTATAATAATATTACAGTTTTGTTGTGTCTGGTCAGCCTGTTTTATAAATAAAAATGGAAGCATTGCTCAGAAAATAGGATAAGGAATGGGGTGAATGTGGGGGAGAGTACAGAGTTTTAAGTTGTTAGGCAAGAGTTGAACTGTAGCATGATCTCAACCAGTATTGCTGTGTCACTGATTTCTTACCCTGATCTCTGCTCAATTAGCCTTTTGGACAGCAGGTCCAAGATATCATTTAGGATGCCAGAACAATAATCTTCTAAATAATACCCTGGTGCCTTGAAGGAGTTAAGGTATGGATTCCCAGATGCTTTATCTATAACCAGCCTGCATCTTAGACTTTGGGCCCAACTGGTAGATCACATAATTCTTTTATAAGGCTGTTGCTCATATTAAAGTATGATGTAATAAAGGTTATGAATTAAAAACAAAAACCTACAGGGTCACATGAATGTGTATAAACATCAATGAACTAAGTACATTTTTTTTTTTTTTTTTGGCAGAAGACTTGCTATTGCGTATAACATAGCATCAGGCTGACAATGGTATTTAAATGTAAATGTTAGCCAAGTAATGAGATGTTGTTGTTTGCTTCTTTTGTGGGCTTTGGATTCTTGTGTCATTCATTCTGCCTTTATTGATCTACATGGCTTTTAGCATTATGGCATTCTAAATTTCTGAAGATAATACCATGAACATTCTTCCAAAAATATTCTCAGTTAAACAAGAAGCGGAGACTCTCTTATGCGTCTCTCTTCTTTTGCTTCTCTCTTGAATCTTGACAAATTATGAAATTTCAACTCTAGTTTATACTTAGAGATTCTGTTTTCATTAGCAGTCTCTTTTGCTTGAGTTGAGGTGAGGAAGGATGTTGTTAGAAATTCTCATTTTCACCTACTGGCTCTTTCTTTTTCAGTTTTCTTGTATGTGCCCTAAGCTGAGTATTCATTTTAAGCACGCTCATCTACCCTTGGTCCTCTGTCCTGAGCCTCATACTGACTGGCCAGAAAAACTGGATGTTATTTTTCAAAAGCTTAGTACAGATTTTGATATCTTGTTGCAGCATTTGATACTAAGAATGACTGAGGCCGGTGTTCAGGGATGCTGCAGGTGGTTTTGATTACTGATTGCCAATTCATGTCTTTACAAAGCGTTGTGTCATATTTTATCTTAAATGTGGTTAATTTTTTTTCCATTCATTTCTTAAATCTTTCACACTGAATTGGATAGGTTTTTGAAGTTCAAACTGCGTTTGCTGTAAGCTGGGTTCTTGGATTGCTGTCCAGTGTGAGCTTGGGCAGTCCAGGGATTTATTTGATGGCGGTGTGCTCAGCTTTTGAAATTAAGTAATAGAAGTAGGATTTAAAATAACTTTTTTAACATACTAGTTTTGATCTTTTATCAAAAGATCAGTTTTGATTAACTCCCTGAAAAGACATGTAATTTCAACATTATCTGTGTGATAGGTGGAACACATATATTGCTTTAAGTCTACTAGTCTTAGCTTAAAAATCCTTATCAGTGACAAGGAAATAATAATGCCTACCTTCAGAGGCCACTGTGAGGGATAAATGAGGCCATTCATGCAGTTGTTCATTTGACAGATATTTACGAAGCATCTGCAGTGTACATGGGACTGGTGCTTAACACTGGAAATGACAGAGAACAAAATCAAATCTTTGGCCTTCATGGAGCTTATATTTTACCTAATATTTGTAAAATGCATGATAGATGATCAATAAATCATAGCTCTAATTGTCACTACCTAAAATTTGGATAAAACTTTGAGATCTAAAATATATTGTTAAATGATTTCAGGTCTTCCCTTATTTTAACTTCAAATTAAATTAGAGATGTTGAAGAAGTTCTGTAGATATATTCTGCACATTAATTTTAAGGTTCTAAAGCAGTGGTTCTGAACTCTGACAACACATTAGAATGACCCTGGAGGCTTTTCAAATACTGAAATACCAGCGTTGGGAAGCTTCTCTCAGAGATTCTGATGGTGGTCTAAGGTGGGCACTGGTATTTGTTTTAAAAGCTCCTAAGGTAATTCTATTGGGCAGCTAGGGTTGAGACTCTCTGAAATACTTTACGAGTATTTACATGTTATGGCTATTTATGTATCAAGGTACATAGCTTGATATGAGAGAAGGGCTATGGCATTTGCTATGGATTGGACAAGTTTGATGATAGGTTTCCGAGCAAAATATATGGCTTCTGAGAACCCAGGTGCATGGACTGTAGGCATGACTGCCACAGTGCATCTCTGTCCCCTGGATCAATCACTGTACCACAAAGCCCTCAGTATTCTCATCCATAAAGTCTGGTTAAATGCAGTGAGGATGCCTGCCAATACTAGCAGTTTGCTGCTCTACAGGGTATTGATTTAATACCCCAGTATATGAATTATCTGTTTCCCAGAATGGTTTCCAGCCTGCTGCCTCGTTCCCTTCCTTTGCCACAGCTAATCAAGCCAGTGGTGAACATTCAGTCAAAGCCTGCCAGATCTTCAGCTGGCAAACACACAGCTAACTCATTCTGGAGAGACTTTGAGTAATGATGCAAATGTCATTATCATCTGGGAAGCATAGAATGACAAGGAAGGTATGGGAGAGCTTGATTACCACCTTGGTCTTTGTGTGATTTGAGGAAGACTGTGTACACAGAGAGAATCCTAGAGTAGGTGTGTGAGGCAAGGTGCATGCACATTCCACAGGGCTGCAACTCGATGGCCCATGAGACAGAGAGACGGACAGGAGAGCTTTGTCCCTGGCCTGGTTCCAGTTCCAGTCCTCAGGGCCCCACCTGTATTTAATTCTGTCCTTGGGCAACTGAAATTTCTTGCTGTTTCCTTATCATTCCTCCTTCCTTGTACTTCCTTCAGTGGGTTTCTGTCCTTATGCAACCCCAGATGCTTTGAGTAGAACATTAGATTAGTAGAAACTTTTCAGTAACCAGTGGGGCAGTACTAAAAATAGAAATGGGGTAAGGAGAATAAGCAAAAGAGTGTGATGTTGTGGAAAGAATGAAGACAGTAAGTTATAGTCTTAGCTCTGTCCCAAAATAGCTCAATGACCTTCCCCAAGGTGCTTGACTCTCCCAGGTTTGTCTAAAATGGAAATGGTGCAGTCTCATAGGGCTGGGGTAATGAAAAAAAAATAGATTATAGTTGTAGAAATGCCTTGAAAAGGTAAAATGGCACACCAGTAAGGAGATCATCTCGTATCCCCTCAGACATTTAGACAATGTGAGATTTGAGTTGTTTGCTTTCAGAGACAGAGCTAGGAGAGAAGAGAAACTGAGTCATAATAAAATATGCCTGAGGGGCAAAGTTTTTAAGTGTTCATTGAATTCTAAATGGAATACTTCTTTACTTCTGTCAACTTTTAATTTTCACAGCTTTATTATTCTCCCAATGGCTATTATTTCTTTCTCAGAATTTCTGATTATTTGCTGCCTCAGTTGTCTCAGTTTTTCAAATATATATTTTTAGATAGAGTTCAATTTTTTCATGAGGTTCTGCTCACAATGCGGGTGACATAGTTCTTTGTGTTATGAATTCGTGATAAAGTTACTGATTTTCTTTCTTTGCATTCAGCAAAGAACAAGAATTAGGGCATGCATGTAAACGATTTGGTTGGTTGGCCTTCTTGTCCTCACTTGGCATATCCTAAAATCATTTTATTGTCTCCTACATAGTGGATTGGGCAATGGGAAAGGTTTACAATTGGAAAGGAAAGTTGGTGTAGGTCTTTCCAGCAGTAAAATCTATTAAAGATCCTTTTACTTTTGCCTCTCACATAAAACGAATGTGTAAGTGGCTCTGAGAAAGGTAATGATATTAATGCCCAAATGTACACTTAAATGTACTATTATAAGTGTACTTACTATGAGCCACTTACAATGTACTATTCCAATTATACAATTGGAATAGAAAGGGTGTCAAGCATTCAGGACTGAGGAAAATTGGCCTGGCAGTGAACAGGCTTACTTTTGGACACTGACATTAAACCTGACTCAGAAGATTTTCTCATTCCTTAATGTTACTCTTCAAGATAACTTTTCATTGACACAGTTAGGTAGCTAAGGGAAGATAAAGTAAAATCAAAGAAAGATTGGATCTGTCAGTAGGTTGAATGTGCACAAAAGCTTTCCGCTCTTTTGCTTCCATTATGCATTTACACCAAGTGGAATAAGTCTCCCTCTGGGAAGCGCTGTTGCAATTCTCAGTACCTTTGGGCATTAATATCATTCCCTTTCTCAGAGTCACTTACAAATTCAGCTTATGTGATAGGCAAAAGTTTAAGGATTTTTGGTAGAGTTTACTGCTGGAAAGACCTAGGCCAACTTTCCTTGCATTCCAAACTGTTTCATATTGCTTTAGTGGAAAAGGAAGATCACTGCTACTTGTAGATCTGACATTGGAACACAAGTCTCTTGAATCATTAGCTTTTCTGGAGTTACGCAGCTTTTGTATATTTGAGATTTCTTTAAAAGGTGTAAAGTTCATTTTCAGTGAAGTATGAATGGAGTATACAATACCGTTCTTTTTAACAACTGACAAATTGATTAGCATTTATTGAATTAAATCTAGTTGAAAGTCAGTAATTTTTAAAGAGTGCCTTTTAAAAAATTGGTGTTATGAACAAAAAGTGAGAATACTTAAGGATCTTAGATAAAATTGTGAAATGGACTTAACTAGGCAATGAAAGATTGCGAATCCATTACTTTCTGGAGACCCCTTAAAATCTATGGGAACTTAATGGAGGGCCACTAGGTGTTTAGATGTCCCTGGAAGATATTAGATGCCTATCAACAATATGGTTCATCATTGTTTCATATGCCCTTCAGTCCATGAGGTAAATGGTGGTATGGCTGGCTCATGGGAACTAGGGAAAACATTATATGCTATTGGTCAGGTCACTGTGTCACTGGGCAGCTTCTTGATTTCCTTTTCGACCTATTTCCTGTTTATAAAAAAAAAAAAGTGCAACTCTCTGCCACTGCGGTATTCTCAGGTCAAATAGGAAACAGGTTAAATAATCAATTCTCCATATACTTTTGGCCATCTTCCCAAATGTAATGAGTTCACAGTGTCTGATGACCCAACCTTGTGGTATAGTTTATAAGGAACAACTTAAGTATTGACTCATTCATTCATTCATTTAATAAGTCTTCTCCCATTCTATATATTTTTGTTATTTTGATCTCATTCTGTCACCTAGGACGGCGTGCAGTGGTGTAATCATGGCTCACTGCTGCCTTAATTTCCCAGGCTCAAGCGATCCTCCTGCCTCATCCTCTCAAGTAGCTCGAACTACAGATGCCCACCATTATGCCTGGCTAATTTTTTAATGTTTTGTAGAAACGGAGTCTCCCTGTGTTGCCCAGGCTGGTCTCAAACTCCTGGGCTCAAGCAATCCTCCTACCTCGGCCTCCCAAATTGTTGGGATGAACCAGTGTGCCCGGCCCCATTCTATCTTTTTTAACTTGCCAGCTTTACTGCCATTTGTGTGTGTGTGTGTCTGTGTGTGTAGTCTGAAATTTTGGTATCTTTGTATACCAAAGAGGCATGCCAGTTATTAATCTACTGCGGCATGTAAAAAGAAGGTGCAAGCTTCCAGGTGTCCCCTCCCAGTGGAGTCACATGGAGATTTGCTTGATTCTCCCGGCAACAAAGGCTAAGTATTACCAGCCAGGAAAGCTCACTGGCACTTTGATGTTCAGGGATTTTACTGGAGATCATATAGTGTCTGTGTAACTGACCTCAACTACTTAAGACTTCGGCTCTTCTTTTCTCCCTGGGCAAAAACAGGTGTTTGCCCTAAATCGCACTGTAAGGATAAACTTTTCTGGTAAACTGGTACAGGATGGCTCGGGGCCTCAGGTTTATAAAAACAGATGCTAACCATAAATACAGTGGGGCCCAGGGCCTCAGGCATACAAAAACAAATGTTTACCATAAATACAATATGACCCAAGACCTCAGACATACAAAAACACTGAACGAAGCAGAATATTCCAAGGGTTCAGAGGTTATCTCCTAGGAGTTAACAAGGTCCAGTCCTGAAGATAGGCCTTTCTTTGGTATGTGCAGAGTTCTAGCAACCCAGGCCTACCAAGTTAACCGTTTCCTGCTCACATTGTCTAGTAATAAGGTTGACTCTGGACAACACAGGTCTGAACTGCTTGGGTCCACCTGTACGTGATGTTTCTTCTGCTTCTGCCACTTCGGAGTCTGCAAGACCAAACTCCCTCTTCCTTCTCCCCCTCAGCCTACTCAACATGAAGATGATGAGGATGAAGACCTTTTTGATGATCCACTTTCACTTAATGATTAGTAAATATCTTTTCTTTCTTGTGATTTTCTTAATAACATTTTCTTTTCTCCGGCTTACTTTATTGTAAGAATACAGTGCACAATAAATGTAATATACAAAATATGTGTTAATTGACTATTTATATTATTGGTAAGCCTTCTGATCAACAGAAGGCTATTCCCCGTTGAGTAAGTTTTGGAGAGAGTCAAAAGTTATATGTGGATTTTTGACTGTGTGTGTGGGGTAGGGGAGTTGGCATCCCTAACCCCTACATTGTTCAAGGGTCAACTGTATTTTATTGAATGCTAGTCATTGTGAATGTTATGCTGTGTGTCTCTGGATTTTATCATTTTGTAAGGAGTGTTGAATTTTGTTCTGGAAAGTGGATCATTTCCTTGGGATCAGCTTGATTCTTTCAAGGGCTGTCTTTAAATTTTCTGAGAGTGGATCTAAAGTCGTCTTATTGTAGGCTTAGTTTAGCCCTATACCCAAGTGTGGTCTTTCTGGGATCTCTACAGAACACTCCTGGTGTTTAAAGAAGTCTCTCCACTTCTGCAGGTTGGAACTTGAATGTTTCCCAGCCCTTGATGAGCTCTGAAAGTTGTTCAGTTTATAACTTTATTACAGATGCTCTCTTCCTGGTAGTCATTCTTTCTCTAGTAGTTGCTGTTTGCCCAGGACAGTGACATCTCACCCTCTGCATATACACATTACTATTCAGCCAAAGACTCAGGGACACACCTAGAAAGACTTCTAGGTCTCTTCCTTTGTTGTACTGTGGCCTGCATATTCCAGCCATCTCATTCTCCCCAAATGTAAACCGTTTCTTTCCATGTCATTGAGACTCCTCTGTGCTGCTCAGGTTCCTTCTCTCTGCTGCACCATCTGGAAAGTATTTCTAGACAGAAAGCATAGGTGATCACACTGCTCATCTCATTTGTTTTTCTTCCTTTGGGAACCACAGTCGTGAACTGTTGTTTAATAACTGAAAACTCTTGTTTCATATATTTTTGTCTGATTTTCTAGTTGATTGTAGTGGGAGAAATAATCTGGTACCAGCTGCTTTTCATGGCTGAAGTGTAATTTACTCTAACAATTTTTATGTAAGACCAGGGGTTTGAGAATCAGACATGTGGACTTCGGATTTGGTTCCCAGCATTTGCTAAGTTTTGATCTTTGGCAATTAGTTAACATCTCTCTGACTTAGCTGCTTTATTGTAAAATGGGCATGGTAGTACCTAATTCATAGGGGTTTATGAGCATTATTTGTGATAGTGCAAGTAAAATGCTTAGTATAGTTCCTTACACATATTAAGGCTCATTCATTGATGATGATGATGATGTTGATAATGGTGGTGGTGGTCGTGGTATTCAGCTGTCTGTATTTTCACTATAAGTGAGGATGTTACATAGAAAAAAATGCTTTTGTTATGTTACAAAGTGAAAGTGCTGCAAGTCTTGTGGCAGTTAATTGTCACAAATGTGATAGGATCAAGGAGAGCTTAGACACTCTTCCTTTTCACTGCTTGCAGAACAGTCACAGAAGTTACAGAAAAATTCATTGATGACTTCTGGGTGTGGTAGCCAGAAGAGTTGATGCTTTTTCTGAAAATACTCATATAAGTTTAGGGATACAAAGCTCCTGAAGACTGTATTTAAAATGCCTTTAAAAGTGAACCTGATTATATCTTTAATGTTTTGCTTTTTAAGCTGTGTGGTGCAAACATAGGTGTGTTTATTATTATTTTTTATTCTATTTGATATTTTGATATACCTGAAATGGTTCATAATTTTCCAAACCTGTCTCACCCCCTCAAAAGCAGGCCTTTTTCCAGAGTCAGTCTGTGCTATAAGTCTAATCTGTTAACATTTGAGTGGATCAAATCTTAAAACCATGAGATAGCTTCTCATTAGTACTAGTGTACGTATTTGAGAAATTGTTGAATTAAACATGCAAGTTGCAGTATGATGTGTACAATGGTACTACTCAGGTAAAATTTTAAAATATGTAGAACATTACTGTATACTCTGGATGGATGTGTGTGTGGTGTGTGTGTGTGTGCATGAAAAACTTGGTTTGGAAAGAAACATGAAGTTTAGGAAAACAATTATTTTCTGAGAAAAGAGATGGGAGGGAGAGCAGGCAAGAATTCAAAATAGTCTTAAATTGAATCCATCATATATTATTTCTGAAAAAAAATGAATCAAATATTCCAGATAACATTTTAGAATCTGAATGGTGCATGTATGGGTATGTTATATTCTTCTTTGTATTTTTCTATATGTTTGATACTTGTCTTAAAAATAAATGTAATAACAATAATGTACAAGTTGGTAATGGAATTAAAACTTTTGGCTCTAGGGGCTTGGTTCATGTTTGATCAATATCAAGCCTTTTGGGGTTATCTTCAGGAATGTGATTGTAATATCCTGCATTGTGTCTTACTCTGGGACAACCTCAGAATGTAAAGTTATACTTAGGAGTCCAGAACACCTTCCTTTTGTAAACACATATGCATTAGATATTGTTAGGATAAAACTTCGCTGATGGTTTTATCAGCGATAAACTTCATACTTAGGTATGAAGTATGAATATTTAATGCAGTATGAAGTTTGAATATTGTAATGCAGGGACTTTTTCCTGGGCCAGTCTATACTCTTAAGTCTAATCTGTTCCCCTTTGAGTGGATCAACTCTTAAAACCCTTAAATAGCTTCTCATCAGTAGGACAAAGTTCATGCAACTTAAGGGGACCTAGGAAGCCTGCTTCCCCTTTTCCCCTGTTGCTCCTCCCACCATCCTTTTTTCTTTCTTTCTGTTATCCAACTATACTAGACTTTTTATCCTTCTTCTGTTTCCTCTTAGGTGTCCTGTTCATTCTCTTGAGGAGGCATTGATTTCCCCTTTCCTCTTTAACTCCGTCCCTATCCCTCAGTTTTTCTAGTGGACCGCTCTACATCAGTCAAATCTTAGCTTCAGTATCCCAGTGTAACCACGTAAGTTCCACTACTGTATGCTTTCTACAATTTTCCAATATTAATGCTCATATCCTCACTGTTATTACTCACATGCCCACCTTTCCAGTCTTCAATTTAAGCCCTATTAGGAAGAAACCATGTTTATCTCCATTTCTCTAGCACCTATGTAGCATTTATAATATAAGCACTAAATAAATATTTGTTGAATGAAAACATGAATTAAGTACAGTTTGGGCTTCTGATGAATATATACTCACTAGATACTTAAAATTTTTAATGGAAAATACTGGATTTAAAGAAAACTTTTATGAATATTTTAATGAACATTTTCATAAAATATTGAGAGGATTTATGGTCAAAGATATATTTTTAAATTGGAGAAGTAAAGTGTTTACTCACAAGGAAAGCAATGCTAGAGTCCCATGGGCATTAACAGGTTAATTTTCTTCTTTAAATAAATTAATTAAAATTTTTATTACTAATACACGTGTATGGAAACAATCAAAGAGGACTGAAGTGTTTAAAATGAAAAGCAGTAATCATATGCTTCAGTGTTCCTCAGTTCTATCTGATTAATAAGTTAAAACTTTAATAAGATTCACCTTCAAGAAGAAAAATGTGCATGAACAAAAACAACTATAGTTGTTGAGTTGAAGGTAGAATGGGAATAAAGCCTCACACTAAAGGGGCTTTTTAAGTCATGATTTGTTTTTAAAAATGCCATCTGAAGGGCACAGTGATTCCTCCAGTGTTAGCTTGTGTTTTCTATAACCTTCTTCCTCAAAGGCCCATCCTAAAAAAGATTCAGCTTTGCTTTTTTGCCCCTCTTTCCAAAGACAGGATCTCAAAAAATGGTAACTAATTTAAGCCCTGCTAAATGTCCAGATGCAGCACCTGGGAAAAATGAAGTTCAGAAGTTCAGAATTTGGAAGCGCTTAAGCTAGAAGAATCTTCTTGCTGTGGTTGCATGTCTGGTTCTGGAAGCTAGTAACTTCTTTCAGGCAGGCATTGTTCCATTAGAACAGATGGCCCGAAGTGTGGCTGTGCCAGAGAGCAGAGACCAAGTGTGAACTTGTCCAGGAAGTTGAAACACTTCTCAGAATATCTTCTTCTCCTGGTAATAGCCGTGCCATTGCAACTAGAACTTTCTGGGTTGGAAGAGTGAACTCAACAAAACAAAACAAAACAAAACAAACAAACAAACAAAAACTACAAAAAAACCATGAGACTGGGTGCCATGGCTCATGCCTGTAACCTGTAATCCCAGCACTTTGGGAGGCTGAGGCAGGTGGATCACTTGAGGTCAGGAGTTCCAGACCAGCCTGGCCAACATGGTGAAACCTCGTCTCTACTAAAAAAAAGTACAAAAAAAGCTGGGAGTGATGGTGCATGCCTGTATTCCCAGCTACCTGGGAGGCTAAGGCAGGGGAATCGCTTGAACCCGGGAGGTGGAGGTTGCAGTTAGCCAAAGTTGCACCATTGCACTCCAGCCTGGGTGACAAGTGAGACTCTGTCTCAAAAAACAAACAAACAAACAAAAACATAAAAGCTAGAGTTAGAGCATTGATGTCCAATGTGGTAGCTATTGAACCCTTGAAATGTGGCTAGCCCAAATTGAGACGTACTGTATGTGTGAAATGCACACCAGACCTCATAGATTTCATATGAAAAAGGAAAGTAAAATATCTTGTTAACAATTTTTAATATAGATTCGTTTTGAATTATGTTTTGGGTAAATAAGGTAGTAAAATTGACTTCACGTGCTTCATTTTGTTTTTCTTTTTAATGTGGCTACTAGAAAATTGAAATATACATGTGTGGCTCATTTTGTATTTCTATTAGACGGTGCTGCTTTTGAGAGAAACTTTACCAGGGATGTTCATGGAACTCTGTCCAAGTTACACTTTGATGTGACTCTTTACTCTGGAGTAGATCAGATATGGAATCCAAACCTTGGAATTTCTAAGTTAGCTTCTTAGTAACTTACAGTTTAAATGTAGCAATGAAAACAAGAGTAGGATTTTTTTTTTTCAGTTGTAAAAGAAATTTCTAGAAACTAAGAGCTTTACAGAGCTTAAAATTTATTCTCATTGTTTTATTTTTAAACTCTAAGTTTCTGCCAGGACAAAAATGTTCAGTTCTTTTTGGATTCTGATGGCCTGGTAAAACTTCTTTGTAAACCTAGGGGATGTGATAGAATTGGCACAGGAGAAAATTAATTTGGTTGGGATCCATGAATGGAATGGAGGTGATGTGCAGGCCTTGCAGTCTGTTGTAATCAATCATTATAGAAGTTTTGCTGCGATGCTGGCCTGCCCAACACTCTGCACTTTGGGCAACATCGTGAAAAGATATCTTCCTGTAGATCCCTGCTCTGGTGCAATACAAGTGTCAACATAGAAATAGAATGTGTGTTATTATAGGCCACATATATACACATTCAATAAAATGTCTCAGCATTTACTCGTGTGTGTGTGTGTGTGTATGTGTCTGTGTGTGTGTTCTGGAAAAAAGTTAAATGAGATTTTCCACAACTTTTTAAAAAAATTTCAGCCTCGTTGTAGGATATTTTCCAAACCCACATTTTCCAGCAATTTGAGCCCCAAACTTATAGCAATGAGGCACTTTCTTGACAAAGGTGAGTCAAAAACAGGAACCCTTTGATTCTGTTTGTCACATGATGCTGGATGTTATAAAATAATAATAGCAAGGAGTTCATTTCTTTCCCTTTGATCGTCAGACTTTTAGCTGCTTCACTTCCATTGCTAAAGCCAGGAATTCAGAAGTGTAGGTCAGATGCTGTGCGTAGAAAATGCATTTGGGAGCATACACATTAAATGGGTTATAAATAGTATCTGCCCTGACAATGCTGGAATTTTCTCAGCTTTTAGAGACATTGAAGTCTTTGTTTTGTGGGTTGCTGCCCTCCACCCCCAACCCCCTAAGCTTGAGTCATAAAGCCTGAAAAACTAATGAGGTTGCTGAAACTTAAAATCTAATTGGTAGGATGTATGGAAAACAATGAGAGATGGCAGAAACCGTACACTTCGATTCAAGTTGGCTTCTCTGTTGCAGCATTGCAACTTGCTCACTTTGCATTTTATTGTTCCAGGTCCTTGAATTAATTTTTTCCTTCAATAGGATCAAATTAGACCTAGATTTAAAAAAAACTCATAAGTAGATAACCATCAAGGCTAATATTAGGATCCTAAAGTCTTCATTTAGAAAAGGAAAAAAAAAAACTAAAAAAAAAAAAAAAAGCAAAAGTTCAAACGGGATTTTCTTTTTAATTTTAAAATTTTATTTTATTATGCTTTTTGAGACTGAGTCTCACTTACTCTGTTGCCCAGACTGGAGTGCAGCGACGTGATCTCGGCTCACTGCAACCTCTGTCTCAGGGGTTCTTGTGCCTCAGCCTCCCGAGTAGCTGGGATTACAGGCACATGCCACTATGCCTGGCTAATTTCTGTATTTTTAGTAGAGATGGGGTTTCGCCATGTTGGCCAGGCTGGTCTAGAACGCCTGGGCTCAAGTGTTCCACCCGCCTTGGCCTCTCAAAGTGGTGGGATTACAGGCATGAGCCACCATGCCCAGCCCAAACTGGATTTTCTTGATAGTCTCTCTCTCTCAGAAATATTTTGCTCTTATCTTCTGAGTTTATAGATGATATTTTACAACAAAGGTCTACAAACTATAAACCACACCTGGCCTGTCAGCATCTTCATGGATGCCCCTACAATTAAGAATGATTTTCACATTGAATGTTTTTCCCCCCAGCCGTTTAATGTTGAAAAAACAAACAGAGAAAGAACATGTGGTAGACATCATACCTGGCCCACCAACCCTGCAATATTTGCTATCTGGCCCTTTACCTACAAAGCTTGCTGGCCCCTGGTTTAGAATGTGCTTGCTGTGTCACCCTTGCTATTAGATATGTAATCAGATAAAAAGTTTCTTTCTTGGATTTTGTTAATTCACCCATTGAATATTTCTGGAGTATTTATTCCATTCCTGGCACTGTCATAGGCACTGGGGAAATGAAGTGTAAAAAGTCACACCAAAACACAGACTAAAGGGCATATTTCAAAAGTGACAGAGCTTGCATTCCTGTCGAGAGAAAAAGACCAAACCTAACCAACCCGAACAGAAACAAGAAATGAAAAACTTAATTACCAGGAAAATAAACCAGCTGAGTATGAGATAGATAATAACAGCAATTTCTGTGCTTCCCCCCTTGAACTGCACTATGGAATGGTGACTAAGTTATTTCCCACATTTTGAATTCACCCACCCACATACAAACACCAAATACTTGCTTGCTTTCCCCAAGTCATTTCCTCATTTTTAATTTTATTTTTTTCCTAAAGTCTTTTTGCCCCAGCTGAAATTCATTACTCAACCCCGTCTTATTGAGTACTTTAGTTTGGTGTTTCCAAGGTTTATTTATTTGGTGTTTGTTTTTTTTTTTTTCTTGAAAGAGTCTCACTCTGTCACCCAGGGTGAGTACAGTGGTGCAATCTCGGCTCACTGCAAGCAATTTTCCTGCTTCAGCCTTCTGAGTAGCTGGGATTACAGGTGCATGCCACCACGCCTGGCTAATTTTGGTATTTTTAGTAAAGATGGGGTTTTGCCATGTTGGCCAGGCTGGTCTCGAACTCCTGACCTCAGGTGATCTGCCCACCTCTGCCTCCCAAAGTGCTGGGATTATGGACATGAACCGCTGCACTCGGCCTCATCCTTTTTTTAAATTAGCTTTTCTGTGTCTTTAGACTTAAGGCTTGTTGCTTGTATGCAGCATATAGTTGGATTTTGATCCTTACTCTTTGTCTTAGCAGCTCAGGCTGCTATCATGAAATACCATAGACTGGTAGCTTACACAACATATTTATTTTTCACGGTTCTGAAGGCTAGGAAGTTCAGATCAAGGTGCTGGCAGATTTGATTCCTGATAAGAAGGTCTCTTTCTGTCTGGCAGATGGCTGCTTTCTCACTGTATCCCCAGAGAGCCAAAGAAGCTCTCTGGTGTCTCTTCTAATAAGGGCACTAATGCCATCCTGGGGGCCCCATTCTCATGACCTCATCTAAACTCAATTACCTCCCAAAGGCCCCACCACCGAATATCATCATATTAAGATTAGGGCTTCAACATATGAAGACAACAGTCTTTTATGCTTTTTCCCCCTTTTTTGGTAAATATGTATTATGGATTATAGTTATTTTATTTATTTTAGTATCAGAATCTTTCCTCAGATCTGACATTCTCTAAAACTTTTGTGATCTGCACCAAAGTAAGTTACAGACAAATGTTTGCTTGTTTCCTTTATTTTGGATCTTTTCTGTAAGAATTCTTTGTGATACTACCAGATTAGTAATCCTGCTCTCCTAAGCATACTGAGTGGTAGCCTATGATTTCTTTTGTGGTTCAAAATATGCCCTGTAGCCTGTGTTTTGGTTAGCAGAATGGCCAGAGCTTAGACTAAAGGCCACGACTCACACATTCCAAATACATATAGGCTTGAAGTTATCCTATTATAAAACAGTTACCACATTCATGTAAATGGCCAGGCAAAGGTCAAAATATGAGCAACATTATTTGTAGCTCAGTGAGAGATTTGATGTTCAAAGTCTGTCAGCATTTGTCAGAAGACTGATATTGTCAATGGCTGTTTCAGATTAAGACCAACTAAAAAGTGATTTGGTGTGAACTCAGAATATAGGGAAAATAAGACAATTTGAATGTACCCCAGGAAACAAGAGCCCTGCACTTGACTCCAAAAGGAGTTCTATTATTCTGGCTGTTTCCAGACTTTATTGTATCTTGAGAAGAGAACTGTTTTCCCTCTAAATCAGTTTCATCATCTGTATCCAGGGTAGTACTCACAAGAACATGTCAATATCAATAGCATGCATATGGGGTGTTGGATTCTTAGAACTTATTGCAATTGCTTCCTCTAGGTTCTATGATGATTATCAATTTATTGCCTCTCAGGTCCAAATTCACCCTTTATTGTCTGCTCTGTGAAAATGGACCTGAACTCTTTAAATGGTATGATGTTAAGGTTTGGCAGGAGAGGGTGCTGGAGAGAAGTCACAGGAAGAAGGGGTTTTCCTTCTTAAATCTGGCGTGCATTCTCACGTGGCTTCTGCAGCATCCATGGCTTCTCCAGGACCTGGCTCTTGCAGCACCGGAGACATCTCCAGGGCTTGTTTCCCACAGCACTTGTGGCTTCTCTAGCACCATGTTCCTCCAGGGCTCTGGCTTCACTAGTGCCTGGCCCCTGCAGTGCATAGTGGCCACAGCCGCACCTGGTAGCCAGCAGCTTCCTTTGGCACCTCTCCTTGGGCTGTTTTGTAGCAGGGTGCCTCTGGTGGGACACCTCCCTGTGAACAGCTTCCCTGAAACCCTAGAGGATGGATTCCAGTAAGCTCCACCACTGAAGCACCACAGCAACTTCCCTGCCTCCAGATTTCTGGCTCTTAGCCCTGGGGATAAAGGCTCTCCCTTGGGCCCTGTATCTCTGTCTTAGAGTTAATGGCCATTCCTTGTCTCTGCCATTCCTATATTCTTTAAAGTTCTTTCAGGTTCTCTTTACTTCTTGCTAGCTAAGTCTTGTTATAGTTAGTAATTTCTTCTATTAAAGTTTCTATTTTCAGACAGTAGTTTGAAAAGAGAAAGTTTAATAGATGAAATGACAAACCATCTCTCCTAATTGGACCCAGGGTTAATATAGGGTCCCATCAATAGTATTATGGGGTTCTGTGCTTGTGTTGCAAAAAACAAGTGGTTGAAAGAGAATCTAATGGATTTGTTCAAAGGAGCGTGAAATCAGAATGTATGTGCTATTATATATTTCCCTGCACTCTTCTGGTTGAATAAACCAATTTTAGGAAAATCTGGAAGTTTGCCATTATCTGTAATGGAGGAAGAGAATAGTGGTTCTGATGATACTAGAGTGAAAAAAATTCATTGTCTGACAAATTGACCATTCTGCTTTGTGTGGGAACTTCAGGTTCAGGTTCTCACAACAAGGCTGCTGAGGGGACCTAGTGGATGAGTTCAGTTTCTGGGGATTGTCTGCAAAGTGATAATATCTACATTGATAATCCTAAATTGATTAAGAGTGCATGTCAAGCGTTGTTTCCTTCCACCCTCATATCTTGTGATAGGGCCATAGCAGTTGTTCTTTTCTTCCCCTTTTCTGTGTGAATCCTGCAGCAGTATGATATGGGCCAGCCTATGATGCGGAAGTAAAAGAAAAACCAGAATAAGGTGCCTTGAGGATTATCTGGTCTGATCCCTTTATTTTTGAGATGGGGAAACTGACCAAGAGTGAGGTTAAGTGTGTTGCTCTCAAGAGTGTCCACCTAGTTAGAAAACACAAAAATATAGCAAAACAGATCTGATTCCTAGCTGGTTGTTTCCCTCCAAACTTTACTTTTTAATCTCTAATGATTTATTTCTTTATATTTATATATTAAGATTTACAAAACTTGGAAAAATATGATATATACTTTAAAATTAAATGATATTTTAGTCCACATTAAAAGAATAGATCAGTAAATGTCTTGTGCAGGTGCATCTTTTTAAAATTTTACACTACATATATTGAAGTGGAATACATAGAGAGGAGAATGTACATATTATAAGTGTACACCATGATGATTTATTGACAAACTGGACTCTCGTTAACCAGCCCTCAGGTAAACTAATTGAACATTACCTGCACCCTAGATGCTTCCTTCCTGTGCCTTTTATTCACTACCCCTCCCAAGGTTAACCAGTATCTTAACTACCAACTGCATAGATTAATTTTGCCTGTCTTGTCCTTTATAGAAATGGAACAAGCCATATGGTCATATAGTAGGTACTTACTTGGGCCTGGCATCTTTTGTTCATGATTATGTTTGGGAAATTGATTCTTCCTCATTGCTGTAAGTAGTTATATAGTTCATTCATTTTCATTTCCATATAGTATTTCATTATCTAATCCTACTAGGATTTAGTTATCCATTCTACTGTTGATGGATATTTGGAGCCTTTTCTAATTTGGGGCATTTACAGTGAGGCTATGAACATTCATTATAATTACTTTTAAAAACTTTTGGACATTGGAAGACAGCAAAATGTGAGGTTGAAGACACAAGCTTGGAGTTAGACAACTCATTAACTGTTCAGTCTTGGTCTAGTTCTTTATGTTCATGAGCCTGTCTCCTCATTGGCAATGGGCTTACTAATACCAGTTGTGCAGGGTTTGGGAAATAATGGAATAAAATGATGGATACTGTGCACAGTGCTTGACACATAAGTACTCAAATAATGGAAGCTGCCATTACTTTTTAAATTAAAGTTTTATACATTATAGCAAAGTATCAGCCAAGCTTATTTTACTATTTGTATCTGGTTGCTTGTACACAGTGTTTTTCATTTTCTCAGGGCCTGCACATGCTTTATCTTTGGAGTAATGTTTGATTCTTTATCTTTCCTTTCCCTTCCTCTCTGCCACAATTATTACCTGCCTGTTGTATTCTAGGTACTGGGGACAGGAACTGAATAAATGAGCAGACATTATTCATTCCTGAGTTTTCTTCTCAGTTTTTGCTGTTGTATTAGCCTACATCCTCCTCTTCTCATGCCATCCTCTGAATGCTAACATTGCTCTTTGACAGCCTCTCACCAGTGTAACCCATCCTATCTGAGGGGGACAGGATCATCTTTCTCCAGTACCACCACTGCCAGTTGAGTTCTTTAGTGAGGACTTGAGAAAATTCAGCTTTACCCTCAAGTCTTCAACAGACACTGTGGTGCAGGCTTTTCTCCTAAAGATGTGGATGTGCAGTGAGACAAAGCCACTGTATCAGTCAGCAGAGGCTAAGTTTTGCTGCATTAACAAAGGACTCCAAAATTTTATGACTTACAAAACTCACAGATTGACAGTAGCTCTGATCTTTGTCCAATTCCTTCTGAAACAAAGGCTTAATGAGCACTATCCATTTGGGACATATTTGTCTTGAATAGGAGAAAAAAGGAAACGGAGGAACCACAGAGTGGCTCTTAGAACTTCTGCTGGGAAGTGGCATATGTCACTTGTACTCACATTTGTTTGCCTACAACACGTCAAGCCTGATATCAATGGGGAGGGAAATATAAACCTCCCAGAGAGAGCAATCGGTAGGAAGGGACTTGGCACAGAGTCCCTTGGCTCAGTCATGTTTTAAACATGTTTTAAACACTTCCATTGAATCAGTGGACATGACTTTTGGAATATAATTCCCAATTTATTTTCCCTTTTTTTTTTGACCTTCACATCACTTTACTGTCAAATCAGCAAACTGGCAATGCACAAGATATACAGAAGACCAAGGCTCCAAATTAGTGGCCCAGGCACCCTGATGACTTCCTGTTTCTCAGAAAAGTAAGCTTGGGCAGCAGTGACCTCCACAGCCTATGATAAATGAGGAATCAACAGTTGCATTCCATAATTCAATAAATAGTTCTTCCTTCTGCCAGGTGATGTGATGGAAGCTCTGTGCAGCTTCAAAGTAAGAGTTGACTTCTGCGTCTATACAATTCTTGTCATAAATGTGATCAAGTATATCTTTACCTTTCTATACAGTTGGCCCAAGGTATGATTACTGGCATGGGTGCCAGCTAATAAGTAAATCAGTCAGTATTGACACCATGTTTAGCCTCAAGCATGCTTTTCTCTGGAATGCACATTTGGATGAACTTTGAGGAAAATTATTAACTCACCCCAACTTAAGGAGCTTTGACCGACCAGAGATTTCAGGATTATGTGTACATAGTTTCAAACGTTGTATTTTAAGATGAAGAATAATTTAAGAAGATTAGTGAGCATCCTTCATTAATCTGGAGCTATTTTAGTAATAATAAAAAAGGGCAACTTGTTTTCATCTTAGAAGAGTAATAGGTCAGTTTTATTTATAGGTGATATCTAATCAATTTTTTATTTAGCTTGTATAGGATGATTCTCAAGTAGATAATGTTAACTCACCTAGAATAAAGGAAACCACTTGTTACCTAAGTATACGACATTTTAATAGCTTTTAAAAAATTCACCATACTAGTTTACACAATAAAATGTTTCTATAAGTCTGTGTATATGTATATATAAATATAGAAGGTAAATATACAGATTATATTATATAAATAGATAAATATAAAATCACCATGGTATTTTGATATATAAAATGAGTCTCATTATAATGATTCCACTAAATGTACAACCTGTTATAAAATGAGTGATAATCTGACCCTCATTTCTGTGTTTTAATCTTGGGATGATTTGAAGTAAGGCATAATCATGTATGAACATATTCCTGGAGTCTGACATGAGCATCATGAACTTGCTAATTTTATTCCTTGATGGTTTATATAAGTGTCTGACAAATTTAATAGGAAGCAGAGCTTTATTTTTTTTCATTATCAGCTAGAGAACAAAAACATTGGCATCTGAATTGAATACTGGAATATCGTGTGAGTGTGTGTGTGTGTGTGTGTGTGTTTTACTAAGATTCATGCCACTCAAAGTGTGACCCATGGACTGGACTGCTTCATGAACTGTGTGGTGCTGTCCTACAATATGCTAAGAATAGAAATAGAGTGTTCTGAAATTTTAGAGCAATCGGAAAGAGTAGCTTTAGGTCTGTTGGACCTAATAATACAAATTTGGGCTTGCATATTTGTGTTTGTTTTGTTTTTCATCTCATTTGTCTAAGAATTCACTTTTATATAGTCTATAAAAGTATCAGCCTGTGATGGATTTGGAGTTAAAAAGACAAACAAACTAATGCCACAGACGGTTTAGAAGCATTGATGAGGAACCTGCATCATGATGACAGAAAGTGATATAACTTCTGTTATTCTATAGGCGTGAATTTTGACATGGAGTACTGTGGCTTGTATTGCATTGAGATTTTAAAATTCATGTCCCCTAACCTTTAAGCCATATCCCCTTAACTTTCCACTACAAATATTCTATTTAACTGTGACTTTTGATCCACTTTTTTCTAGATTGATTCAGAAAAAGTAATTCTTTGGATTTATTCATTTGTTCAGCCATCGTTTATTGAGGAACTACTTTGTGCCTGACACTATTCCAAACACATAAAATTCAGCAGTAAAAAAACAGTTCTTGATTTATTTTAGCTAATATGAAAAGAACTCAAATATACAAATATATTTGTGTATATACAAAGGTGTGGATGCACACACACACACACACACACACACCAACTGTCAGGTGATAGATTGTTTCCACCTGTCATTTGGTTCCACTTGGACTACTAATGCATACATTCTTTCTCCCTATGGATGTTAACATCACTATTGGTGTGGTTTTGAGCTGATGGAAGTAAGTCCCAGGTAACAAATGTAGGTGACCTCCCTTAGGGCCAGTGATGCCTGAGGATGGCATTCCCAGTTTGGTGATGACAGTGGGTTGAGAGGAGCCTCAGACAGTGGAGGAACCTTAGAATTCACTGCCACGTATCACTGTTTCCTCTAGGGATATCATTAAAGAGAGAGTTCCATCTGTGTGTTTCTTTGGTTCAGCAGGAGGGACCGTGATGTGATCTTCTGGGCGATGTTTCAGCTCTGCGAATCTAGGATGGATCAGGAAGGTGTTAAGCCTCTGAAATTAGGGCAGTGTTTTGTGCAGATGCTCTTTTCTGGGGTGAGGTTCCCTTGCTTTCATCAGGTTCTATCGGTGGTTCATGACCCTCAAAGTCAAAGAATCACTGGTGTACAGTGGCCACAAGAGCCTTCTGCAGTTTGGCCCCTGTTACTCAATCTGGCTTTCCCCTTTGTGCTTCCCTGCTGCATTTGGGCTGGCCTCCTCACTCTTGCCCAGTGTGCTGCACAGGAGCTCACCTGGGTGTGTACTTCCTGGAAAGCTCGGCCTGCTACCACGCACAGAGCTCATTGCCTCACCTCCTTCAAGACTTTGCTCAGATGTCATCCTCTGGGCCTACCCTGACTACCATGTTTAAAATTGCATTCCTCTCCTGGCCCCCAAATCCTGGCCCTTTGGTTGCTTCTTGTTCTGGCTTATTGTTAACCCTGGCACTTGCTACCTTTAACATTTTCTGTGCTTAGTTATTTGGTTTATCAGGTTTATCATTAGAATTTCCCTCCCCATCCCGATGCTTCATCAAAGTGGGGATGTTTGTCTCTGCTCACTGCTGTATCCCCCACACTTTGAACCTGTCTGGTGTATAATGGGTGCTCAGTAAATGAAAAGGGGGTTCAATAAATGAATGAACAGATATGATATCTGTCTCTCCCTTTCAGTGTGCCCAACATGGAGCTTAAATTTGGCTGGTTGCTCCATGTATACTGCATCCCATCGGTTATGGTTTCATGAATCTCATGTCTTACGTTGCCATAAATTAGCTTTTAATGTATCCCTGTATTTTCTTTTCAGATTACAAATATTCCCATTATCCATTTTCATCTTTTTCTTATTGATTTTTGCTGTCTGTTTCATCTTGCTTTACCCTAGACCCTCAAAGTGTTTGTGGATAAGACCTTAGGCAAGTTAGCTGACTTCTCTACCCCTCAGTTTCCTCATCTTGTAAAATAGGGATAACGATACACAACCTTGCAGGGTTGCTCTGAGGCTGAAATGAGATGATGTGTGTCAAGCAGTTAGCATAGTACCATACTTAAATATTGGTTGCAATAATGCTGTTGAAGATGTAAGTATCTTAAGGCTCAGTGTAATGTCTGGCACATGATGGGCACGGAGTAAATGGCAGCCGTTAACAATTATGCTTCCCCCCCATTATTATCATCACTAATGATATGGTCTGGACAATCGACATGGAGTAGGGCACTAGCAGAAAATCCTCGACAGGGTTAAGGGTTGACGTTCTTGTCCTCTTTTTCTGTTCCTTTTTCTTTCCTCTTCCATGGTGGGGATAAACTTTTTCTCCCCTTGCCATGCAAAGGAAGACCTTCCGTTCTTTGCTGTGTGCTGTGATGTTGGTTGTCACTATCATAGTAATACCATATCTTTTGCAATTTTTTTGTTTGACTAGATAGCAGTAGGTAACTAATCTGGGTCCTCAAGACATATTTCTATATATGGATTTCACAACAATCTTGATTTCCGGCAAGAGTTTCATTTTTGTGGAGGGCATTTCAAGGAGCTGCCTTGTAAATTTCTGAATGCTTGGGTTGTTTGCTTTGTTTCTTTTACCCCTCAGTGCCAGGTAAGTAAAATTCCCCAGATTTGAATCTTACAGTTAATCAATCAGCAAATACTTATTAAGTATATACATGGGAGATTATTTGAAGAGCAGAATGACACAGTGAAAGGTGAGCTTTAGAAAGATTAATCTGGGGGTTGTGTGCCTAATTGGTGGAAGGCTCTGGTGAGCAGAGAAGGGAGAGTTTGTTGTGGGAGTCCACAAGAACCAGTGGTGGAACGGTGCCCGAGGGAGTGGGAGCTGGGGTGGTACACAGGGTGTACGCATGCTCAGCTTCCCTAGGTATAGCCAGCCAGTCTCCCGGAGCCGGTGCCCCAATTTACACTTCCATCCACAATGCTCAGAATTTTGGCTGCTCTCTGGTCTTTCCAACATTTGGTTACTACTGCTACATAACAAATCATGGTCAAACTTAGTGAGTGAATACAATACATGTCATTTTGTTCACTCTCATGGTTTCTGTGGGTCAGGCATTCTGGAGTGCTGGGCTGGGCAGTTCTGTCTCAGCATCTCTTAGGAGGTTGTAGACAGATGATGGCTGCCAGACCATCAGAAGGAGGAGGCCATTGGTGGTCAATTTATACCCCCACTTAACATCTTTCTCTATCTCAAGGGAAAGGACTGGGTGAGGCCAAAGAGGCCTCTTTCTGAGGATACGAAGTGAAGGAGGCATTTTTTCTCAGGGTTATGCAGGTTCTGGCCCTGCCAAAGAAAGTAGATGCCAAACATCTACTATGTGTTAGACCTTGGGCAAGATCTTCTACATTTATTTGAGGTGACTTACTCCCTTTAATGTGATGTTTTTTTCAGGGTTAACTTTCTAGATAGGCCTTTCCTTACCATCCTATCTTCATGCTTTCCCTTTGTATTTTCATCTTATTGCCCAGTGGATCACCTTCGTAGCTTGCTGTTTTCCTATGACATTGTACGCAATTGTTTCCCCGTTTACACTGTATATTGTTGTTTGCCTAGTCACACTGTGTGTGGTTGTTTGTCTAGTTACAGTGTATGTGTTTTTTTTGCCTCGTTACACCATATATAGTTGTTTTCCTATTTATACTGAATGTGGTTATTTCCCTATTTACACTATATGTGTTTTTTTGCCTAGTTACACTGTATATAGTTTGTCTGGTTACACTGTATGTAATTGTTTCCTTATGTGCACTGTATGTAGTTGTTTGCCTATTTATACTGTATGTGATTGTTTGCCTAGTTATACTCTTTGCTTAGTTACACTGTATGTGGTTATATACCTGGTTAGACTGTATGTAGTTGTTTCTCTGTTTGCACTGTATGTGATTGTTTCTCTGTTCACACTGTATGTGATTGTTTCTCTGTTCACACTGTATGTGATTGTTTCTCTGTTCACACTGTATGTGATTGTTTTTCTATTTATGCCGTATGTGGTTGTTTCCCTGTTTATACTGTATGTGGTTGTTTCCCTGTTTACACTGTATGTGGTTGCTTTCCTGTTCACATTGTATGTGGTTATTTTTCTATTTACATTATATGTGATTGTTTTTCTGTTTACACTGCATGTGGTTATTTCCCTGTTTACACTGTATGTGGTTATTTTTCTATTTACATTATATATGATTGTTTTTCTGTTTACATTGTATGTGGTTGTTTCCCTGTTTACACTGTATGTGGTTGTTTCCCTGTTCACACTGTATGTAGTTGTTTTTCTATTTACACTGTATGTGGTTGTTTCCCTGTTTACACTGTATGTGGTGGTTTCCCCGTTTACACTGTATGTGGTTGTTTTTCTATTTACACTGTATGTGATTGTTTTTCTATGTACACTGTATGTGGTTCCTTCCCCGTTTACACTGTATGTGGTTGTTTTTCTATTTACACTGTATGTGATTGTTTTTCTATGTACACTGTATGTGGTTCCTTCCCTGTTCACACTGTATGTGGTTGTTTTTCTGTTTACATTACACTGTATGTGGTTGTTTTTCTATTTACACTGTATGTGGTTGTTTCCCTGTTTACACTGTATGTGGTTCTCTGTTTACACTGTATGTGGTTCTCTGTTTACACTGTATGTGCTTTTTTCTCTGTTTACACTATATGTGATGGTTTTTCTATGTACACTGTATGTGGTTGCTTCCCTGTTTACACTGTATATGGTTGCTTCCCTATTTATACTGTATGTAATTGTTTGCCTTTTTATTGCCTGTCCACCTGCATTCCTTCAGCCTCTATTACTGAAGGTCTGTGAGAGCAGTAGCCATGCCTCTTTCATGCACTACTGTGCACCCAGTAGCATTGCCAGATTAAATATGGATACTCAGTGAAACTTGAATTGTGACTCAAAACAAATATTACCTTCATTTTACTAATTTATTTTTAAAATGGACACATTATAATTGTACATATTTATGGGTATAATTTGATGTTTTGACACGTGTGTGTTGCATAATGATCAAATCAGCATAGTTAACATATCTGTCATCTCATGCATATGTGTTTTCTTTGTGGTGAAAAGATTCAAAAACCTCTTTTCTAGCTGTTTTGTAAAATACAATACCTTACTTTTAACTACAGTCACTGTACTGTACAATAGAACACCAGAAGTTATTCCTCCTATCTAATTGTAACTTTGTATCTGTTCACTAACCTGTCCCTATCCTTTCTTCACCCATCCCCTTCCTAGTTTCTGGTAACTACTGTTCTGTTTTCTACTTTTATGATGTCAGCTTGTTTTACCCCTTAGATTTCACATTTGAGTGACATCATATGATATTTGTCTTTCTGTGTATGGCTTATTTCCCTTAACATGATAGCCTCCAGTTTCATCCATGTTGCTGCAAATGACAGGAGTTCATTCTTTTTTATGGCTGAGTAATATTCCATTCTGTATATATACTACATTTTCTTTATCCATTCATCTGTTGTTGGACACTTAGGTTGATCACATATCTTGGCTATTGTAAATAGTGCTGCAATAAACATGGGAGTGCAGATATCTCTTTGGCATACTGATTTCATTTCCTTTAGATATATATCCAATAGAAGGGTTGCTGGATTATATGGTAGTTATATTTTTAATTTTGTGAGGAACCTTCCTACTGTTTTCCAAAATGGCTGTACTAATTTACAATCTCTCTAACAGTGTGTAAGTGTTCCTTTTTCTCCACATCCTCACTAATACTTGTTTTCTTTTCTTTTTTTTTTTTTTTTGATAGTAGCCATTCTAACTGGAGTGAGGTAGTATCTCCCTACGGCTTTGATTTGCATTTACCTGATGATTAGTGATGTTGAGTACTTTTTTCATATCTGTTGCCATGTGTATATTTTCTTTTGAAAAGTGTCTATTAAGCTTGCTCTTTTACCTTTTTTTTTTTTTTTTTTTTTTTGGCAAAGTCTCACTCTGTCACCTAGGCTGGAGTGTGATGGTACGATCATGGCTTACTGTAGTCTTGACCTCTTGCCTCAAGCCATCATCCCATTTCAATCTCCCAAGTAGCTGGGACTATAGGAGCATGCCACCACGCCTGGCTGATTTTTGTAGTTTTTGTAGAGACCGGGTGTTGCCACGTTGCCGAGACTGGTCTCAAACACCTGGGCTTAAGCAATCTACCTGCCTCAGCTTCCCAAAGTGCTGGGATTGCAGGCATGCACCCAGCTTCTATTTTTTAATTGAGTTATTTGGTTGGTTGGTTGCTGTTAAGTTCCTTAGCTATTCTGGATATTAACTCCTTGTCAGATGTTTAGTTTGCAGATGTTTTCTCCCATTCAGTAGGTTGTCTCTTCACTCTGTTAATTGTCTTTTGCTTTGCAAAAGCTTTTTAGTTTGATGTAATCCCATTTGTCTATTTTTGCTTTTGTTGCCTGTATTTTTGAGGTCTTATTTAAAAAATCCTTGCCAAGCCCAGTGTTGTGAAGCATTTTGCCTGTGTTTTCTTCTAGTAGAGTCATAGCTTTAGGCTTTACATTTAAGTCTTTATTTCATTTTGAGTTGATTTTTGTATATGGTGAGAGGTAGGGGCCTAGTCTCATTCTTCCGCATATGAATATCTGATTTTCTCAGCACCATGTATTAAGGAGACTGTCCTTTTCCTATTGAGTGTTTTTGGCACATTTGTAAAAAGTCATTTGGCTGTAGGTGTGCTAATTTATTTCTGGGTTCTCTATTCTGTTTCATTGGTCTTTGTGTGTGTTTTTATGCCAGTACCATGCTGTTTTGATTACTATAATTTTGTAGTATATTTTGAAGTCAGGTAGTGTGATGCTTCTTTCTTCTTTTTGCTCAGAATTGCTTTAGCTATTCTGGGTTTTTTTGTGATCTCATATGAATTTTAGGATTTTTTTTCTATTTCTATGAAGAATGTCATTGGTATTTTGATAGGAATTATAATAAAGCTATAGATTGGTTTGGATAGGATGGCCATTTTAGCAATATTAATTCTTTCGGTTCATGGACATGGAATATCTTTTCATTTATTTGTGTCTTCTTCAATTTCTTTCTTCCTTGTTTTATAGTTTTCATTGTAGAGATCTTTTACCCTGATGGTTATGTTTATTCCTATATAGCTTATTTTTTGGTAGCTGTTGTAAATGGAATTATCTTCTTGATTTATTTTTCAGGTAGATCACTATTAGCATATAGAAATACTACTGATTTTTTAATGTTGATTTTTGTATCCTGCAACATTATTGAGCAAATAATATCCTAGTATAAGTATATGCCAAATGTAAGACATGTTTATACTGAAAAATTATTTATGGTTTTCCTGAAACTCAAATTTAACCAGATGTCTGGTAGGTTTAAATGCTACATCCAGCAACCCTAGTACCTGGCGTTGAGTAGGGTGTGTAGCATATTGTAGGAGCTCAATAAATACTTGAATGAACAAGAGAGTGAATACAATGAAAGAACACATTTCTTTCTCATGACAATTTTACAAAGTGGATCTTATTATTTTATAGATATGATGAGCAAATAATTCAATAAGCTTGTCTGTGGGTCCAGAGCCAGTTAGGACAGGGTGGGATAACAGTCAAATTTTGAAACTGCTCTTTTCAGCTTTTCAGTACATTGTGCTGCCTTGCTTTGTTAAATGAAATTTCTTCCTTGTAGCAGTCAGATTTTTTGGTTGTATCAACAGAAAACTGAACCCTCCCTAGTTTAAGCAGAAAAAGATATATTCATGTGTATATTAAAGGATTTTTAGGAGCTCTGGGTCCCTGGAGGCCAGAGAAACAAACCAGAGGCTGACTGGCCAGGACTGATTCCCCCAGCGTGTTGTAGAACTGATCCAATGGAAATATTGATGTTGCCCTCACTGGGCACAGATACTGCAGCCTGCACCATTGACGTCCCCAATGTGGACCACTAGACCACACAGCCAAGCCCCTGACCCTTAGGGCTTCCAGATGTAGCTGCATCTTTCCTTGCCAGTGTACATACAGCTTCACACTATTTGTCCCAGATATATCTGATTGAGAACCTGAAGGCATATGTCTCCATGCTAGCTACAAGAGAGTCTGGGAAAGTGAACCTTTGGCTTCTAAAGTCAAAGCTATCTCTGTCTCCCTCTACATTCATTAGAAGGGGAATTTTTCAAGCACAGGAAGTATCTTAAAAGGTGCTGGGCAGCCTAAAAGATAATACGTGTCCACTTGACACTGCCTTTGAGCTTCAGTAGCGCAATACCTTTTGATTTTTTAAGGCAGGTATTACTTTCTACCTTGTTTGAAAACAGGAGTTGTGTTTGCTTTAATTTTTTAATGTGCCCACAGAGTACTGAGCCTGTACTCTCAAGAGGCACTCAATATATGACCGAATAAAAGCTGAATTATCTGTCTAGTGGGATTTTATAGGTGACTTAAATTCTGTTCGTGTGTATTTAAAAAATTTCCAATCATAAACATTTGTAATAAAAATAGTTAAAGTTTCCAAAACTTGATCTAACTGGGAGAAAAACAATAGGTCTGAAGTATCTTATCTTCAAATCTGAAATCCAAAATTCTCTGAATGTCGAAGGATTTTTTTTGTCTGATACCTCATTGGCAGAATTACCTGACCTGAAGTGACACAAGGCTATTTATAGTCTTCATTGTTCCACTTAATTGAATATTCATATGTTTCCCGGCAGAAATATTAATGTACTTGATTACAAACTGTTGCCCTGATCTCACTGGAGTACTATACTGTATATGATCTCTATTATCTCTATAAAATCTGGAAAACTCTGATGTTCAAGACTCATCAGTCCCCAAGGGTTTTTTGAAGTGTGTATGCATGTGTGTATTTGTGTATACACACTTGCATAATATGTACATAGAACGTTCTGGAAGGGTGCATTCAAATTGCCAGCAGTGATTATATCTTACAGAATGGATTAGATGGGGAGATAGTGAGGAATGAATTTATGCTTAATATTCTTTAGCATTTCTAATTATTATTATAAAAAACAATTGCCTTTTTAAATGAAAGAAGATAGAGTAGAATTGAATAGAAATGTTCTTGTACTTAGGAAAATAGTGGTAATATTAATTTTAAAAGATGGTTTGTCAAGTAGGCTATGCGTTTCACATTAGTTCAACATTACAACTGATAAAGACTCAGAAAAAGTTATACACAGAATAGTCAGTCTCCTGCCTTTTGGACACTATATGCATGCCCAGGTGGCAGGGAATTTACGTCAGCAAAAGCACTAATTTTGCTAAAAAAAAAAAAAATAGAGGCACACAAAAATGTGATGAGTAAATGAAACAACTGTTATTAGTGACGGATTTGGCATGTTTTACGAAGTCTGAATGATTACTCATCCACTGTACATTTGCAGAAGTTCTTTAATAAAAACCAGACGCATATGTAGTAGCAGGGGTTAGTAGGTGGATGGGAGGATTAAACCCTGTGCGTTTCTGGAGCATTGGTTTGTAACTGTTTTTTGGCTTGTCAACAGGCTATTTTTCTGAGTCAGCCTATAGGATGGCTTCCCAGGGTAAGTCTGATTTTGCTTTTCTGGTTTTAAAATATAAAGTGGTAATGGAGAGCTGACTAGTTGCTCTCTGCATTAGATTCTGTAAATCAATATTGCCTGCATTTCTTCTGTAAGAAAGACATTGGTCGCATTTCAGCATATTCTAGTGTTCCTGCTGCTCATTTTTGTAGCTTTGCCTTACCTCCCCCTAATTTTAAAAGTCAAATGCCCAAGTGCTGAAAGAATTTGCAAGGGGAATTGCAAAGGTCATGTGTAAGTTCTGTGGCTGAAGTGTGGAGAGCAGTATGATTGAGCTGCAGCCCTTCATGAACCTTTCTTTTCAAGAGGAGGTTTCCAATAAATTAGGGTAGCACACTTTATGTGCTTGTTTATGACCTTAAAAATGGTTTAGATTTTGCTGAGTGGCCATTACTGCTGCTTTATGACATGGAATAATGGTTTCAACCTGCACAGTTTTTCATTTTTTTCATTTTTGTACTGAAACAATGTCATGCATCAGTCAATGTGAAGTTCATTTTTTTTTTTCTTTTAAAGGGACTTGGGAGAATGTTAGACATTAGAATAAGTGGCTGGGTTCTAACTCCAGAGAACTTTGGTTCTTGAAAAAAAAAGTGAAGATTCTCCAAGCCGTTACAAATGAGCTTTGTAGTGATCTCTGATGAAATGATAAAAACACTGCTTTTCCCACTGGAAGATAAATGCCCCTTTTCATTAACTATAGTATGAGGAACAAAATCATGTGATTTTCTTTTTTTTTTTTTTAAGTTTAACCTTAATTACTTTTTAAAGGCAGTTTTCATTTTGTGATTACTTTTTTTTTTCTTCCGGTGCCTAGCATAGTTGAGGATTTTATCTTCTTGTCTATTTTAGGATACTCTAATGAATAACGGAATTTTGACGTGCTCTTTCAAAGGAAGAGTCTAGTTGCATCCTCCCAGCCATCGGCTGGTTGAGCTGTCCTACCCACTTCGTTTCAGCTCATGGAGGCCACCGTGAGGGGCTGGGGCATGTCAGTGGCCCACAGCTATTCTGAATGGTAGTTATATCTATGTGGGGGCTCAGAAGGGAACCGACTTTCCATTCATTAATGTTCAGTACCCACGAAAGAAACCGATATTTAAAAAAAAAAAAGTAAGGGAATTTCAGTTGATTTTTTGAAAAACGAAAACGTTCACATTAGGACCTTTAAAAATGAAAGCATTTATGTTCTCAGTGCTGTGGATCTCACATATAAATAATTGCACCCCATCCCCCTCCCCCCACACCCCTCCTCCCCAAGTCTGAAACCCTGTTGCAAGGGCTGTGTGAAGTGGGAGGTTAATGTGGCCTCTCTTTCTGGGACATCAGTAATTCTTGAATATTTTGGGTAAGGGTAGAAAAGTATCCCATTTCAGCTGATCAGTAATTTAGGAGCTTTTAAATGCTGATGTAAGCAAGGGTATATTATGGAATAGAATCTGAGATGATACTATAAAGAGACATCTCTGTTGCTAAGGGTCAGTCCAGACCACACTCCTAGACCTTACTTCTGGTCCTCCTTGCAAGGGTGGTCATCTGTCCTCTGCTGTGAGATCTTCTTTGGTAGAAATGTGATGGGGTTTGCTTTCACCCCTTCTCAAAAGGCTGTGCCAGGAACACTTCTATGGGCACAATAAGGTGAACCACTGTGAGGTTTGAGAAAATTAATTGCCCGGGGTGAGCTGGAACACTTAATCCATCGTGTCACATATACACAGAGGTCTTTGAAAGGGACAGGAGTCTTGATGGAAGGCTCAGCTACCATCCAGACATTGTTAGAATAAGAAGACAATTGCTCCTTTCAATGAGAGAAAGGGAAGAATAAAATGTGATGGAGATTGGCACCTCGGAAAGGGAAGAATAAAATGTGGTGGAGATTGGCACCTCTTCTGCCATTCTTTAACCTCCATAATGACTTACCAAAGAGCTTTTTTTAAAAAAAGAGATCGACAGGAAAATTAATTATCAATGATTTCAGAGCAGATTATTAGATATGTGAATTATCCAGCCTCTTTGGATTTTGTCCTGTTGTCATCATTTGTCAGTATTTCTCAACATGTCATCGAAAGGTGATTCAGGATGAAGCACAAAACTGTTTTTTTCTCTTTTTTTTTTTTTTTTGAAACAGAATCTCACTCTGTCACCTAGGCTGGAGTGCAGTGCTGCGATCTCAGCTCACTGCAACCTCTCTGCCTTCTAGGTTCAAGCAATTCCCGTGCCTCACCCTTCCGAGTAACTGGGATTACAGGTACATGCCACCATGCCCAGCTAAGTTTTGCATTTTTAGTAGAGATGGGGGTTCACCATGTTGGCCAAGCTGGTCTTGAACTCCTGGCCTCAAGGGACCCACCCACCTTGGCCTCCCAAAGTGCTGGAATTATGGGTGTGAGCCACCACACCAGGCCTCTAAACTGCTTTTTACTCCTAGTTGTGTGTTGCCAGTTCAGAAACTTAATTAAGCTTATGGAATGACAGACATATTTCACCTTTTAGTAGATGAGAATACATTCAAGACTAGGCTTAAGTACATATATCTTCGATGTAATTTATTAAACCCTTAAATCCATATTCACACATACAAAATAATCAGATCTTAAAATAATTATTGGAAGAAAGAAGAGGGAAAAATAGTAGGCAATCTTCATGACACTTTAATGTGTATGTTTACTGCTTAAAATGTTCAAACACATCTTTGTTTTGTATAGTTAATTTTGGTGGTATAATATTTGAAAAGGTGATAGATAAAAAGTGCAGGATGCAATTCTTGAAGCTGTAATTTGCAGGACACTAATAATACAAGTCCATTTTCTTTTCTGAGTGTGCTATTTATACAATTTATATTTTTAACAAATCTTAGAACTGGAATGAAAATAGTAATTCATCTTAAGGGTAAGAAAGGTTGCAGCTGTGCCAAATTTGGAAACTTTAATCAGTCCTCTTAGTGCTTAAGCACAGACTATGGAATATTCTAATTTGTATGTCACAGAGCACAGTGCTCAGCAGAAAGCATGCACTATCTTAAATTAATGTTAATTAATTAATGTTAAATGATTGAGTCAATTTGGCAGTACTTCTTTTCGTCTCTGAAAAGAAATCATATTTAATTTAGAAGTGGCAGGTCAATTTTAAAGCCAAGCTAAAATAAGTAGGTCAAGTGAAATTGTGCACAGGGCAGGGATAGTGGTGTTATATGTACGAAGAAAAAAGACTGAAAGGAAAAATATCAAAATGTTTACCTGTGAAGATGATGAATAATTTGTTTTTTATATATTTTTGTTTGCCTTTAGTTTACCACAGTGGGCAAATACATTCTTCGGAGCAGTATACTTTCATGACATATGTTAAGCTTTACATAACTCTTTGTTAAATCTCCCGTTGATGAATTAATAGTAAACATGATACCTATCAAATATGAAGTGAGCGGTGTCCTCTGTAGTTGGGCAGCATAGTAGCTTTGAGTGGAACTTACATTCTAGCAAAATTCATTTTTTCAAATAAGATTTTATGTAAAATCCAAGTATAGTCAGTTCTGCTATAACACAACATATGTGTTTCTAAAAAATCATCAGGCTACTCCAAAATCATGCAGTAGACAACACACGATGTATAGGAAAAATGGGGCTAGGAGCACAATGCTAAAAAATTTCATCAGTGACATCTGAAAAAAGAAAAGATAGGAAGCTAATAAACACAGTAGACAGATTTATACCCTTTAATTTAAGCGATACATTAATACAACAACAAACTTGTTACTTTGCTTTGAATAACACCTGGATTTTGCTTGTAGAAGTGGCTTCAGAAGAGTTGCAGCTGGTGAGTTATTATGCAGTGGTAGAAGGAAGCTTATCTGAAACTGGATCAAAAATTATAGCATCAGAAGTGAATGAGTGTGATGCATAACACTCTTAGTAAACGGAGGTAGCCGGTAGATGTTTGAAGTGTGTGCTTGGTGCAGCTGGGTGCAGTTTTCAGGGTGTTCACCTACTGTTTCTTGAAGACAGAATCACGCACAAGCAAACCAAAATTCTTGGGGGATATGCTCAAGTTGTTTACTGTGTAACAAATTTGCATTTCCAAAATCAACGTGATGGCAGAACTGACTGAGATGGATGAAAAAAAGCTGCACTAGCTCTAGGTATGTCAGGAGCCCAGTGTGGAACCCAACCTCCCCATCACCACCCCAGGGGTTCCACAGAGCACTGCTGTGTGGTGTAAACTTTATTTTGTTTGTTTGTTTGTTTGTGACCTGGAACAGACACAGAAAGTTATTTTTCTTGTGGAGAGTTTCGGTCCTACCTACATATCCTTCCCTGGCTGGAGTCTGGAGGTGTGCCAAGGGCTTTGGCATTGACAACTTTCAGTTCCACTGCCAGATGGGCTGTCCAGTAAAGCAAATGGCCTTGAACTGAAAACCCTATAGAATACCTCGCTCCAGGTCCTTGCCAGGGACTATAACCTTGAGTACTCAATGAGTACTCCGTAAGTACTCAATACTTATGAAATGCTGCTATGAAAAACCAATATCTATGGATTACAGTGTGAAGAACAGATGTTCATTTGTTTCTCTGGATACCCAACAACGAGGGAAGAAGGGTATGTTGTTTGAGAAATCATTTCCAAAGTGTCAATATTGAAAGAAGGCGTGAGAAATTTACATTTATCAAAAGGGGTCATTGGTTATAAAATAGTTCAGGGAAATCTGTATAATCTCTACCAGAAATAATCTAGGCCAGCAGAAATCTCTATTCTGAGATTTTGATATCCCTGAAAATTTGTGCATCCTCCCTCCACCCCCGGCAATTAGTTTTACTGGATTATACTTAATATTATGCCTCTGCCCCCATTGAATCTCGTTACAAGATAGAGCCTTACAAATCTTTATTGTATGGGGTGTCTGTCTTGTGGGTGTTACAATGTCCTTTTTATGAAGACTCTTGGGTGAAGTGTCTCTCTGGTTTCAATACCACAAATGACTGTACTTCTACACAACTTTGGGTTTTTATTTTATGTATATAGTTAGTCATGTAACTGATCATGTTTTCTTCCTCTTTATGGCCACAGACATATTTTCTTTGACCCATACCGTTTTTGTTTGTTTGTTTGTTTGTTGTACTTTAAGTTCTGGGATACATGTGCAGAACGTACAGGTTTGTTACATAGGTATACACATGCCATGGTGGTTTGCTGCACCCATCAACCCATCATCTACATTAGGTATTTCTCCTAATGCTTTCCCTCTCCTAGTCCCCCGCCCCACGATAGACCCCGGTGTGTGATATTCCCCTCGCTGTGTCCATGTGTTCTCATTGTTCAACTCCCACTTACGAGTGATAACATGTGGTGTTTGGTTTTCCTTTCCTGTGTTAGTTTGCTGAGAATTATGGTTTCCAGCTTCATCCATGTCCCTGCAAAGGAAAACAACTCATCCTGTTTTATGGCTACATAGTATTCCATGGTCTGTATGTGCTACATTTTCTTTATCCAGTCTATTATTGATGGACATTTGGGTTGGTTCCAAGTCTTTGTTATGGTGAACAGTGCTGCAATAAACATACATGTGCATGTGTCCTTGTAGTAGAACTATAGTAACCAAAACAGCATGGTATTGGTACCAAAACAGATATATAGAACAATGGAACAAAACAGAGGCCTCAGAAATAATGCCAGACATCTACAACCATCTGATCTTTGACAAACCTGACAAAAACAAGCAATGGGGAAAGGATTCCCTATTTAATAAATGGTTTTGGGAGAACTGGCTAGCCATATGTAGAAAACTGAAACTGGACCCCTTCCTTATACCTTATACAAAAATTAACTCAAGATGGATTAAAGACTTAAACATAAGACCTAAAACCATAAAAACCCTAGAAGAAAACCTAGGCAATACCATTCAGGACATAGGCATGGGCAAAGACTTCATGGCTAAAACACAAAAAGCAATGGCTAACAAAAGCTGAAATTGACAAATGGGATCAAATTAAACTAAAGAGCTTCTGCACAGCAAAAGAAACTATCATAAGAGTGAACAGGCAACTTATGGAATGGGAGAAAATTTTTGCAATCTATGTATCTGACAAAGGGCTAATATCCAGAATCTACAAGGAACTTAAACAGCTTTTTTTTTTCAAACAAAAAGAAAAACTATTTTCCAGCATTCCAGTGCTGAGACAATTTCACACAAGTGTGTTTGAATTACTAGCATTTACTGAAAAATCAGATCTGGTAACATTGAACTCTCATGTCACTATGGCAACCATGGGATTCAATAAAGTATTGCCATTTTCCTTAAAATAGAACAGGCACTCTTCAGTTTTACTTTTTTTAATTTTACCTGCCTGGGCCCTGTAGATGTTTAACTGTAAACCCTCTGGCTTAGAAAGCAATTTGTGACCCACCTCTAGAAAACGTGCAGGCTTTTATTTGCATTTGTGTACTAATCTTATTCCTGAACTCATTTTATTTTTTTCTTGAATTATGTTTCCTTCATTCTATTTTCTTCATCCACTTATATTAATTTTCCATCATTGGTTCATCTTGGGATGTTGTGTGCTTTTTCATAAATTGCTTTAAGTCCTTTTAGAAAGAAGCAAGAGGTATTAAATATATAAATATTAAAATTAGGAGAATGACTTCTTTCTCCCAGATCATTTTATTTTTATTTTTGGCCTAGTAAATTTAAAGTGATTTCAGCTATTTTTCTGACCTATTTTTGAGTCTACTTGATTCTAGTACCATTCAGAGCTCTGCAATTCTTTGTTTTCTTTTCTTTTCTTTTTTCTTTTTTCTTTCTTTTTTTTTTTTTTGCTATTTCCTCACAGAAACTCTGAGAAAACATGAGACATTCAGTACATACATTGTTTTGTACCTAAAGTTGGTTGACTCTCTATGATTTTGCATTAAGAACTGAAGAGTTAAGTAATTTTCACATACAATTTGGGATTTCCATATCTCCTTGAGAAATATGAAGACACAACTAGACCCAGTTAGCCTTTAGATGTGTTTGTGTCTAGTTCACCACATCTTTTCCTTACCTCCCCCATTGCCTCCATGACACTGAGGCTGAATGCTACTTGTCCTGTTTTCCTTGATTTTCTTGGTCTGCAACCCATTGTTGGTCCACCACCCAAGCTGATCCTGCTGTCAAAACATGTTCTACTCTTTGGCAGGCACTGAATTGGCTTTTCTTTAATGTCCCTCTTAGAGCCGCGAGCTTCCTCGGCAGGAGTGTCATGGCTCTGTGTGTGCATGTGTAGGTAAAAAGAACACTAGGTTAATTCATTCACCAAATGTTTATTGAGCACCTACTTTGTGGCAAGGACTGTTCTGGTGCTGGGAATAGAGCAGTAAATAAAAGAGGCAAAGATATGTGCCCTACTGGAGTTTACATTCTACTGGGAGTTGGTAAGTGCTATAAAGAAAAATAACACCAAAGGGCTTTCTCTTTAATTTGAGGATGATATGTTAGACCTTGCTGCCTAGGGCTTTTTTTTTTTTTTAACAGAGATCTAAATTAATTGAGAGATCTAAATTAAATGAGATCTAAATTAAATGAGCTGTGCAGCTGTCTGGGGAAGAGCATAGCAAACCAAGGGGCAGCAATGAGAGTAAAATCCTGAAGGAGAGAACATACTGGATTTAGTATTAGACATGACTTTTATTTCAAATACTGCCTTGCCTAATGGTGTGAACTGTGACCTTCTGGACCATGTCTGGGAACTCATCTCTAAAATGCTAAGATTCTATGTAGAAGAAGGACCATGCCTTACTAGTTTCTACCCAGTGCCAAGTCTAGTCCTTGGCTCTTGGTAAGCATTTGGTAAATATTTGTGCAGTTAACAGATAGACACAACAATGGTTTTAAAAGAATATAAAGCATCTTGGCCAGCCGCAGTGGCTCATGCCTATAATCCCAGCACTTTGGGAGGCCAAGGCAGGTAGATCACCTGAGGTCAGGAGTTTGAGACCAGCCTGGTCTCAACATGGTGAAACCTTGTCTCTACTAAAAATACAAAAATTAGCCAGGCATGTTGGTGTGTGCCTGTAATCCCAGCTGCTCAGGAGGCTGAGACATGAGACTCACTTGAACCCGGGAGGCAGAGTTTGCAGTGAGCCAAGAGTGTGCCACTTCACTCCAGCCTGGGCAACAGAGTGAGACTCTTTCTCAAAAAAAAAAAAAAAAAAAAGGAATATAATGCATCTCAAAAGCCGGATCTTAGCTGATTGTTTAATACAATCCCAGAGATTAATGACAAGGAAGATGCCTAGTCCTGAAATGTGTCCAAGGAATTTCTCTTTAATGATAATTCCATATTTTCTGCACTTAGCAAGACACATCTACACATCAAACTGGGGATTATTATGACCCAGGAAAGGGACCTGGGATTCTTTGACTGTTTCCTCTTGAGGGCATTAGTGTCACTGATTGGGAGACAGTCCTCTAAATTCAGCTAAATATTGGTCACCCTCTATAAGGACAGTGGGACAGCGGGAAGCAGACTAAGTGCAAGGATTGTGTCTTAGTTGTTGTATCCGTTTTTTTCCCTTAGTGTATCCCAACTTCTAATGTAGTACCCATGAGCTCACAGTAAGAGCTCAGTACATATTTGGTAAAGAGTGAATAAAATCAAGGGATGCATTTTCAAGCTCTTTCGGAAGACAGTGTTGGAGTCATGCTGGAAAGACATCATACATTCTGCCTGTTTCCTTCCTAAGAAGGACACACTAGAACTAGAGGAGATTGAAAAGGCTGAAAAGTGGCGTGAAGGCCAGACCTAGTGGTAATGTCTTATTTGCATAACTCATTTAGTTATTATCTTTACTTACATATGGGGAAATGAGGTCAGAGCTAGTAAGTGGCAGAACCAGGTAGTTTGACTCCAGGGGTTGTATTTTTAACTCCAAGAGTGTGTTACGTACAGAGAAGGATAACTAGCAGTTACAGAAACAGAAGTATGAAAAAAAATCATTCACTAAATAGCTGAATGGATTCTGTTAGTGGCATTAGTGACTGATGATCTTTTCTGGTGAAAAATCATTTCTTTCACATGGAACAGGTTTCAGATGGAGAGAAAAGTCTACTCCGTAACTCACACTTCTCTGGCTTTTTTGTGGACTCCTCCAAGACTTTGCCATGTTTCATTTCTTGAGACTTTATATCAGATTTTCTAAAAGCCATTGGGGAAGCCCTTCATAACAGGAATTCTTATTTTGATTCAGATAACACATGGGTATTTCCTAACTACCATGTTCCCAATCCCACATGCTTCATAGCCTAAGAGCTCTTTCCACATTTAATGATGTGCTGGCCACATTATTTCCCATCAGCTTCAACTCCTTCTTTTCTATTTCATGAAAAAATTCTTGTTCATGAACGATTAGGTTTTCTTCTGCTTATTTTCCGTGTAGATAGAATGAACTCAGTTGTTACGATGCTCTTGCAGAAGAACAAATTTAAAGCTGGAAGAAAGCTTTGCGAATTTATAACAGCAGTCTGTTGGGTTCAGAGAGAATTGTTGGAATCCTATGCTTTCCTTTCATTTGTGTGCTTTTCAAGTGAGGGGAACATTGTGATTTTTGTAGATGGTGTCAGCATAGATGGCAGAGATAAGCAGATATCCTGGCCAGCGTTCTGGGGAAGATGAAAATGCTTGTGTTTTCTCATGACTTTATTTTTCCAGAGCTGACTCTATGGCAATATCACTCTGACAAATATTGGCTGGCCATGGAATATTTTAAAGAGCAAGGGTTTTGTGAATGTTCTGTCTATTACCATGGCTGAGGAATCAAAACACAATATTCTCCACACATTTCCTCGAGCACTCATGGATGGATTCCAGTATGATACTTTCATGTTAGCTCTTAGACCACAGGAAGAATTTAAAATAAATGATTACTGAAAACACAATGAAGAAGAATCGAGTAGAATGTTTTGTACCATTTTTCTCTTTCTGCACGGTAATATCATGCTCAGAGTGGTGACAAAGACTAACTGAGTGCAAAAGGGCTTTGCAAAAATTTATGTTTTCAGATGCTTGTTGTGAACATGATGGCAATGACAATCATGTCACATCTGCTTCGCTCGTGATCTCTATCCTTATGTAAGGAAAGAGCAGACACTGATGATGTTCAAAAACAAACCCACCACAGACATCCCAAAGACTTCTATAATTTTCCCCCCTTCTCTAGAATGTACTTCTCACATTATTGTGTGATTAATGAGAATAAATTATATGGTGTGAGTATACAAAGGAAGGAATTTGAGAGATAGCTTTTTGCACTGGAAATTATTTGGGCAAAGATTCTTCTTTTTTTTTTTTTTTTTTTTTTTTTGAGACGGAGTCTCGCTCTGTCGCCCAGGCTGGAGTGCAGTGGCGGGATCTCGGCTCACTGCAAGCTCCGCCTCCCGGGTTCACGCCATTCTCCTGCCTCAGCCTCCCAAGTAGCTGGGACTACAGGCGCCCGCCACTACGCCCGGCTAATTTTTTGTATTTTTAGTAGAGACGGGGTTTCACCATTTTAGCCGGGGTGGTCTCGATCTCCTGACCTCGTGATCCGCCCGCCTCGGCCTCCCAAAGTGCTGGGATTACAGGCGTGAGCCACCGCGCCCGGCCGGGCAAAGATTCTTCTACAGTACCTCTTGGGTCTATGAATGAAGCAGGATGGCCTGGATGTAAATTAAGGATTTCAGTTACGGTGCTGTTTTAGAGGAGTTCCCTTTGTGATGCCATGTTCGTATCAGGCTCTGGTGACCAAGATGGTGGTGGCGGTGATGATAATGTTTATTATAGTGGCTGCAGTGTATTCACTGCTTGTACTTCAGGTTCTGTGCAAAGTACATGCCAGGCATTAATCTATGCATTATTCCACAACAGCCTGTGAAGTTGAGACTGTTCTTATGCTCATTTTGCAGATGACGATACTGAAGCTTAGAAGGCTTGAGTAATTTCCCCCTGGGTGAATAGCTAATGAGAAATGGGAAGAGCTTGGAATTGAGGCTAGTACTCTCTGACCCCAGAGCCTGGGCTCTGATACCTCATCCTTGCTACATCCTTTCTAGAAGTAGGAAACTCTTGCCTGGACCATTTCAGGGGCCTGTTGCCTCTCCCTACTTTCCTCCTGTTTCCTCTTTAGCTCTTTTTCCTAGCATGTACCTCACCATTGAAGGTCCATCATCCCTGTTTCTTTGCCTGACTTATATACCTCTCAATCTTCAGGACTTCTTTACTCTGGGGTCTCTCCTTCGAATTCTCATAATATTTTGTTCTTATCTTAATCAAAACTCCATGCAGTTTGTGGTCAGCTAGTTAAGTATTCCAGGGATTCCTAACCTGTGGTCTGAGCAGTCAATCGAGTTTTTTGTGTCTATGCCTGTGTGAATTTTCTCTGAAGTCTGTAGTTTTCATATGAATCTCAGAAAAGTATTTGACCAAAAAGATCAAGGTGTTTATTGTTTATAGGATCCCCCACCCTCCCATAAGTAATAAGCTCCCAGAGGAAAGGAGCATATCATATTTATGTTTATTTCCCTAGATGGATATAATAGGATAATATTTTTGGAGTGTTCAGATGAATGAATGTAGTTACTAGTTAGACAATGAGGTGATATAGCCTGTGGCTTAAGAACATAGGATCTAGATTCCAACTGTGCCTTGGGTTGAATTCCTTCTTTGCAAACCGTTTGGCAAGTGATACAGTCTCTTAAAGTCTCATTCTCCTTATTGGTAAAAGGGATACTAAAATAATATTAAAGGTAGAAGGTTGTTATTGAAGATTAAAATAAGGTAATGCATATAAAATGCTTAGCTTGGGAATACATAGCATACCTTCCATAATTAGCTGCTATTATTATTACTTAAGAACCTTTTGAAAGGGGCCAAACAATGAGGTTCTCATGATTTTCCTAGTGACTATTGCAGAGAAACAAAAACCTGCAAAGGAAAGATTGTTTGCATGCTGCTTTTGAGTCTTAAAGACTTAGAACCGATGTGCTGTCATTAACTATGGTGCCAGGTGCAAGGCAGCTACCTCCTTAAAATGTTTTTCTTGGGCATTTCCATTCCCTGTGGCCTTGACCCTGGATAGACAGTGGCTCAGGCTCCCCAGACAGGCACCCAGAATGCCAGCTAATGGAAATTTTGTGATAGTCTGCCCCTGAGGATTTGGACATATGTTGTTTTGTGTCTAAATCAACAGAAATAAGTGCAGCTGTAGTTACCCCCTCTGCATAATCATCTAAGTAGCCTGTTTCTTTGCATGCTCATGGAGCCCCCAAGTGCTGGGCCCATCACTTGCCACCCACTCTGTGCATTGCAAATGAGTACAGTAGGTCAGATAAAAGGCAGAGGCTGGTTGGGCATCATTGCTGACTTACACAGCAATGATGAATAGTTACACATAGATCAAGACATAAAAGTTATTTATAATAGTCTGGTCACCAGGGTCACATTGGCAAGAAGGAACCTTTGGAAAGGTGCTTTGGTTGGATACTTCTGAACTCTGGCTCATTAATGTGTACCAAATATAGAAAAGTTAGTTTAAAATCTCTTTACAGAAAATATATTATGAGCTGGATTTTATTGACATAGGAATACTGACTTATACTTTTCCTATAGGTTTCTTTAAAGTATGTACCATTTCTTTTTATTATTGGTAATTGTGACCTTGGCTCAGTCATTTGCAAATTTTCTTTTTTTGGTATATCTTAAAAATGGATAGCACCTTTTATTCATAATTACCCCAAACTGGAAACAGCCTGAATGTCCTTATACTAGTGAAAGGATAAACAAGCTGTGGTTTATCCATACAATAGAATACTAATTAGCGATAGAAAGGAACAAGCTACCGATACCTGTAGCAATGTGGATGAAGGTCAAATGCACTTGCTAAGGGACAAAAAACAGACTCAAAAGCCTGAATGCTATATGATTCCATTTATATGACATCCTGGAAAAGGCAAAACATAGAAACAGAAAACTGATAGGTGGTTTCTGGGATTGGAGATGGGGGCTGTTTTGACTACAAAGGAGTAGCACAAGAGAGTATTTTGAGGTGATGGAACTGTTCTGTATCTTGATTGTGCTGGTGGTGACATGGCTCTGTGCATCTCAAAACTCGAACGGAAGGTGAATTTTAGTGTATCTAAATAAAAGTAAAAGAATAAAAAAGGAGATGAAAACATTTACCCAATATGCTCACATGCTCACAAAGAAATGTTGCTTTGAAAAGGCCGATATATGTAATTTAAATTTCATAAATTTAATTTAAACCTCACAAATATTTATTGGTGAGCTGCTATAATGCAGTGCTTTATGGGAAATCCTAAAGGAAATACTGATCCATGCACTCAGTAATGTAACCATCTCTTTCGGCAAACATATACAAACAATTTTAGGGTGATTTTAAGATTATAATTATATTATGGGACATTAGAGGAGAAAGAGGCATCTAGATGGGATCAAGGAAGATTGTTAAGAAAGTGAAGAAGGTTTGTCAAGGAATAGTCTTAAAGAATAGGTAGATTTTTAAAGTATTTTTAGTAAACTTTTAACTGAAATATAATATTCCCACAGAAAAGTATACACATCTTACATGCACTGCCTGAGGAATTTTCACCAGATAGCTAGCACCCAATCTCTAAGATAGAGCATCACTAGCACCCTTGTGCCTCCTCCTAGTCAACCCCTCTTCTAAGTATAATCACTATCCTGACTTCTAACACCATGGATTAATCATGTCTGGGTTTTATTTAACTTCATACAAATGAAATCATACAGCATGTACTCTCATATCTGGATTCTTTCGCTTAACATTATGTATGTGAGATTTATCCCTTGTTTGTATGTAGCAGTAGTTCATTCTCATAGGATATTCCATTGTATGATTACATCACCATTTATCCATTCCACTGTTGATGGGAATTTGGTTTGCCTAGAGTTCTGCACTATTATGAGCAGTGTTGCAATGAACATTATTGCTATATGCTTTTTGGTGAACACACATATAAATTTATCTGGTTTGGGTTAAGAAATGGAATTACTAGGTTATGAGGCATGCACATGTTCAGCTTTTGGTAGATACTGCAAACCATTTTCCAAAAGTCTTTCTGTGAATTTACACCTTCAGGAGCAGCATCTGAGTGTGCCATTTGCTCTGTTCTTCACCAACATTTGGTAATACATCTCCCTTTCATTTTACTGAAGAATACGTAGTGTTTTTTTGATAGGGATGGTGAGTGCATGAAGAGTAGTACTCCAGGCAAGAGAACACCCCAAGCAAGAGTGTACAGCTAGAGTTAGAGAATAAGTTGTTTATATTGGTTTGAATCATTACAATAGATAAGTCCAGAAGGATAAGTTGGTGCTTGATTGCTAGTCTAAATAAAACATTAAAAAAAAATTCATTCATTGTATAGTGATGAACCATTAATTTTGTGACCATAGTTGCCTGAAAACAGCAAAATCGTGCTTTAGGAAGTGTTATCTAGTAGTAGGTGTATAATATTTTGGGGGAAGTTGTCAGAACAACCTAGTAGTCCAGGCCAGAGTTTCACCATGTCAGAATATCTGTGAGAACAGAGATGGTGGTTGATAGATAAGATGTGATAAGCATCTGTTCGGTAGAGGGTTAAGGGGAAGGAAGAGTAAGAGATACCTCTGACCCTGGTGGTACCTTAGCCAATTATGCCAAAATTCACTATTATCCTTCTTAATGTCTTTAAAGAGTAGTTTATACTTGCCGTATCCATTTCTTTACTTCCCTATATGGCTTATTTTTTAACTTTTTCATTACTAACAATATTCAATATTATTATTATTAAATATATCATACATATAGAAAGCAATACCTGTCCGTTTAGTAAAGACCAATAAAATGAATAACCATGTGCCCACCATCCATCTTAAAAAATAGAACCCTCTGGAAGCCTCATCTTTGAGGCATTCTCCTCTTTACTCCCTACCTAGTTAACCATCATCCTTTTTGTTCTAATCACTCCTTTGCTTTTCATTACACTTTTAGAATCGTTGACTACATCACTAAACTATGCTTTGAACTTTAAATAAATGGGGTCATAAGGCAAGATTCTATGTGACTTCTTTTTTCATTCCACATCTGTCTTGATTTTATCCATGTAAAGGCATATCACTCATGTTTACTGATGTGTAGTGATGCATTGTGTTAATATTATTCCTCAGTTTATTGATCTCTTTCGTCTTTTTTTTTTTTTTTTTGACAAAGTCTCACTCTGTCGCCCAGGCTGGAGTGCAGTGGTGTGATCTCAGCTCACTGCAACCTTCGCCTCCCATGTTCAAGTGACTCTCCTGCCAGTAGCTGGGATTACAGGTGCACGCCACCACGCCTGGCTAATTTTTGTATTTTTAGTAGAGACAGAGTTTCACCGTATTGGTCAGGCTGGTCTCGAACTCCTGACCTCGTGATCCTCCCGCCTCAGCCTCCCAAAGTGCTGGGATTACAGGCGTGAGCCACCGAGCCCAGCTGATCACTTCCCTCTTAATCATTAATCCCTGGACCCACTGACCCTAATATTGTGGCATATGTGATAGACTGAAGTAAATCATGTATTGTGTCCCATAGACTTAAAACTTTTTGTTAATAATTTAATGTTTACAATGAGGTGGAACTACAGTTGTCCTTGGTATCCTTGGGGGATTGGTTTCAGGACTCCTTTGGATACCAAAATCCATGGGTGCTCAAGTGTCTGATTTAAAATGGTGTAGTATTTTCATATATCTTATGTACATCCTTACATATACTTTAAATCACCTGCAGATTAGTTCTAATACCTGGTACAACATAAATGCCATGTAAGTAGTTGTTATACTATATTGAGTTTTTATTTGTGTTATTTTTTATTGTTGCATTGTTTTTATTTGTTTGCTTTTTAATATTATTGATCCATGGTTGGCAGAATGTGTGGATGTGGAGCTTATGGATACAGAGGGGCTGACTGTATTTTGTCTTCTGTATGAAAGAGGTGCTTATTGTACAATAGAGTTTTCCAATCTGGGCAATATTGACCTTTGCAGCCAGATATTCTTTCTTGTGAAGGCCATACTGTGCATTGTAGGATGTTTAACAGCATCCCTGGCCTCTACTCACTAGATGCCAGTAGCACTTGTTTCTCTGTTTGCAAAAACCAAAAATGTCTCTAGACCTGTCAAATGTCCCATGGGGACAAAATTGTCCCTTGTTGAGGATTACTCCTCTAAAGTATTAAAATTCAGTGAAAAGGCAGTGAGTTACCATGACTGACTGGAGAGAATCACAGAAGTTACCTTCCTCTTAGTACTTCCCTGCTGCCCCATCCCAGCCCTAGGTTGGTGACTGTGAACAGTGGTATTTTTCTTTTGTCTTTTGGTAGTTGACTTTTACTGGTCCTGGAGACCAGCCCCCTCATGTTGTAAGCATGTTATCAGTTTTACCCCCCGCCCCCCAGGGACTACTTTTCTGCTCTCATGGTCTACATTCTGCCTACGTGTGACTCTCTTTGCCCTAAACCCCTCCTAATCCAGAGGCAGTCTTTATAAGTCCAAGGGAGATGATCATGCTCATTGCATTGCATTTAAAAATTGCTTCCATTTCCCATAAGCAAAAAAAAAAAAAAAAAAACACTTAAAGAAAAAAAAGTACATATCTTTTTGAAATTGTCAGTTTAAAAATCTATAATAATAAATACATGTTAATAAAGAAGTTAAATACCAATGAGTTACAAGATTTATATATTTGAAATACACATTTTATAGTATTATTGATACTTTGATATTAATTTAAGCTTAAGAGTTATAGAAAATGCTAAAATGATAGGGCCTTTTGACCTCTGAAATGAAAATTTAAAACATTTAAAGTATATTTAGTTAGCACACAGCTCTCCCGTAACTTTGTGTAATGATTTTTTTTTTCAAGTACAACACAAAACCTGCTCACGAATCCCAAAGCATTATAAAGCTGGCTCCATCTAGTGTATGAAGTACTATATAGCTAATACTGGGGGAAAAATTGTACTAGGAATCTCTTTTGGTACTTCATTATGAAATTAGATAACAACCAAAACAAAAATGGACTGTAAGCTAAATTTATGTTCCAGGAGATAACACAGGCCAGAGTGACCTTCACAGCATTAGAGGAGAGGTCTTTATATATCGAAGCATCAACCTGTAGCATGCCTGACATTTTGTTCTGACAGCCTTGATTTTTTTTGTTTTGTTTTGTTTTCCCCTGGGCTAGAGGTCTTATTTACAGGCACTATCAACAAACGCAGCATGTAACTTCCATGGTGATATTCTCAGTCCTACTTGGCCAGCTTCCCACTTTTTCTGTATGGAATCATATCTGAGAGTCATGCTCATTTCCCACAGTTAGTGAGAGATTGGGGCTGGGCTCACTTACTGTGATTTCAGAACCCTACATGGTTTTCTTTATCAGACTGAAATTCTTTGTAGCTATTAGCCTCTCACCACAATAGAGTGGGCCACTCTATCGGGGCTGTGTTTAATCTCGTTTCCACTGAAAGTTTCTAGCACATTCTTTATATCTCTCAATCAATGTTTCCTAAATTTTAGCTATTCTCATGCTAACTTCATTACTTTTGCTTGCAAAAACCACATGGAACTTTAAATATTACATGTTTTAAAGGAAATGTTATCATACATGGAAGCCACGAATGGAAATAGGTATTAAAATCAATATAATGAAATTGAAAGAAAATTGTTAGATTCTTGCTAGGTATATTGTCTGGACCGGCAGGTGTCTGAGGTCTGACCTGTATTGTGAACAAAGGGCAAGTGTTGAGAGATTGAAGACATATTAGCATCAAACAGAGACTTTCCTTAGATGGAAGAAATTTGAAAGGGCCCTTCTCACTGTGTGATTCCATGCTTAGTTAATGTGAAGTCTGTACATCTCTATTTGAGATCATCTTGTATCCCACACTTTGGGAACTTTTGCTCAAGATTTACCATGTTTCTCAAAGGAAGCCTATCATTCTCCCCCAAATTTCCAAAGACCTTGTTTCCCCTAGAAAGCCTTTTTGAAAAATTATTTCCTTTTTTGAGAACTTTCTTCTTCTATTAAGAAGTATAAATTGTGTTGATATGTTGGGTTACTTTTTTTTTCTTCCTTGTAATCTCATATTTTCTTAGTCTCTTTTCTAACTAGATTAAATTATTTGAGGACAAACATTGTTTCTTTCTAGTAAATGCCATTAATTGAATTCATGCTTGGTATAATATTCAGGGAAGTCTGCTTCATTCTCTGTTTTTTTGTGTGTGTTTTTTGTTCTGTTTTGTTTTTGTTTTTTTTAAGTCAGATCATCGTTAGAGGTGGCCAAGAGAAGCCATTATGGTCAATTAATTAATCATTTAACCTATTGGTGAATAGTTATTGAGTGCCTTCTCTGTGTCTGGAATTGTATGTGGTGAAAGAATGAAGTAGTGACCTAAACAGACATGGTTCATGCCTTTATGGAATTCAGAATCTAGTGTGGGGTACAGACAAGTAAAGAGGCAACTCCAGTGCAAGGTTCTAATTTTAGAATTAGTTTGCTTTTGTGTTCATTGGGTAGATTACAAAAACTTGGAACAGAGAACCATAGAGAGGAAAGTGTGGGCTCTGGAGTTTCAAACTCCAGACCTGTGGCACATTAACCTCTTGATTTTGCACAGGATACTCATATCTCAATCCCTGCCCCCCCCAGTTTCTTTCTTTAAATAAAAAAGATTTGTTTAATAATAAACATGGGGTATGATATGCAAATATGAGATACAGTTATCAGTGTGACAATATGATAAACAATTCTCCATGTCTCTTCTCTCCTCCTTCCTCTTTTTTCACATAAGGCAGAGACGTGATCTCATGGTTTTTTTTTTTCAAATTTTCATGTTTCTTTCCCAACACGCTAATAAATGAAAATGCAGTGATCTAGATCAAGTATAGGAACTAAACATGTTTGTTAATGGGAATATCATTGTAGATGGTGTTTAAAGGTTGCAAATGCATTCAATTTTCACATTGTCTGTTTAAATTAATAAATAATTTGAGCATTCAGCATTACCCCAGAACATTTTTCTCTTAATAATCATGATATATCAGTTATGCATCTTAAGCCTATTGAACAGTGCCTGGGACATAGGAGGTGCTCAATAAATATTTGTTTAGTGGATGAATGGATTTTAATAATTTTGACTCTTCCTTCTTTTATTCATGATTTTGTTAACATCTTTTAAAAATGAACCAATATTGTTTGATATTAGGAGCAAGATAAGCTTAAATTATGGTTTATATTATTCTCTATATCTGTATTACCAGCCTTACCTGTTATATCTGGCAGGTAATTAATATGTAGTAAATGTTAAGGGGAGAATTTAGTAGTTTTTTTAGGCATTATTTTTTTAAGAACACATGACAATATTTTAAGTAAGGATTTAATTTGTCTTTTATATTATTTCATGGTAATATTCATTGGAATTACAGACTATTAATTTAAAATATTGGTTATTTGAATATTTTACTATCAACATTAATATACACTTTGATTATAGGTAAGACTCCCTAGAGTGTCAATTAGATGCAGAAAGCTAATGTGCATTGAGTTTATTATGATTGATTAGAGTTTATTATGATTAATCAACAGACAGGAAGGATTTTTGTGCAAATATTATTTTTCTCATTTTAAATCCTGTTTGCTCAGCATAACTGTAACAGGATGTCATTAGTATGAGAGTAAGTTTTGAGATGCTTTAAAAGTTTGAGAAATTTGACTGTTAGCAAAAATTTAACATAAGGTGATTTATTTAGCATAAAGAGGTTTGATTTTTTATAGTTTTACTTATTTAAATACACGACTTCCTGTGTGACTCCTGGGTATGTTTACATAGAAAAAATATAAACAAAAATTATGATTGACACACTGAATCAGAGCAGAAGGTTTCCTGGACTAGAATTTGGTTTGTAGCTAAGACAACCACTGAAAAGACAGAGTTTGTTGTCTACTATCAGAAGTTACAGATACCATCAATATTTAGTCTTTAGTTATGCACTATGAATATATTATTCACAGATTTATCTATACCTTTCCTGAACTTACATGTATTTTGAATCTGGACTACCTCTTAAGATATCAAAATTCAAAACTACCTTAAGCATTGTCTCCAAATAATAACTTTTATTTGCCCTAGAATTTAAAGTTCTTTGAGGCTCTAAGGGCTGACTTTTCATTACCTAACAATGTTTTGAAATAGAGTCCTCGCTCCTTGTGTCACCTTGATTGAGTGCTATTTTTCTTGTACCATGTTAAGTACTTTTCATACTTTATCTCATTCAATCATAGTATTAATCTATGAAATAGGTAGTATTAATATTCCCATCTTATAGATGCAGATCTTGAGACTCATAAGTCGAATGCCTTACCCAGAGTAAAACTAGGATACGAAGGGTGGTGTGTGTGTCTGCATTGAATCACCACACTATCCTGTCTCCAGTTGGAAAAATGGTGCCATGTTTATATCCATAGGAGTGACACATTTATTAAATAGCAGACCTCTCAGAAGTTTGCTTCCCACAGGTTGAAACCACTGCCCTGGATCCTTACCACATCTTATACAAATTGGAGGTTTTGCACACCAGTGACTTCCATACCACCTTCCACAATGGCATCGTTGTCTGCAAGAAACAGTGTCTCTCTACCTTCTGCTCACTCTTTGGAATACAAACATTTAATTTATATGAATAGACTATAAAATCTAGATGGCAGAATATCCCTGTCTTCTTTATCTCAGTCCCTTCTTCTGGCTCCTCCTTGGACCAGAATGGATTTAGATGGTCCATGGAACTGCTGATGTCCTGGGATCTCCTAATGAGATGGAATCAAGGGAAGGGTGGGTTCATCTCAGCGGCTGTGAGCTTAGCCAAGGTGGTCCATGGAGGCCACTTCTACAGCTGAATTGCATGTTGCTTTAAAATATTATAATACCTTGACTCCTGCTTGGAAGAAGAAAGAAACTGATGTTGTAGATGAAGATGATGGTGATGCACTCTCCTGTTTCAATCCACAACACCCCTAAAAGATAGGCAGAGACATTCATATTCTTATTGTCCTTCAATATTTCATAACTTAAAAAAAGTTACTAACAGTAAAATATATGTCCACATTTTTCTTTTTAAATGAGTAAAGAGTTAACCCATAAATTGAGATAAAAACACCATGATTTTCAGGTGCTGATGTGGAGATTTTATTTATTGTAAAGTCATCTTGTGAATAACTTTGTCCCCCACACTGATGACGGCCTTATCTTTTCCTGTTTACTTACCTTGATAAGATAGTAAATTGCATTTTTACTAAATTTCTCATTTAAAAATATTATCAAAGCAGCATAATCTCATCAGTGTGTTCTCTCCAACTTTGTGTTGTCTCACCTACTCTGTTTATATTCTAGATTGTAGTTTTCTTATTGCAAATACTGGTTGCCATTTATAGATAACAAAGAAAAGCCTCTACATAACCTTTAATGCAGGAACAAGTATTTATTTTGAGATGAACACTGAGAGAATATCAAAGAGTTTAAGGTAAGGGATTAATCCGTGGTATTGATTATTATATTAAAGAGTCATGCTAATGTTTTATATATTTTTGTTTGTTAATTGCTTAAAAATTCACTTTAGGCTGGGCGCGGTGGCTCACGCCTGTAATCCCAGCACTTTGGGAGGCCGAGGCGGGCGGATCACGAGGTCGGGAGATCGAGACCACGGTGAAACCCCCCGTGTCTACTAAAAATACAAAAAAAATTAGCCGGGCGCAGTGGCGGGCGCCTGTAGTCCCAGCTATTCGGGAGGCTGAGGCAGGAGAATGGCGTGAACCCGGAAGGCGGAGCTTGCAGTGAGCGGAGATCGCGCCACAGCACTCCCGCCTGGGCGACAGAACGAGACTCCGTCTCAAAAAAAAAAAAAAAAAAAAAAAAATTCACTTTAGACAGAATTTGAGATGCCTCTTTGTAGACTATATTTTTATCCTCTGGACAGATTCTTTGAAACAGTTTTTAAAAACATTTAATTTTTCCTTCTGGATGTTTGTATAAATATCTTAACCATTCTTTAATAATGTTGGGCTGCATCCCAATCAGGTTTATGTGGGGTCATCTTAGTCTCTTCTTTATTTCCCTTTTCAACCTTGAAGGGCTTCCTTGGTTTCCGGGGACAATGAGCTGTCTTTGAGAGGATGCTGTAATATCACTGTTACAGGCAGATCTGTTCTTGGTAGGAGAAAAAAATAGAAACAGGATGAAAGAGATAAACGTGAGTGAGTGCTACTGCACAGTTATTTCTGCAAGTAGGTAGTCATTAAAAATTTTCTTCAGTCATGCTGTGATGGTTTCAAATTAGAGCCGCTGGACCAGTTCCTTGCAAATTTGTACCCCAATACTTTCTGCATGAAAGTGAGTTGTGCTCAGCCACTAAAAGCTTGCAAATAAAGAGTACACAGTTGTATATCCCATTTATGACTATTGACTTTCTTCATAATTAATTAAATGCTACCCTCAAATTATACTTCATAGATCCTTCCTTATCTGACCTTTTTTCATTTTTGTCAGTCATTCATGCATTCTTCTTTCCTTCTATCCATCTATCCAGCAAATATTTAAATACTTACTATGTGCCAGGCACTGAGAAAAAGGTAAGTACAAGGAACCTGCCCTTAAGAACACAGGACAAATAGATAAATAAAAGGATTACAAGTTGAATTAAGTGCTATAAAAGAAAGAAGCTTGCTTCAAGAGCACAAAACAAAAGGAGATGTTTCTTCTTTAGGAAGGATGGTCTGGGAAGACCTCTCTGAGGAAGAAATATAAGACCTGCAAAACATCATCTGCCAGGTCAGGAGGCGCCAGGCCAGGGAAGGAGTTGCAGAGGAGAGAGAAGAGGGCTCTAGCATTCTGTCCTCCCTGTACCCTCTTCCCATTGGCATGTGAGTGTGAGTCTTGGGTTTCTCTGGAGTGAACGCCTGGAAAGCAGAGCCTCTTGCATCTTCATCCTTGTCTTCCCCATGGCGCTGAGAACAGTGCCTCTCACACACATGCTGGGAAAACTAATAAATGTTTGGATTGAAGGGCCTTTCGGTGGCATGTGACTTTTCCCAGAATGTGAGTGTGAGGCCATCTGGACAAAAGAGATGTGTGTGTTACTCTTGAGAGTACTTTGTGAGTTTCATTATTACTTTGATGAAACTCTTTAATTACCCCACAATAAGGCTTTCATTGAACATTCCACATGGATATTTTAAAGAATTAAAATGTATGAGTAACTTCTTTATTCAATAAATAAAAGGAGCTTCCATTCTTGAGTATTTTCCTGCCACTCTTAACAGACCATTTACATAGATAATATTATATATAGCTATATATATTATAATGTTATATTATATATTAGTGGTTTCTAGACTTGACTTCACTTTAGACCCCTATGAGAATCATTTTTTAGAAACACAGAATTCTAAACCATACCCCTGCAGAATCTCACTCACTCATTTGTTTGGGGAAAGATCCTTGAACTTTATACTTCTTAAATCTCCTGTATTTATTTTAAGGAGGTGGGGTAAGGAGAAGGCTCCTCAAGTGCTTCTGATAGGAAGACAGGTTGGGGAACCATTGGCTGGGATCATAATGAAACATTCCAAGACCAAGTAGATGCTTCTTAAATTGTGTGTAGTTCATGGGCCAACATAGGACCCAGCACATAGTAAGCTCTCAAGTGTTAACTGTTGTGGGGCTATTGAGTAGAAGTATGAGTTTACTGGAAAGAAAAATGACTATCAAAAGAAAGAATATAAGAAAATATGGTGTGCTCGGGCTGGGCAATAAAACATTTAATGCCTAAATAAAATAAGAAGAATTTTGAGCTATGATAAAACAGTAGCATTACTTTTCTTCAGCTAAGTCTTGGACAGGATAACAAGTAAAATCCCTTATCTCTTTTCTAACCTGTTCAAAGCAGTGATTGAATTTTTCCTTCCAAAAAGATTCTGAAACCCAGTTTAGCTTCCAAGGAAAAAGTTGGCTGTCACTTGGATGGTTGATTACTTTAAATCCCATTTTAGTTAAGGTTCAGCTTTTAAAGGGTCAGTAAGAATTCTGATGACTGTAGTTGATTTGCTGCAATTTAGGGCAAAGAGTAGTACTTATTATTGCAGAAGCACTGGAGTACTGGTGATGTTTTTATTCTGCATTTTGTGCTTAGTTTTTCTGATATTATTTTTTCCTCCCCAACCACACTACAAATTCTTAGTCTGTGTTTAAACTTAGGATTTGGGTATCTCTCTCTATCTCTCTTTCCCTCTGTGTGTGTGTGTGTGTGTTCATATGCATATACATATATGTATACAAACTCAGGAAACACATCTGAATAGTACAGATGTGCCCAAGACAGTTGCTTACATATTACGTTGATTCATTTTAAAGATATTCATCAAGCCATGGACTGTTTATTCTGCTGAGTTCTAGGGATACAACATTAAACCAAACGGACATGGTTCTTGATATCCAGAAGACATGTGTTCGTTAATTTGGGTGATGACTTGAGGAGCAGTATTTTAGTGCTGGGAAATGCACGTAACATCTCATGAATTTTGTATATGGTGGCCTGTGTTCATATTTAAGCCAAGCTTTGGTCCATTTGCTAGTGGACGTTTCATTGCTGTATCCAAGAAGGTTCCCTTAGAACTGTACTGTAAGGTAGATCTTTCTAAAGTACTGGTGTAAATTGTCAATAGAAATATTTCTTGAGGCGGTGGATTGTCCAACATAAAAAGTCAGGTGATGTTACTGGCTGAACCTGCCAGGGGAATATTTGGCACCACATTATGTCCCCTTCGGGAAGGGCTGGAATTGATACCATTGGTTTCGTGATCAATATTTGAGAACTCATGGAGGGTACAGATTTTCCCTGTGTGTGAGCATGTAATAAATCAGAGTTTCAGTTCTAAGATGTACCCGAGTGCCTTGTAGGTTTACTCAGCTTTAAATAGTGCCTAAGGTGAGAGAGAAAATCTGGCTTGAACTTTTATTTATTTTATTTCATTAAAATTTATTTTTAAGAGATGGGGTCTCCATTGCCTGGGCTGGTCTTGAACTCCTGGTCTTAAGCAAACCTCCCACTTCAGCCTCCCAAGTAGCTAGGATTACAGGCATCTGCCACCGTCCCTGGCTTGATTTTTTAGAAAATTATCCCTTAAAGTTTCTGATATGGTTATTCCCTATCCTTTCTTTATTTCTTGCTCTTCCACTTTCTTGATTTTTCATTTGTTTTTTTCACTCTGTCTCATTTCTCTTAGTTCTCTAGATTGGTCAATATTAATACAGGACAGGTAGCACTAACCATGATTATAATTGTAAGAGCTTTTTTAAAAATTGAGCGTTTATTATGCATCAGAGACAATGCTGAACACATTACTTGTCATCTCTTTCAGTTCTAACAATAACCTATGGGTAGTCACTTATTTCTCCTTTCTCAGGTGAAAGAACTGGGGCCCAGAAAGTTTAGAAAATTTGTACAAAGTCATAGAATTAGTAAGTGGTGAGATTTGAACCTGGATAAATAAACGTCAGAATCTATGTTCTTGATTTTCATGCCAAACTGTGCTAGAGGCAGGAAAAGAGAGGTGGGATAGGTTAGTAAGATAAATAGTGTAACATCTTAGTCATCTGTTTACCCCAATACCTGGTACAGTACCTGGCATGTAGAAAGTGCTCAATGACTGCTGTTGATGAACTTTCTCCTCTAATCGTATTTATTGGTCCTTAGTTTTACGAGCAATCTGCCCACTTTTCTCCACTTTGCACATCTGCCCTTCCCATGAGCTACCATCACCTCCTACCAGGACTATTGCAGTAGCTAACTCTGACAGTTTTCTAGTTGGCTGTCAACATAGCAACCAGAGAGACCTTTCTAAAAACTCAAATCTGAGCTCATCGTTCCCCTGCTTGCCATCTCTCTGTGGTTTCTTGTTCATCTTGAAACAGAATCAGTGACCTTTCCCTGGCCTACCAGATCCTTCATGGTCTGGTCCTGGTCACTGTGTAGGTCTCACGGGCACCATGTTTTTCCTTCATACTATGTCCTTCAGTGATAGTGAGTCTGCCTGCCAACTTCCCACCTCATAGTTCTTACATATGTTGTTACTGCTGCCTGGAAAGCATTTTTTCTATACTCCTCCTCTCCCCAACTCAGATCTCAGACCAGAAGTCCCTGCCTAAGGAAAGCCTTTCCTGACCCTTAAATTTTAACTTTTTCACCTCTCTGCAGCAGTTATGACATTTTTCATTACATATTTATGTGATTATTTAATATGTGTTTCCCATTAGACTGTAAACTCCACGAATTTACACAATGCCTGGGACACAGTTGGTGTTCCATAAATATTTATTGAACAAAAGAAAGAAAGAATGAATAAAATGAGCAGAGAATAAACAGAACCAGAAATAGTTTGGCCGAGACTCCTGGCTAGATATTTCCTAGCATTAGAGGGAAGTTAAAAAAAAAGATAATTTCATTATATCACGTAATTTGAGTTTGATTATGGCTGAAGAGGTTGCATTATTTTCCAACCATTTACTTTGGAGATAAATGTAGGCACAGAGAGGTGAAGTAACTTGCCCAGTGTATGCAGCTAGTCAGTGTCAGATGTCTTTGTTATGACCTTTGAATTGTGTGTAGGGAGAAACATACATACAATATTTTCACAACTCTGTAGGGCATCTTTGGTGTGCTGAGTCCTGTAGGAGCTGCATGAATATTTGATAATATTGATGTTGTCATGTCTGCATTTTAAAGTGTTTTTTGAGAACATGTATTGCTGTTTTTTCTTCTTGTATACCAATGTGTTCAGAATTAGATTGGATGACAGTCTTAAGAATACACAGTTTATGGCCTAACGATTTGTGTGTCCTGAAAGATGGTGGCCATAATTAGGAGCAGTTTGTGTTTTACTTCCACCAGAACCGGGCAAGGACAACCCTCCTAATATTCTTGGGGTCTGAGGGTAAGGAATGCTGTTTTGGATCTCTAGCCTGTCAGCAAGGAGGGCATATTCAATTATCAAGCTCCAAAAATGCCTGTGCACAGATGCAAAACACCTAGAGTTGTGTGATGAGTTGATGCCCGAGAGCTCCCAAACTGAGAGGGGACACAAGCAGTTCCACAGTCCTCCCTCCTAGATTCTGTGACTCCAGTAAGTGTTGACAATTCACTGGTATGTGAAATTACCTCTCCTTTTAAGTTCTCTAATAATGTGCAGTCTCTGCAAGCCTCAGCCAGTACCGGAGCTGGGTAAGGCTAAATAAGCTTCCCGAGGTGCTTGCCTGGCTGCTGGGCTGCCTCCCTGGCCGTGCCTGGGTCCTTGAGTAGCCCTCATTGTGGTGTGAGGCAGCGTTTTTGTCCTGCAGGTACAGTAGGTACTGGATTAAACAGGTCTGCTGTTGCAGACAGAAACCAGGCACCGTTCTAGCACAGAGCTGTGTTTGGATTGGAGTTTCCAGGGCCTTATCAGGAGCCACCCCTAGTGACACAGCCAGTGCCAGAACTAACTTTGACTTTCACTCTTCGCCAAGGGCTTGCAGAACACCTTAAAGGAAAAAAGATGGAGGCGCTTAGAGTTCAGATGTTCATGCCATGCTCCTTTGAAAGCTTGTATCTGTAAGTGAAGTTTTATTCTGGAAATAATCCCGGGACCACTTAAGAGGAGCAGTTTTTTTTCTCTTTAAGGGGGAGGATAAAGGAAGAGAAGGGTTTATTGGGAGTTAAAAATACTGAAGCTGTTACTTCTCACTGGCTTTAATCAGCTTCAGCTGTAACCTCTGGTAGGTGGCTATGACAAGGATAACAACTAATTTGGGGGTGGGGGTGGGGGTGGTAGATAGAAATGCTAACCCAATATCCTTGCCCTCTCCTTTAAAATTGAATACTGGTCTTAAGTTAATAATGACAAAAATACCGCGACTGCTTGAAAAATCTGAGTTAGAGCAGAGCTTGATTTATGATTGCAAGATAGACTGCAGCCCAGCTTTGTTATGAATAAAACAGGATTTTCTTCAGGAAAACTGTGTGTTTAATACAGTAGTAACATTTGTCCAAACTCTCCCATTGTAAACACTGTGAATTTTTGGTTTCTCCCCCCACCTTTTTTTTTTTTTTTTCCTGACTGTGGAATGGTAACAGTTGCATTAATGAACATCTTCTTTGCATTCTTGTATATTGATTTTTTTCTCTTGGAAGGGGAAACAGACATCCAAACATCAGAATTGTCTGCCTGGCATATAAATGTAGAACAAGTTTAAAAAATGGCAATTTCAAAGAAATATTAAAATGGAGAAAAACTAAACAGAGTATAGTTCCCCCCACATCCTTTAACATTTACTTTCACTGTTAGGTGATAAGATTTGAAAACAGTGCTAAAAGCTGTGTCCCCAAGTGAATAGGCATTCAAGCAAATCAACTTATGCAAAAGCTACCTCTGGAGCTTAATCATTATTTACTGAACGTTCCTGGGTCATGGGAGAGGTTCTGATTAAGTCAGAAAGGCATTATGTTCAGCAGCTTGTGAAGGTGTGTTTAAAGACAGCAAGAATAATGGAAAAATACTAGATGTAGCAGATCTATTTTTAGAATTTGATTCTTAAAAAATATAAATATAATTACCATAAGTTTAAGTGTGGGTTAAAGTTCATCATTTTCAGTAGATACATCTTTAAAAGGTCTTATAAAAGGTAGTTTTAAAAATGATTTCTAACTTCTTGAGCTTCTATTTCTGCTGCAGTTTGTTTTAACAGATACTTTAGATTTTTTTCATTCTTTATGTCGTCATAACAGCTTAATTACTCACCTCTATAAAATGTTAGAGCATTTTCTAAACAAAGTATATATAATTATGTGTTTAAAATGTCACTATGCTAGAAATGTTATAAATTTTTGCCTTATTAATGAGATACTAGCTGGGGAGATGATGTCTACTCTTTGTGATTCATTCTCTACAAAAATATACTCTAACTTACTAATTTTTTAATATTAATAATGGATGGCATGAACAAATGAAACTTGCTATTCTGATTCTACGTAAGAATGGTAGTAATGTCAAACCTGAATTCACAGCCAAATTAATTCTTAATTTTGAATTTCATTCTTTTAGTTAACTAAAATACTTGTCGTAAGAGCATGCTTCCCTTATACACTCTCAGAATGAAATTCTTCACAAACACGTTTGACAAAACTTGTTCACTGAGTTATTGCCCATTAACTTTTCTGTGCGTATTCTTTTAGGAGAGCACACACTGTGAATTAATTGTTTTGTATTTTCCTCTAGGAAAGAAAAGGAACATGATAGCAGAAGGCAGCATTCTAGAATTTTGGCTCCCTAGAAAGTAACTTGTCAGCTTTGACTCGTTTTTAGATATTAAGATGTTCAGCAGATACCATTTCAGGAATTAAAACACAGACTAGAAGAATTCATTGCCTAACTTTTACTCATGTCCACATGGTTTGTGGGAACTATGCTAAGTATTGTGCTTGTATTAACACATTTAATTTTCACAACTGCTCTATGAAGAAGATATGTCTTTCCACCCCCATTTTGCAGCTGAGAAAACTGAGGCTTGGATAGGTGAAAAACCATGCCCAAGTGATACAGCTAAGAAATGACAGGGCTAGGAATTTGACCCAGGGATCCTGGCTCCAGGGCTTAATGCTATTATCTGTTGTGGTCTGTGGATTTTCACTTAAGATACTAAATGAATCAATATTTCTTCCTCTGCTTTTTTATCTAGTGGGTTTCTCCTATCCCTAGATTTCTGAATTACCAAACTGTAACTCATTTGAGCTCTTGAGGGGCCGTGTTTGGTCCTGATGCCACGGTTTTCGTCTACCAGGTGTATTTCCCTGAGTCCAGTTCACCATTGATTATAAGACAGCTATTGGCTGGGCGCGGTGGCTCACGCCTGTAATCCCAGCACTTTGGGAGGACAAGGCAGGTGGATCATGAGGTCAGGAGTTCAAGACCAGCCTGGCCAACATGATGAAATCCCGTCTCTACTAAAAATACAAAAATTAGCCAGGCATGGTGTCCCGGGCCTATAAACCCAGCTACTATGGAGGCTGAGAAAGGAGAATTGCTTGAACCTGGGAGGTGGAGGTTGCAGTAAGCCAAGATCGCACCACTGCACTCCAGCCTGGGAGACAGAGGCAAGACTCCATCTCAAAAAAAAAAAAAAAAGACAGCTATTTGGTGGAGAAAGAAACTTACTAAAATATATTCATTGATTATATGATCTCTTCTGACTTGGGAAATCTTAACATGTGGAGGGAAAGTTCCTCTTAGAATTAAGGAACTGTCGTAGATCCCTAGAGCCCAGAGTTCTCCGTCTCTGGATGATTCAAGCAAATGGTTTGAATAAGGGTGCACCAACTCTAAGGTTCTAGTATTATTAGATTCTATGAGGTAGAATATTTGTTGGGAGACAGACACCAACTTTACTCACTGAACAAATATTTATTTTGTTCTACTATGTGCTGGAGAGACAATATGTGAATAAAACATGTAAACATCTCTGCCCTCCTGGAGCAGATTGGACCAGGTCATGAAGGACCAAGCACATACCAGTTTCATCCCTGAGTCTGGCCCTCATTCTCATGGTTCAGGATGGCTTCTGAAGCTCCAGCCAGTGCAGCCAGATTACAGGAGACATGGTGGCAGAAGGTTTAGAGAAGGGGATCATTTGAAGGAGATTTTCTGTAGCTGATTCTGATACTCAGCCATGTTTGGAAATGAATACTAAAACATTCAAGATCACCTGTTTGTTTAGTAGGCGAGCTGGGACATGAGCCCACATACATCTCTCATTCTTAAGCCAGGACACTTTCCTCCATGTCTGACAAAATTCACATTCTCTTCCCCACCTCTAGTCAGCCTGGCCAGAGGTCTGAAAAGCCCTTCTGATACTGAATTCAGTGTTTTGGATGGAATCAAATGAGAAGGACTACTCACTCCTGCCAAATGGGCTATGAAACCACCCCAAAACATCTATCCATAAACTGCCCATGGCTTTTTGTGGGTACAGCACAACTGCTTTGTCATAAACAAAAGGAACCGATAGGCTGAATCTATAGGAACTGCCTCCCCCTCAGGAGGTACTATGAGATGGGTCGTATGAAGCTCCTCCTGCTCGTATGACTCACTTCACAATACCTCTCACCCCATGTCCTTCTCCAGCTGAGGATCCCACAATCTCCTAAGATGTAAACTTTAAGTTATGTTGAAATGGAGTCTTACGTAGAACTCCAGAAAACAGTTTCGGTGGTGTTCTTGGGGTTGTCTTAGAAGACTCTTGAGGATCTTTGTTCTTTCCTATTTTTCTTCACCTAGAACCACCATGGAGATGTATATATTTGATCTTTAATTTATATTATGCTATAGTACAGTTGCCGTAGTCAGTTGTATTTGAATTAATAAAAAAAACAGGCAAAAAAAAAAAAGCCAGTCTGTTTCATCACAAAAAGGAATTCTTAAGAATGTTTTGAAAGTGCCACCAACTGCACAAATCAGAGTTGGTAAATGGATACACACACACACACACACACACGTGTGTGTGTTTATATATATACACATACATATATACATGTATATATACACACATACATGTGTGTATATATGTATGTGTGTGTATATATACGTGTGTGTGTATATATATGTGTATAAATATATGTGTATATATATATGTGTGTGTATATATATATATATATTTTTTTTTTTTTGAGACGGAATCTCGCTCTGTCACCAGGCTGGAGTGCAGTGGCGGGATATCCGCTCACTGCAACCTTCACCTCCTGGGTTCAAGTGATTCTCCTGCCTCAGCCTCTTAAGTAGCTGGGACTACAGGCGTGTACCACCATGCCTAGCTAAATTTTGTATTGTTAGTAGAGACGGGGTTTCACCATGTTGGCCAGGATGGTCTCCATCTCTTGATCTCGTGATCCACCCACCTGGATATATATATTTTTAAATGGCAGTCTGGGTGTCTAACATTTCAGAGTGATTGGCACTTCTGTTATCTACTTAAATCTAATTGGCGAAACTTAGCATGTAGCCAGTCCAGCTCTGGAGACCTGGGAGATGTTGTGGGTGGGAGTGTGCCTAGCCAAAACAAAGAGAAAATAGGAAAATAGATGGGTGCTAGGTTTTATGAATTGTAGGTCTTAGGCTGAAACTTTGACTTTTTCCCCAGTATTACTGATATTTTTTAAATGTTACAAAACCAGCTGTAGTATCCCAGGGTACATCAAACTGGCTTAAGAAAAAATGGAGTTTGATTGGCCCTCGTGAAGTCCTTGTCCAGGGTTAGTCCAGGGCTATCATGACTTCAGGAATGATTTGATACAGGTGCTCAATGTCATATAAACACTGGCTCCCTCTTTCTTTGTTATTCCTTCTCATTAGTCCTCTGTTCTTTCTTTACTGTTTCCTCCAGTTTGGCTTTCTTCTCGGATAGATCCAGGAAGTTCCAGATTTACATCCTACCAGCTTTTCAAACCTTAGTTTAAAGAGACTCATTTTAACCTAATAGTTTCAGTTGAAGGAATAGGGATAACCCTTACTTGATTGTCTTGGGGCACAAGCACATTCCTGAGTTAGTCTTTGTGACCAGAAGGATGGATTTCCTGATTGGCCAGGGTCGTACTTCCATGTCTGGAGGTAGTGACAACACCATAACCTCATGAACTGAAAGTGAAGGAGGCTGGTTATTCAAGGTTAAATCAGGTACTTTACCAAACAAGTGGGACAGGATGCTGGGCAGCTATAAATGCCATGTGGCCACCATAAATCATTACTGCTATGTGTAAGGTTGCCTGTTAAACCATGACAGGTGTACCCATTCACTGCTCCTTAGATTACAGTTTGTACTTTTGTCTTTATTTCAACACAATGTTGGAAACTTTGCATCTTGGTTGACGTGTGCTAGACATGCAGTAATTGTTAAGTGATGGTGGTCTAAGGCTTTTGAATTTTCTCTGATCTGTTATAATGTCTAGAAAAACAGCCAGAGCATGCCCTGTGATTGGAACAATTATTTGAGTACAAACAGAAGGGCTTTCTACCTTTAAAAAGTTTATTCCAGTTCCTTTCACACTCATGTCTGAATTCTGTCATTAGTTTGTCATTGTGTTAGATTTTTAAAAATTGCTTTTTCTTTTAAAATACTCTCAGTGGAGCATCTTGCCATGCCGTATTAATTACTTTAAGGGATGAATTTCTCAAAGCCCTTTAAAACATGGCAGTTAGATGTGAATGGGATTCCACAGTTGGACAGAGTAAGCAAGAATTCTAGAGTACAGTCTAGTGAAAGGAAGCTTGATATGAAAAACAGAAAACTTGAGTGTGGGGCACTTCAACTTTATCTGCTTCATAACCTTTCAATGGTTTGGCTCTCAGAGGCGATTTCCTTGAAAGGAATTGAGTGTTAAGATTGTGCCAACCCATAATGGCATCTGTGGAAAATGGAGATCAGTCGTGGTCATAAAATGAGGAAATGGCAAAGTTCATATCCTTAGTTTAAAATATCTTTTAGTAAGAACTTGATATTCCTCTTAGTTGGAGTATACATAAGTGAGACACACTTTGGTAAAAAAAAAATAACCAACTTAAAAAAAATCTGCTGATGAAAATTGCCTGGAAGAGCATTGTTCGTATGTTACAGAGGTCTCTAAACATTTTTGATCCTTCTTCCTAGTTAATTTCTTTCAAGAAAACCTTCTCAACACATTTTCATTTGATTTATAAGTTATGTACATGTGCAACTATACTATTATATAACATGTACAAAAATAAAAAATGAAAGTGATAATATAAAATATATATGAAGAAATGTTTTAATTTTTTCTTCCTGCACCCAGGTTGTCATTTTTGGTATGGATTTTTGGAGAATACTGATATATTGGGAAACTTATTAAGGTTCTCCTTGATTTTTATCTAATCAGTCATTGAGATTAGTCTTTCCTGGTACCTGTTGAAGGTCCAGCTTAAAAAAAATGTGGAGAATCCTGAATGGATATGAAACATCTTCCATTTTTAGCAGCGAATTGAGGTCTCAGCATTAGAAAGAAAAGACTTCAGATTTTAAGTTGTGTGTGATTGGTGGTTCTTAATTTTTAGAATGCTTTTCTCCCTATGTACTGTGAAATGTACAAAGCTCTGGAGATAGGAGCATTGTCCAGTTGCGACACCATGATATCCTGCATGTCTAGCAGCACCTAGCTTTTGGAAAGCATTTGCGTGGGGCATGAGGCTATGTTTTGTAAGCCTTTGTATTTTAGCTATGCCAGAGACCTGGAGTATTTATTATCTGAGCTGCTCATGTTACCCCCAAAAAGGTGGAATCTTGGCAGATCTCCATTCTTTTTCTTGATGACTAAAACCCAAGTTAGGTGTTGACAGAAGTCCAGAAGATCTCAGTGTGAAGCCGAACTATGATATCTGGTACTTTCACATTTACATGGGTTACACTCCCAGCTATTTTAAGTACGAGGGATGATATAGTTTCTTATTAGTATTTTTTTCCACCATGCATGGTGAAAAACTCATCCTGAATCACTTTGGAAGGAATGGAAAGTTTGAGATAACAGAAGTGCCATTCACTCTGAAATGTTAGACACCCAGACTACCATTTAAAAAAAATATAGCCATTTACCAACTCTTATTTGTGCAGTTGGTGGCACTTCCAATAGATTGTTAAGAATTTCTTTTTGCTGGTGGAACGGACTGGTTGGGGGCAGTTCTTGTAGATTCAACCTATCAGTTCCTTTCATTTATGATAAAGCAGTTGTGCTGTACCCATAAAGGGCCGTTGGAAGTTTCTGGATAGATGTTTTTGTTTGGTCTCATAGCCTATTTGGCAGGAGTAAAGTAGTCTTTCTCCTTGTGTCCCATCCAACATGTTGCATTCAGTATCAGAAGGACTCTTCAGACCTCTGGGAAGGCTGATTGGAGGTGAGAAATGGAATGCGAATTTTCTCAGACATGGAAGAAAGTATTCTGGTCTAAGAATTAGAGGTATGGGTTCATGTTCCAGCTCTCCTACTATGCAGACAAGTGATCCTGGGTATTTTACTATTAGTTTCCAAACATCGGAATCAGTCAAGTGTCAGAATTGGCTGCAGAATTTTTGTGGACATATTGATTCCTGGGCCTTACCTAAACAAATCAGAATTTCCAGGAATGAGGCTGGACATTTTTATTTGAGATGAAGTTCTCAGCGAATTTTGTTTTTCTCAGCTAGCCTTTTGCATTTTGAAACCCCTGTAGCTTAACCCATACATGACATAGGTTTCTCCTTTGCCCAGGAGGTTAACACTATTGAACCTTCCTGTGTCTTCACTGTGTATATGAATATCCACCACTGTGCCTCCTGGACATAAATAAATTGTACATCAGTGCAAACAAATACTAGGCTTTGAGCTCTGTCAACCAAATGACTATGATGAAGATTATTTTTTACTGAATAAAAATGCTACAATTCCTACTTTATAGCTCATGAGAGATTTGCAGAATAAATTATCTTCTCTCTCCATCCCTGAAAAAGTTTTTTGAGTTCTCTCATTTAAATGGACATTGGCTAAACTTTACAAGACATATCTTCTGTGGTCCAAACTTGCACATAGGCATATAAAAAGTAGATTCCTTGTATCCAAAAGAAGAAGCATGCTCATGGTTTAATATTATTATTTTTACCACTAATTTTTGAACTGTATTCCAGTTTATTGGACCATGTTTCAGTCATTGTGCTAAGTTTTTCTATCTATTAAAAATTTTAATCCTCACCACAGTGCTGAGAGGCAGATGTATTGCGAAGCACAGAGATAGACTAACTGGGCCACAGTCACAAGTTACCGCACAGCCCAGCTGAACTCTGCCTGAGGAGTGGACTAAAGGAAACGCAAGGAAAAGTAGAACATTGCTTTAGCGTCTCTAGGTTTCTACTGATGACCAGAGTACTGTCTTAGAGGACTGTGATATTGAGACCAAAGACCAGTCCCTATGAGATAGTAAAAGAACACTGGCATCATGTCAAAGGTGAGGGGTGGGCAGACAGATGTTTGGATGCTGGAGCATTGAATTTAATGGAATTTCTGATATTGTTAGGTGGCTGACAAAGATAGAATAAAGTATTGGGATTTAGCAAAACGTCAGATAGTTCAGAGCCCATGTCCAAAATACCTATACCATCACAGAGAAGAGGGAGGCTTTGAAGGTTAAGAATGTAAATTCTGCCATAGAGGTAGGAACTCAGGTCACATTTGGTGGCCATCTGGTGTCTGTATACCTCCAGCCACTGTGCTGAACACTTTAATTTAGTGAACATTAACTGACCCAATCCCTGCAGCACATTAAAATGCTGGGTTTTGGAAAAGCCCAGAGAGGTCAAGTGGCTCATTAAAGCTCATGCAGCTCGGCAGTGACTGAGCTAGCCCTTGAGTCCAATCGGTGGCCCTCCTCCTCGAGCCATTGCTGACAAATTCCCAGTTCTCAGGGGAGTTGTGTGCCTGGCTTCAGTGATGCCGATACATGCCAGTAAAGGCATTTGTCTCTCTGCCCATCGGCTTTCAAAGGGAGCTTTCTGATGGTGAGATGCCCACCTTCCCATGTGGGACTTGATCAGAGTTCCGTAGTCTAGGTAACTGACTTAATTTTAAGGCGTCTCAGAAGAATTATGTGACTGTGGCTTTAAACTCTATGAGATTAGAAACCAGGTATTCCCAGCACCTGGCAATAACTATTTGTTGAATAAATGACCTTTACATAATCTGATTAAAAGGAATCAGACTCATGGAATTAGGATTATCTAGCGAAGATTCAGCTTCATGGCCTGGGATGAGTTCAGTTAGCTTTTAAAATTAAATACATTTGGACATCTCTCCTTGTGTATCATTAGTAGCTTCAGCATCACGTCCTCGTTTTAAAAAATAAGCATTGTTGCCACTTGTAATGTTCTCACATAAACCTCAATTTGGAGCTTAAGACATTATGCTCATTTGTCCTGCTAACATTGTGACATGCAGATATCCTTGTTTTTGTCTAGAAGGTGATAATTGCAGATTCAGTTACTTCTAAGAGAAAGGGATGTTTAGAAGATTGAGAGCAAAGCTGAGAATCTGGGAGTCATCTTTCACAATGTGGAAATATCCCGCAGGGAGTGTGTGCCATGAGGCGACTCTAATGCTTCCTTTGCACTTTTGGGTTTTTTTGCAGGAAGATTTATTAAAACACTGTCAATTAACTGAGCTGTGCTATATTTATATAACTATAAAAATATATTTGCTCTATTTTTTAGTGGGGTTTCTTTTCACTTATACTGGTCTACTTCATACATACGTATTTTTTTTTCAGACAGGATATTTCAGAAAATGCTTTGAATGATATTGTTGTCGACTTTCACGTATGAAGACTTAGTGCAGTTGATAACTAGAAATTTTAATTTAAGATGTCTTAAGAATGCTTTACTGTTAATTGAAAGGATTTCTTCCCCCAGTATCACAGCCAATGACTCGTCTTGAGCAGCTAATTAGTGCGATTATTCCACAGCTGCATTTGCTACAGCACAAAGGTTTGCTTCTGTTTTTATCAAAAGGATCAGTCTCTCTGGGAATGTTTTAACCTGACAGGCTTTGAATAGTAAGGCCGCTTATTTATTTATTTATTTTAAAATAACTGTTCCCCCCGCGCTTCCCCCCGCCACCCGCCATGCCCCTCATCACAGCTCTCCTTCTTTTCTTGGCTTAGGAAGGTACATTTGAGCTTTGAACACATACTCTAAAATGGGAAAATACATTTTTAAATGCTCTTTTAGTAGAGCTGTATCAAGTGAATAGATTATTTTAAGTGAGTTAGAATAATGGCCAAGTGCCCTTAATATGTGGATGAGTGCATGATATTAAATAATATGCAAGGTATTAATGCTGTTCGATTTGTATGTGTCTGTAGAAAATGTAGGAAAACATGAAGGAAAGAGGGTTTGTGTTTTCTGGAATGCTGAGCACTTCCAAGTTTGCCAATGTACTGGATATATTCACCACTTTCCCATCGTATTGTCAAAGTGTTGTCTATGTTGGATTCTGTCCCCTTTCTTCTAGCCAAATGGTGATTTTGATCACTCAAGTCCTTTTTTCATGGTCTTAAATTAGTGTCTAGAGGCATATATTCTGCCATTGAAAAAATACTATGACTTCTTTATAGTTGAGGGGAGTAAAATGATAGAAAGATAAATTTACCTGTAGTTCTATTCTCACCCTGGCAACTATCGTGATCTTTGGACATTCCCTACTAATCATTTTGCATACTTGGATACATGCATATACCACACTTATTTCAAATTAGAATGTAAATATACTTTTGAATCCTACTTTTAAATTCCCTCTTGTTACATACATTTCCCACTTTGTTCTGTAGTTGCACAATTTAAAAAAATAGGTAGTATTTTATTGAATTCATATATGATAATGTATTTAACCATTCTCATAGTATGGGACAAATTTTTTATTATTCATATATTTTGCAATTTGTAAAGAGCTTTGTAATATCAGTTTTTGCACATTTAAGTTATTTACTTAGGAAAATTGTCCATCACAACATTTCTGAATCAAATTGTATGAACAATTTTTAGCTTTTTGGTAGTGTTGTTAAGCTGTTTTAATATATACCAGCAATGGTGTAGAGTAACATTATTCTTATGCTTTTTGTTGTCATAGACAGTTTGTTTATTAAAAAAAAAAAAAAACCTTGGATCTTACCTTAAATACTATTTTGTATCTGGCTTTTCTAAGTTCTTTGTATTGTGTAGTTTTATTCACATCAGTAACTATATTTTTACACTAGTTTTAATGGTTGCATCATGTTACATTTTGATTCTCTGACAATATACTGAGCCAATTTCCTGTTGTGAAAATAAGCGAACTGTTAAATTGTTATTGTGTAGTTTTTCTGGGATAGCGTGAGGGTAAAACCAATACTTCTTCATCCCCTAGCATGTTTTGTTACCTTCAGAGCCTGAAGGTTCCTGTCTTTAAGGAGCTCATGAGGATGGTCAATGATATTTAAGGCTTCATTTTGCCTTTTATTAGAAGGTAAAAGATAATACCAGAGTTTATATTCAAGGAAGGAAGTTCAAAGTACAAATACTTACCTCGAAGCATGACTTTCTCAAGAGTGAATATTTTCTCAAATGTTCCTTTTCTTCTGTTCCAGGTGCTAAGGTTTTGAACCGTTGACCTAAACACAGACGTTAAAAAATATATATAGAGAGAGAAATAAACAATGAAACATTTTCTACCTATAATAATAGTGACAGCAAACATTTGTTGAGCCAGTACTACATGGTACTCATTGTACTAGGGCATTTATGTGCCTTGTTTTATTTAATCCCCCAAAATCCCTAGGAAGTAGGGCTTTAAAATATACATGATGCTATAGAAATTTTAAAAGAACAGCTCCCACCTTTATAAATGGTAAGTGGGTAAAAAACTATTGTTATCCTTCTTTTCCGGATACTAAGACAGAGAGAGATTTAATAACTTGATGTCATAGAGCTGGCAAGATAAGTTATCAGAAACCATATTTAGGAAAATTAGGAAGTTTTTTCTTTTTAATTTGTGAGTAGGGTTTCAGAATTTTAAACTATTTTGGGTAGAGTGAGTACCAAAACCATTAGAAGTAGTCCTCATGGGGAATGCACAGAGAACACATTGTAACATAGTAGAGGGCATGCCAAGGTGAATCAGAAGAAAAGACAGCACAAAGAAAACCAGACAGAGAAGTATTGGCTTGTCAGACCAGCTCGTCTTCTGCCCCCTTACCCAAAGAGCGAGGTCGAGTTCAGTGTTAACATTCTGGCCCAAATGCTTCCTTCATTAATTATTTTTACTTATTTTATCTTAGAAAAATTTCCTCTTGGCAAAGCTCACCTTTTCTTTAATCAATATTTGTTAGTAAACATTTTAGGCATCTTCAAAGAACTTAGATAACATGTAGGAGTAGTTATTTGGTTAGATTCAGTTATACAAAAAAGCAAATCAAGCAATTTATTTTTAAATGTGGAAATTTGGGTGCCATTAAGATGCTTTGCTTCTTGGCAGTGCATATGGTGGCGCTATATTTGGTGGTGATGAGTAGTGTGCAGCATAAAATGTAAAAAAAAAAAAATTAAAAAAATTAAGCCGCCTGATAAAAATGCCTTGATGCAATCAAGCTGACTTATTTTAATTCAACTACTAATGACTTAAATCCTGTCACCTCTTGATTTTCAATTATGTGGAGTACCATTCTGTGACTTGATTATATTTGCGCAGACTCATTTTATAGTTTGGTGCAATTTAGGATACCCCCAAAGTGCAAACGAAGGGTCTCATTAGGAAACTAAATGTTGTATGCATTTTGGTTTTCCCACAGCAGTTCCGCCGAGCATCCTGGGGCCTCCAAGCCTCCGATAAGCTCCTCCAGTATGACATCACGCATCTTGCTACGCCAGCAACTCATGCGTGAGCAGATGCAGGAGCAGGAGCGCAGGGAGCAGCAGCAGAAGCTGCAGGCGGCCCAGTTCATGCAACAGAGAGTGCCCGTGAGTCAGACACCAGCCATAAACGTCAGTGTGCCCACCACCCTTCCCTCTGCCACGCAGGTGCCGATGGAAGTCCTTAAGGTACGTGAGTGTTGCTCTTGTTGGTTGGACCAAACTCTCTTCCATTTTCCATTTGCTAGGTGTTTTGTTTATCTGAATATGTATTTTGTTAGACTGACCCTTCAGAATTATATTTGAAAACTCCAACTCCCTTAATTCTTACGTGGCTTTATATTTTAAAAGAAGGATGCAAACGCATTGTAACTGTAATAGTAACAATCAGTAAATGGTGGGAGTCAATGTTCCATGAGAAATTGCAAGTAGGAATACATGTTTGTTGTGATGACATCTTTCTTTGGGAAAGTTTCAAAACCAGAATTATCTGAGGTGGGCCTCTTCTGATAATTTGTGTATCTTAAATATTTTTCTCTTAAATACCTTCCATAGCCACTCTTTACTTTTCTTTTTATTTAGTATGTAATATTGGTTGTAAAATCTGACTGTTTTAGAGAGCTCTTCACATATAAGATTGAAGAAGAGCTTTCTGCGCTTTGATAACCAGACTACATAATCCTTTTACTGAAGTGAGTTGTCTGCTTTGGGTCTCTTTGATTTCTTGCTAGAGTAGAAACTGCAGGAGCTTGTTAGCATCATTCGATTAGGGACATATAGCTTCCTAATTACTAAGGAAAATTGTAACAAGTCTAAGAATAGAATTCCATCTCACACGTGTCTTCCACATCACATAGGGAGATACTCCTTGTTTAAGAATAAACATTTCAGTTCTTAAATATGACTGATTCAAGGAAAGTTAAAAGGAAAGTAGAGGAACTTCCTTATTTTTAGTTTTTTTATTTTAGTACCTGCTCACCTAATTCTGAAAAGTCTCAAGTGTTACTGTTCATTAAACAATGTGAACTTTACAGACCGGTGATTCATTATTGGTTTTTGCATTCATCCATGTGCACAGAAAAAATGTCTCCCATTATTTAAAGTTTACTATTAAAGTAAATAGAGAGATGATGTGTTATAATCAGGAATCAATCTGTGAACCTTACCAGGAAGTAGGAAAGAGATTCTTTAAAAAACAAATCAAGAGTCAATTATTTTTTATTTGCGAAGACTTAAAATATAGTGATGCAATAATGGAACTCGGATGAAGAAACCAACTGAAATTGGGTTAGGGAAAAAAGATACAAATAGTTTAGCATAAAGTTTTACTCTAATGTGATTGTTTGAAATTCTGGATATTGCCACAGTTAATGGATTTTTTCCTCTTTCTTTTTTTACCCGTCAGTTAACTCAAGGTTTTCTCTCTGGAGTAGATGATGCATTGAATCTTTCTGTTCTGCTTGGGTGAAAATTGATATGATCACTAAGTTTTTATAGATTTAAGAATTATTTAAGATTTATGTTGTTGTCTCATGCCTGCAGGGGTGATAATCATTGTGTATACCTTAGGTTATTTAAAATTGTATGAATTAAATAGTAACAAGATGTGGAGAAATATGTCTATTTTATTCATCATAATAGTTCACCTTTATAATCTGTAGGGCAAATTTTAGAAGAGTTGCCATGGATTTGGGCTACTAGTGGGTTATATCCAACTGAAGGTAATGTTAAAGAATTTTTATTAAAATCAATATTCCTGTTAAGGCAGCTACAACAGAGAGGAAATTACCCAAATGAAAATGTGTTGAAACATCATTTCCAGATTATCTTAAAAGTGAGCATAATTTCTAAATGCTTTTGTCACTGTAAATATATTATTTTTGAAAATGATTAAAGTTAAAATCTACATTAAGTTGTTTGAATAACATACCAATATTTTTATATGTTGCTGTGTCCTGGTGACACTGGATTGAGCTACAACCCCTAACTTATGTATGCCAGAAAAATGTCCAAAGTTAAAGCACAAATAAATTGTTACAGCTGGACGACATACTCTAACTAAAAATAAGTATTAGGTAAATTTCTCTTTCACTCTGAATATAGTTCCTGTCTATTTAACTTCTGCTTTTTTATATTTCAGTTATATAAACTAGTAAACTATGTCATATAAATAAAAATAAGGAATTATTGCCATAGCTATATGGTTAGGTTTGATAGCTATTTAGACAAATTTTGGTATTCTTAAATGAAGAAACAAATAAGAATACACGATTTTATTAAGACAATATTTTAAGAAAATCAGATAACATTTTTAAAGAGAATATCATATAAGTGATTGCTTCAGATACTTAAAGACTTAGGACTTCATAAATATAGTTGGCTTATTTTCAAAATTTTGTGTATAAAAGTATTATGAAACATTATAGAAAGATAAGTGAGAGAAAGGTGGTTTTTTTTTTCTTTTTTATAGTTTTTAAATCATAAGCATAATTTTGTGAAGTAAGTGGTTAATAGCAAAACAGTTAATATGCTTAATCTTGGACCATTTATTTCTCCATGAATATATATTTTCAAAGAATGGTAATACCAAGTATACTAATTGAGTGCATTATGATACAGATTATATTGAATAAATATTTTCTCATAGTATGGCCTGAGTAAATTCGCTTAATTTTTAAAGGTTTAACTTGCTAAAACAGAACATGCCTGCTTCTCAGTGGAGGTAGATGTATACAATTAGTCACACTTGCATGCACTAGAGAATCTGGTTAAATCTCTCCGTCTCCCAAGTTGTTTGTAAGAACCAGAGGGAAGAAAGGTCATAGTTTAGTTTTCATACACACACAAAGTTAAGTTACCAACATTCTGCTATCTGGATGAATGACTGATTTCAAAAAGCTAAAGCAGTGTTTTCAGGTTAATCCCTTTTTTTGGCAGAGTAAAATTTAAAATATGAAGCTTTATAAAGCATGTTTAAAAGTTATTGACATCTGGTAAACTTAGGACTAGTCAGATTTTGGGTTAGAGATCGAAAATCTGCACCACTCATTCCTCAACGTATAGTCATTGTGCCGTGAGTAAGTTCATGAATCTTTGTAAGATTAGCCTCTGGTTTCTATATTGATTTAATAATATATGAATTTTCCTTCATATTGATTTTCATTTTTGGGGACATGGAATCATGAGTCTTATTGCTATATATTTACATAGTAAAGATATTCTCCAAGTTTTTTAAGAACAACCTTACCCAATTGGGTATTGTAATTTAAGGATGCTCTTTTACCATAAATTAACCAACACCTGGAGTGCATAATGCATTTTTTTGTAATGGTGAACACACCCTGTATTTTGAGTTGTGAATTAACAACAACAAAAAAAAAGTCATCAAGAACCATTAATGGAATCAGTTTCTTCCACAAGTGGGTTTTGCTGACATGCAAGTCATGCAAACCTGAAGTTTGAAATTTGATGTAGCTTTTTTCAAACAAAAACAGAGTAACGGGACAGAACTGTAGGTGAGTTCAGCCTTATAGCTAAAGCATCACGGTACAAACCACCAAGTTAATCATTTATGTAGTCACCAAGCATCTGTTTTCATAGTTTTGTCTCTCTGACTTTGATGAATTATAAAAGCACTGGTCGCTCTCATCCTGGACTAAGTTCATCAGGATTTCTTCCCCTACTACCTTCCCAAGATGGGCTTTGACGGTTGAAAGCTTGAAAACATTAGTTTACAGTTTGAAAATGTTTCTCTGTTCAGAAATCTGAAGGGAGTTGCCAAGGATTCCCCACTACCTCTGTCTCTCCCTCCCTTCCTTTCACCTTGAAATTTAAAATTTTAAAGGCAAAGTCGAAGTGTCTTCTCTGGAACGGATTGTCCCTTGAATTTTTCTGTTCTGCTTAAGGGAAAGGTTGCATGAATTTTAAAAGGAAAAGATTTTTTTTATTACTTTGGGGCATTTCTTAACTACTTTGAAGGAATTTATTTTTAAATTTTCCCTTTTCTCCAAATCATCTCAAGAGTTGCGCAAATTGCTCTGTAATTAGTGATGATGCTTGCTGTTTGTCAAATACAGAAGCACTTTTTCTGGGACCTTCTACATTGTAAACTAAATTTACGTGGGCATTTATTTGGTGGTTATCTCGTCAAAGTTGCCTCTCATTTGTATTGAGATTCTAGCGAGGTGGGCTGGAAGCCCTGCTCCTTGTTACCCTCTTTCAAAAACTGACATTCCATATTTCACTAGTGAGGGGAAGGGTTAATGGCTGAACTACTGGTCTTTCTCTGTAAATTATGAAATCTGCATGGAGTAGAATTTTCAAGGTGTGATTTATTTTTTAGGTATAACACAGAACATGAAAATGTGTGTGGAGTTACAGGTGGATTGGTGGGCTACAGATTGGCAAAAGGGACTTCTCCCACAACCTACCCTTAGATTTTGTTTCTGGTTTATTTAGCCAGGAATACAGACCCTAAATAGCATCATGGTGGCTGCAAGAAGCCAGAACAGATGTAGTGTGTCTCAGATCAGCTTGCCTTTGTCCCCTCAGTTAGGGGATCTGTTGCTAGAGGTGTCACTCTCATAAGGTGAAGACCTGCTATGTCTAAGATTTCTTCTTATAGCATAGTCCATTCACACATGGACCAGCATATACTTATGACCCTTGTAGTTTGACTTACACAAACAACCTGTCAGCCTTGATTTCAGGGATCATTTATAAACATTGTTGTCCTTTTGTTTTTGAATCAATGTTGGTGTCTGCAAGGCTACATCCTCATTCAGGGGGAGAAAGGGACTCAGATTTCAGGTCAACAGACAGCTCTTCATTCTCCCAGAAACCTCATTTCCCTGCAGAATCTGAATCATTCAGTGTCACACATAAGGTAATTTTCTCTCTCTTTAAAACTCACGTTATTGACTTTTTAAATTGCAGATAATACTTGTTAACTTTTAACAGATTTAAACAATGCAGCAGAATAGTTCAATATGAATCTCACCCTGCCTACCACCGCCTCCCTTCCGTCATGTTCCCTGGAAGGAACGACTGTTAACAGTTTAGGATGCAGCCTTCCTGTTATTTTCTGTTTAATAACCCTACCATCAGTTGCCTTTTATAGGAGCGAGGTCTGAAGAAATATGTTAGTCACTTTTTATCAGGTAGACATAAACCCTTTATTTTTCTTTGTTCATATTTGCAAATGGAACAAAAAAATGTATAATTTATTTTCCTTCTGGGTTGTCTCTATCTTTAAGAATCCCGCTTCAAGGTCCACTCTTCCCTATGTGCAGTGAGGACTTCTCACCCTGTGTCTTGAGAGCAGTTTAATTGGTTCAATGTGTAAGTATGTACCAGCTTGCACGGCACTGAGTGGCAGCCCCTTTGCTTCCCAGGCTGCTTTATGAACACTTGGGGGTGAGGATTTAGTGATCTCTGGGCTGACACAAGAAAGTGCTCCATAGAGTTGTCTTACTTGGTAAAGTCAAACTTAACACAGGCTCAGTAGTGCAAGAATTGCAATAAGTGCAAGAATCACAGTAAGTGCTTTTGGATTCATGTTGGACTTGGTTTTTCTGTCTGCACTGCTTTTAGTGACTAGTAGCTAGTAATGAAATGCTGGCTGCAGAAAGTCATCTTCGCTTAAATTTTTAGGTTTTATCTACTTAAAAGAGCAGACCGATGAGACCAACTATCTGAAACAAAATATTCAGCCTTTACACAACTAAGCCTATGAATTAATCCCAGTTTCTGGAAACATTGGAACTTCAGCTCTAATTACATGTTCATTGGGCAATATTGGCACAGAATGGAAATGATTTCTCCCTTTATGACCACAAGGGCATTTTCATGTAACTGAGGGGTACAGCACAATCTGGGTTTTGTACAGCACAATCTGGGTTTGATTTCATCAGGTTGTGGATAGGGCCTGATGTACCTGGTGGACACTTGACTAGTAGCTAGTAATGAAATGCTGGCAGATACGCAACATGGCGCTCTCTCTTTAAGTAGGAGAATCTTTGCCATCTTCTCCATGAGCCCCTTTGCAATCACTGAATTCATCCTGTGGGTTTCAAAGAGAAGAGACACCTGTTTGGCTCCTCCTCGTTTTCTCCTGTTAGAGGAGGCTATACTAATAGGTGCAGTCTCCTTTCATTTACACAGTTCTCATAATTCCATACTGCCAGAGGTGAAGGCAGTATCATAAGGAAAATATTAAGGTCTGGGGCCTGGAAGTGAGGGCTAAAAACTGGAGTGGGCCTAGTGTCATCTGACTCTGAATGGTAATTTCTTTTTTAATGTCATGAGACCAGTAGAACGTGCATCCTCAACAGGGGCGAAGTCACTCCCCACAAGTAGGACAAAAATGGATTGTTGGAGGGCAAAAGAGTCTTAGATGTTACAATGGTTTCTAAACCTCCAAAGTCCCAGTACATAAACCGATAAACAGTATATGTGTCTTTTAAAATTTTATGGTGATGGGGATGAAGGAGAAGCAATTAGGGGAAAAATGTCTTAAAAGGCTTTTTATTGGGATACTAATGAATAAAAGATTGAGAAACATTCCTGCAGAGGAACCAGCATCTTTCCCAATTCTTTGTGTTTTGTTTAGGGACCATTTGTGGAGGCTCCTATAGATGTGATGCCTATATTCTGTCTGGTCTGTGTCTCCCCAGGAAAACTGTTATGAGAACAATCATGATCAGCAAGTGCCAGCATTGAACTTTACCTGTATTGACTCATTTAATGCCACCATTGCTCTGTGAGGTAGTTATTATTAGCATCCCCATTTCACAGATGCAGGAACTGTCACAGAGGGGTCAACTAGGTCATCAGAAAGTCACCCAAGTAGGTGGTGCAGTCAGGATTTGAACTCATATAGTTGAACTCCATGGGCCACTAGTGGTAATACCTCTCCTGGAGGGAATGACCTGAGAAACATTAGGAGGGAGAGATAGCAATGTTCAGCCTCTCAAATGACACGGTAGCTTGGGGCTTGTAGCAAATGTTTACTACAGAGCTTCAATCCATAGCTTAAACTTTTATAGGAATTACTGATGTGAACGTGACACTACCTGAAGCACCTTGGAGGAGGAAAGGCAATTGTGCCTCCTTGACAACGTGGATATTAATTATAGGGTGGATTGGATGGTGGGATGAACACTTCAGGTCTTTTAGCTCATTTATTATTTTAGTAACCTTAGGAAACAAGTAGGATAAGCCTTATTTTCCAGATAGGGAAACTGAGGCTTAGATTATCACTGATCCCTGGTTACATAGACTCCACACACTACCTTATTTGCTTATAAGCACACATCCTACTGTAAGGACATGCTCTAAACATTTCTAAAGAATCACCAGTAACAGAATATATTAGAGCAAAATGGGAGGTCAAAGAGAAACTACAGAGGAGTCTCACAGGCTTAACAGAAAGATACATGAGCTTAAGCATTTGAATTAGTAAGGGGCTTCCCTATTGAATAGTTAAAATATCCTCATGAGTCTCCACAATATGCCAGATGAAAGAACTGGATGTGTTTTTATTATATAAAAAAGACTTCCTGGCCACATTGACCCCCGTGGTAATTTATGCTTTATTGATAGTCATCATTATGGGTTAAAAAGCACTACAGTGAAAGTTTCTATAACAACATCCAAAAATCATAACTCAAGTCACTTATATTCTAAAGATCTTGATGGTCCATGCTATTACAATTCATATGCTTTATAGTTCTGAGTATTTACTAATATATTTGCATTGTTTTAGATGATTTTTGAAATAATTCAGTAGACTCACACACTTTTGATATCAATTTTCTTCTGAAATTATGTTTGCATTTTTGGTTTTTCCTTTCCCATGCACCTTGCAATATTAGAGCTCTTGCCATATTTTAGCACTTAACAACTGGAACTTCATTTCTGGTGGTTTTTCTATTTGCTTTTAAGTAAATGTCAGTGGTAATAAATCTTCTATTACTATATTGAAAAAGTCATGAGTCTCCTTCACAAATATTACCTATTTAATCCCAACAATTAAAGAAAGGACTTAGCTTTGAAAGACCACTTAATTTGAAAGACTCTTCAGTTAGCACGCTTTTGAACAGAGATTGTGAACATGTGTAAGCAAAATCTAATTTTAACTTTGCTCTACTAAAATCGGTGGGTGTGATCTGTGTTAAAAATATGTAAATCAGTACAGTGGCTTCACTCAAGGTTATAACTGCAATCAGTACTAGAATATTGGCTCTTGCCCTGAATGTGTCTCCTTTTATTGACTTCTTTGAGGATCAGCTTGAACTTAAAAAAACATTTAGCTCCAGATAATATACCAGTTATTCAGATCTTATTTATAAATTTAGATGTTTTTTGTTTAGTAATTTATAACTTTATGAAAAGGAAATGAATCCGAATTGGAGCATATGAATCAGGTAAAGCAGGGGGCTGTTAAAGGAGAGAATGGTCCTAAAAAAGAAATTGTTTTAATTACTCTTTTTAAAAATAGGGAATGTCCTAGAAAAGGGTATAGGTGAATCTATACCATTGTTTCTACCAGCTGTCTCTGGAGTGAGTATTGGGATTGGAAGCGGTGGTGGTCAAAGGCTTTATCATTATTATTATGATTTTTACTAGGAGAGCATATGCATGCATTCTTTATGTAAAGTGATGTCCTGATGCATTTTATTTGAGTCACCCACAACTTTTTGAGGAGCACAGTTCTTCTGTCAGGTGTAAACTCACCAGTTTACTAGACTTAGACACATTATGTAACTCTAGTGGTCTTTCCTAGAAGAAAGATAACAAGGTGTAGGAATCCTGCAAATTCAAAGTGAGCAAAAGGATTTCAATCACCCGGTCGGGAAGTAATTTTTAAAAGTAGTTAAGAGGCCCAAAATGAAAAGCAAAATTCAGACTTCTATTACCTTACTACCATGCATAACTCTGTTGTAATCTCCCCTGTTGGGCCTGGGTTTTGTATAATTAAAATTTAGGGGCTGGAAATTTTGTTGAGCCTTAATTGGAAGTGACAAACCAGAGACATTCCTGCCAGTTAGGAAAGGCTTAAGAAATTCTTATTGGCTAAATTACAAATATGTAACATTTTTTCTGAACACTGCATGGTAGTTCAGACTGCCTAAAGGTGACAAGATTAGCTCTGTTTTTCTAGTGAAGTAGTAAAAATTAGATTAATAAGTACCAGGCAAAGAACCTTTTCTTTTTTTCTTTTTTTTTTTTTCTTTTGAAAGAAATCTTACCTTGAGTACTTCTGGCTGTGGAGATCGGTGCCTTAATTAGCCACATGTTCTTTTTACCTCCTGGGAAATAAGTACGGGATAAAATTGGGGATCAAGCCGTAGACGTACATTGACTTAGCACACGCCGCTAAGTAATTCATCAAGGAATGTTGGTAATTAGTCCTGCCTCTTTCAACTCTTGGCTTATTTTATAAAACCGGTTGATTTAAAATAATGCCTGCTGATTTATTACCCACACGTTTCAAGACTGGTACTTGGCTCTTAAACAAAAGCAATATTGTGCAGCGATGGAAATGCGCCCTCTTGTTTTTGTGTTTTTACAAATTCTGAAGGGCCATCTATGGCCCCCCTATTAACTTTGTTGCCTTTCCTTTTGCCCCATTCAGCATTTTACTGGGCTTTCTTTTCTGTCTTGGTGAAGAGAAAAGGGGAACAAATTTAAAACAAAAAACGAAAAAATCCAGGCTCTTAGAGATTTGGGATGTGAGGTGCTTGTCAAAGTGTATTGGCTCGGTGTGATTTGATGGAATTTAATTTGAATCCTTCGTCTGGTAAGACAGGCTGTAGTAATAGCCTTTGGTTTTTTTTTTTTTTTTTTTTTTTTTTGCATTGTTAAATGTTTGGTGATATTTATGGCAGCCAGGCTAATCTTAAAAGAATGAATTTATGAGAAGCACAGAACCTCATGACTTCAGCCTCTTACCCTTAGTATCCAAGCACTGTAGTGCATTATAGTTTGAATGCCAGATTCCCATTAATGCTAACTGATGGACCTCATTATGCTTTGAGATGAGACCTTAATCAGGGTCCCTGTTGAAAATCTACGATTAGGCTGTCTTTGATTCATAACTCTGTGAACTTGGGCACATTTCCTGTTCTCTCTGGGTCTCAGTGTCCTCATCTATAAAATGGAGGTAATAATACTCGCCCTGGGGAGTTTTTGCGAGAGTTAAATGAGATAATTCACGAAAGCAGTGCTGTCTGATAGAATATGAACCAAGTACATAAATTCAAAGTTTCTAGTACTCTCACTAAAAATAGTAAAAAAAAAAAAAAAATAGTGAAACTAATTTTAATGTATTTTATTTAACCCAAAATATCTAAAATATCACTTCAACATGTAATCAGTATAAAAATTATTAACAAGATATTTTCACATTTTTTCCTAAGTCTTTGTGCTGCCTTTAAAATTGCATGTATATTTTATACCTCCAGCACATCCCCAATTTGGACACTAAATTTTCATCAGAAAATTTATTTGACCTGTGTTTAGATTTTATAAAATGTATAATTGAAAAAGTTAGATTCATATACCTAACTTGTTTCAAACGTATTCAAAAGATTTCCAATAAATAAATTGAATATGTCTTTAGATTTAAATTAAATTATATGAAAAGTTCAGTCTGAATGAGTCTGAACAAGCCACATTTCCAGTGCTCAGCAGCCACACGTGGTCTTTGCATTGGACAGCACAGAACTAAGGCATTAGCCAAGTAGATGGAAAGTGCTCAGGAAAGGATTCTGCTCTACTGTTGGTAATAATAAATCACATAATGATTTACAATTATTAATCACACGAATATAAAAATTATTATCTTCTCTAAGTTGCCATCTTCATATGCCACTATTGTACCTACAAAGTATTACTGTTTTCCTACTGCCCGCCACAAAGAAAACACAAAAAAATTAGTCATTATTTTCTTGCTCATTATTTGGAGCCCATGTTAGCTGACATATCTTATGTATGGTTGATATTTCCTGTCAAAAACAGCCTCTTATAGGAGAAAGCAGCAACGAGTCACCCTTGGTAACATGGCATTTTGACTCATCTCTGCCAATAGCCTTCCATTCAGACTTGAGCATGGTGACAGCCCTCAACTTGTTAGCCACACATCTTACTCATACTCTCAATCCAGGTTCTTTTCAAACCTACACATATCACACTTACATAGCACCTGTCCGGTGTGTTAAAGATGTCTAAAGTCTTGCGAATATATGAGCATTTAATCAATGTTCTTGGTGTGAGACAGACATTAGGGGACAAGGAGATTAGTTAATCATACATTGTTCTTTACCATACATTACATAGATTGATTAACATGAAGGATATTGAAAACTAGGTTTTTTTGGTGGGGTTTTATGTATGATTTTTATTTGTGCTGATGTCTCTAAGGCAATTTTCTTTCTTAGTTAACTTGCGGTATATTTTTAGGAAATTATAGCACAGCTCATAATGCAATGAAACAGTTCTTTAGTAATTCATTAGATAACCAAGTTTTCTGTTTTGATAGTAATTTTCAACCGCTTATTAAACCAGAAATAATACCTAAGTGATAATTTATATTTTGTTAGTCACCTTTTCATTCCTAATGCAAACAATGAGTCAATTATATTGGAATTAGTAAACTGTGTTAGAGAGATTTAATGTGTTCTTCATATAATACTAAGAGCCTATAAAGTCACATTCTTGTGCAATTACAAAAAGCAAGAAAGCCAAGGGAGCAAAAATGTTAACCATGCTATGACCTCCAGAAAGAAAAATCATCACGTTGTCAGATTTCATGATTTCCTTAGTTTGGAGTTAGATCTATTTTCTGAGTCTGTATTAATCTCAATATTTTCTTATTATCTTCCATTAACATAAGTTAATAAACTTTCAGGCCATTGCAAAGTTGATTTCAGTTTTCCAGTAGCTTTCCAGGTTTGTTTTAAAATCACATACCTAAATAATTTTTCAACTAATGAATTAGAAGAATCTTGATAGAGCTCATAATACAATGTTATGAATATGGGCAATTGTGACCATTTTTATTGACACCTGGGACTCCCAATGTCTCATAGAGAGGGAAGACAAATTGAACATTCTGACAAGACATTTAATTTTGATATAAAATCTCTGTTCATCAGTTTGACATGAAGCTAAGATGTTTAGAACTTAACCTCAAATGGTGGAAAGCATTGTGTAACTCAGGGGTTCTCAAAGTGTGCTCTGGAACCTGTAGCCACTGCGTCCCCTGCGACCTCGTTAGAAATACAGATTCCCTGTGCCTATCCCAGGCCTACTGAACCAGAAACTCTGTGGGTGGAGCTCATTAATCTGTGTTTTAACCAGCCTTCTGAAAGATTCTAAAGTATGCTCATGTTTGAGAATCACTGCTGTAGAAACCTGGAGGTTAATTTGTAAGAAATGTAAGAAAAATTAGAAAATGCAGAGGCAAATAAAGTCAAATAAATTTCTTTACTGTAGAGCCTCTGAGATCCTTTAACATGTAAAGAGTTATGGCAAATCTCCAACAGTGGTACAGTGGGCAAGCACTTTGAGAAGAAAGGGGAGGAGTAAGACAGGCAAAGGAAATGTTGCCTTGAGTTGCTCAGTGGAAGATGCAAAATACCTAATAGCTATTTAGGGTATCTTGTACATGTGGTACATTCTATTATGTGCATATATTTATGAAAAGTTTATAAAAATAGGTTAATTCTGTCAAGTCTTGAGGAGGTGAATTGAGGATAAGAAAACAATAAGAAACTCTAAAATGACTTGCTTTAGCACTGGGCCTTTCCAGGAACTCTGAGGGTCAGTGAATCCATTTGTCCACAAATATTTGTAAATTAAATATGTATGTCACATATGTACCATTCATCTCTTTTACTAATAAATGTAGATGCTGCTATGATAAAGTACAAATTGATATCAGAGCTCTATGTTTCATTTTTTTTCTTATTTTTAGGCATTTTCCTGATCAACAAAAACCAAAGCACAACTCGTAATCAAATAGGGCCTTGAAATATTTGACTTTTAAAAATGATTGAAAGCTACTTAAAAATATTATTTTTTGTTTTTTAGACTTTATTTTTTAGAGCAGCTTTAGGTTCACAGCTAAATTGACCGGAAGATAAGGAGATAGCCATTTATCCCTGCCCATGCATATTCACAGCTTCTAACCCCAGAGTGGTACATTTGCTGCAGTCAGGGAACCTAGATTGACATATCATTATCACCCAAAGTCCAAACTTTATGTTAGTGTTCACTCTTGGTTTTGTGCATTCCATGAATTTGGGAAAATGTGTAATGACATGTATCCACCATGATAGTATCATAGACAGTATTTTTACTGCCATAAAAATGGTCTGTGCCCTGCTTTGGTTGCTCCTCTGAAGAAAAAAGCCACTTTTCTTCAGGAACTGTGTTTTAGCTATCAAGAGTTATTTAAATTCTACTTTTAGAAGCTACTCTTTTTACAAAATTGGATTTAGATAAATGGTAGCACAAAATGGCCCTTTCAGAGTCTGCAGACCCCTGACATCTGTAATTCCCCCAGCAGTAGGCCCTTCATGGTCTGTCTCTGACATCAAAGGTCTTTCTACTGACGTGGCTGTAGTCTTGGCTTTGTCTTTTACACTGGGGCATTGACATCAAGAGAAAGTGTTTTTCTTCCTTTCTCCTTTCTTTTTTTGTATTGGTTTTCTGCCTGAAGGCAGTATATCCAGTGCATGTGGCCATCCTGCCCTTTCTGTTGAAATAAAACAAACGGTCATTTTAAGAAGCTCCATGGGAAAGATCAACTCTTTCTGATGCTGGAGTCCTTAACATGCACGTCCAGCACGATGACCAAGTACAGCCTTAGGTGAGATCTGGCTCATATATAGCCATGAAGTGCACTTTTCTTCCACCAGATGATACTGATTGCCTTCTCACCTTCTTACCTCCCTTTCATAGTTATAGTCCACCTAGTAAGAGAAGAAAAGGAGAAATCACCATAAGATATCCCCTGAGGACTTCTGCACTGGATCGTGAACCTTGTTTCCTAGACCTACTTTTCTTTTCTGTTAGGGTTTGCATTTTTCAATTAAAATTCATTCAAAGAACTCCTGCCCAGAGGCATTTGATTATGCCTACACCTGCTATCTAGTTGCAGTGTTGAAAGGCATGGGCTCTGGAGTTAGATCGGGCGATATCCATATGTTTTCTCAACCTGAATTCCCTTGTTTGCATAACAGAGATAATAAAGGTCCCTAGCTCATAAGCTTGCTCTGAGGAGTAAGTGACATGATGCTTGCAAAGCACTTAGCACGGTGCCAGGCGCAATACTTTTTAATGCTGATCACTGTCATCAGCATTTCAACCAGAGACACACAGTCCACAGTAATTGAGCCACATAATGGGTTCTTGAGAAGTGACTAGAAGGTTAATGCTTTGGTAAAAGATTAGGAAAGTTGATTCTACCTATGATCTAGAATTAATTTCTCTAGAGATGCATGGGATGTGTAAAGATTCTTTTAATCAATTACTGTTGAATTACATTGCAGCAGCAAGGAATTTTAATTCTTAAAAACTACCTGGCTATGTAGATTCCTCTAACAGTAATTTTTGGGGGATAAGGAGTAGTGAGATGCTTGGCCACAGTTTTTAACTTTCCCCCAAATTACACCCACTACATAAAAGACTTATATGTTGTTTTTAATGATTGACAGCCAAATTAGGCAGCTGTTAAATCCTTACTTATAGAAAATTCTGTGGAAAGTGGTAAAAATTGGGGTTAAAGTTTCAAGAAAAATTAATAGACATCAGGCTATCAAAATGTTTCTTGATTCTGAAATTAAACTTTCACTTATAAGCTGAGAAGCCAACAATTTTGGTTCTAGAATACAGGTTACATAGGAGTGACCATATATGATTTTATTAACTGTTCACTTTTGAAAGCCTTATTATTTTGGGGAAACTTGAAGGTTCAAAATACATTTAATCACAGCCTTTCGCCCCTAAGCCACAGGGCCTACATTGCAGAACCAGTCAACTGATGAAAACAAGTGATCTGTGTTCAGAGTGTTTTCATTGCTAATCAAGTTGCATAATCATTTTTATCTAGTCTCTAAGTGTTTTGATTCATTTGCTTTGGAATTACTCGACTTCTTCCTTACATGATATGTCCATTTAATTTTATTGGACTGCGCTGTGCTGGCTGGGCACAGTGGCTCACGCCTGTAACCCCAGTGCTTTGGGAGGCCGAGGTGGGTGGATCACCTGAGGTCAGGAGTTCGAGACCAGCCTGACCAACATGCTGAAAACCCGTCTCTACTAAAAGTATGAAAATTAGCCAGGCTTGGTGGCGGGCACCTGTAATCCCTGCTACTGGGGAGGCTGAGAAAGGAGAATCCCTTGAACCCAGGAGGCAGAGGTTGCAGTGAGCCAAGATCATGCCATTGCACCCCAGCCTGAGCAACAAGAGTGAAAAAAAAAAAAAAAGACTACTGTGCTATCCTAACTCCTCCACTCCAATCTCTGTAATTTATGGTACAAGTTTAATTTTTTTATTCATTTGTTTATATTTTTTACCTTTTAGAAACATGTCACCTTGACTGTTCTGTAGTCAGTTCTAACTACTTGCTGACCTTTATTTTTGCTATTAAACCATTTATCTTCCATTACATAGACTATCTTCAGATAAGACCAGAGGCCATTCTCTCCAACCAGTCTTGCAAAGTTCACTACTTCACAATTGATACTGCAACCATGAAATCAAACATGCCTCTGCATGGACCCCTAGTATGACCCAGGGGAAGTTGTCTTTCTGGGTGTAGGTCTCCCCATCTGAGTCGTCTCAGACTTCCCTCCTAGCCTGGACTTTCAGTGAATTATCTCCTTTTTCCTGGAGAATCGCCCACCTACAGACCACTGAAGTTTCATTTGTGATAAGATGAAGGTGACAAAGGACTTTAAAAGCCTTGAAAGAAACATTAGGTTTATTTTAAGTGTTAGATACATAAAACAGTTGTAATGATAAAGAACAGCAGTGTATATAATACTTACAGTTCCACTATAGTTTAAGTCACCAGTTTCTCCTTGAGGGTGGCAACAGGTGAGTTGAGAAAAGCCTCTTTTTTAGATACGCTATTATTTTGTCTAAGTGTGTTTTGCCAATTATAATAATAATGTTAATCCTGGTTATCACTTACTGCATTCCTGAGACTTTTCTGAAGGTCTTTTGCGTAGAGATTGAGCACAGACTTATTCAGAATAGATGGCGAGGTTGTCAACTAAACTGCCACGAGTTTATTTACACAAATGTCCTAAAGTCTATATTAAATATTTAGTTCTCAAGTATGCTAAATCCCTAATATTAAAATTTATCTCTGACACAATTTTTGGTCACAGGATGTTCTATAGCTCTTATTTTCTTTCCCTTATGAAGCAGAAAACAAATAAAGGCTATGGATGCTTTTTTATGTTCAGTCAGTGGGTATAGGACAGGTGAAGGGGGATTTACAATGTGACTCACTTCTATAAATATTTTGCTCACTTTCCTTCAGTTTATATATTAATACTAATTTTAATTCATTCCTTAAGAGAGAATTGTGGAGTGTTTGTGTGTGTGTGTGTGTGTGTGTGTGTGTGTGTGTGTGTGTATGTGTGTGTTTTGACAATTTTTCTCTTAAAGCCTTTCCATTTTCACTGATCTTTCAACTTTTCCTCTTTTCCATCCTTGGAGAATACCTCTATAGATGCTAACACCCCCCTTCCCCTATTTACCTCCCTCCCTCGCTCACTCCTTTCCTCCCCCTCTCTTTCTCCTTCCTGCCTTCCCTTGAATCCTAGCTCTGTCCTTTGATAAACTTGGGCAAGTGACTTAGTCTAAACCTTAGTTTCCACATCTGTTGCACTGTGTTTCTTTAACATGAAAACCTCCCATGTTGTTGGCAAATAAGACAGTCATGTCAGTATAACATGAAAATCCTTTTGGTTCATTTCCCACAGCATATTAATGCTTGAAGTAGTCAAAGACAAGTTTTATCATATTTAAAGAGAAAGTCTTAGCCCTAGATAAAGCATTACTTGGCTTTCCACAGGGCTCTGCTCTCTGGAGAAGTTGAGAATACAGAGGCAGCAGCTGCAGAGACAATACTGTCTGTGCTAACACAGGACATTCATAAAGAAGGCTGTCTCTGGGATCAGATTTTAATTTTTTGAAAAAGGATCAACATTAGAAGCATCTATACTTGTTATCCGTGGTCTACCTTTTGAGAGAGGAAGCAGGAGCCCCAGTGTTTAAGGCTGTCTGGGATGCTAGCTGCAGAATCCAGTAGAAATTTAACCAGCTGATGCTGAATTAGGGTTTACTGATTGTTGTTATTCGTGCTCCGGTTATAAAGGTGCATAGGTTTTGAGGGATCTGCCCCCAATCTTCTTTTTTCTTAATATGCCCTGCTATTCATAGGTGTGATTTTTGCAGAACGTGATGTTTTCCAGGACTGTAGAAATGGAGTTAGAGCATAAACACCTGAACCAACCTCAGAGCTGTAATTAAATGAATTCATGTATGTAAGTACCTAGCACAGCCCCTGAGCTGGTTGGCTTTGATTGGAGTCTTGAAGGACAAGTAGGAAAGGGCTTAATCAGTATCAGCTAGTACTGTTGAACCCTTCAAACATTGCAGTTCAGCCTCAGAAGGTGAGGGACGTATCCCTGTAGTGGTTTGTGTTGAGTGGAAACTTGAATAACAAGTAGGGTTATACCCAAAAGACTAGGATGAGGGGGCATGGCACATGGAGAGAAATGAAGCAACAATACATACTCTGGATTTTGGTGTGAAGCAGTGAAATGCAAGGTAGCAGAAGGTAGGACTAGGAGGGTATTGGGAACTGAAGCTAGATGGATGAGCAGGGGCCAGGAGCTTGGGTCTGATGCAGTCAGGATTGGGTAGCCATCAACAGCGTGTCTTCATTTTCCTTTTAGGAAAGAAGAAGGTGGTTAAGGTGGACTTCTATGGGAGCTGGTGGAGATGGTGGCGTTGGTTTTGGAGGAATGCAGTTGGAGGTGGGGAGGCGATCAAAATGATTTGGGGAATGAGTGATGAAAGTGTTGGCTCCAGAAGACGTAAGAAGAAAGCACTGGTTAAAGAAAATTAAGGAGTAAAGTATATGGAACCTTGCCAGACAGAAGGAAGAAGGCATAATACTATAATGCTTTACAGAGAAGAAAAACTGAACATAGTAGAGCTTAAGAAATTGGTCTATATTGGGAGTTGACAAACAATGTCCATGGGCCAAATCCTGCTACCATCTTTTTTGGTAAAGTTTTATTAGAATACAGTCATGCTGATTTATTTTCATAGGGTCTTTGGTTCCTTTCACACTACAATGACAGATTTAAGTAGTACAACAGAGACCTTGCGCCCACAAAGCTGAAAATAATTATCCTCTGGACATTTATAGAGAAAGTTTGCTGACTGCTGATCTGTGTGTATAGCTAGTAAGTAGACCTGGGATTCAAATCTTCGAGAGTTGGGATCATATCTCTTTTGCTCACTTCTGTATCCTGGGCATTTTGCATTGTGTCTAACATATAGTAAGCCCTCATAAATTAACATTTATTGAATTAACCTACAAATGAATGAATGAATTAATAAAATCACAAAGTCAAGTCTACCTGAGTCACAGCTTGTGCTAGTCATTATTATTCTGTACTGATTCTTACAAAGATGTTGAATGGGAGTTGATATACAAAACAAATATATTTATTGAGTGCCAACAATATATAAGGCATGTTCTTCGTTTTAGGATACAGTGAAAAACAGATTTTCATGTGCCCTTGTGGAACTCACTGCTAACAGGGAAGACACATGTTAATTAAATAATCACAGAAATGCATGCACAGTTTCAGCCTCAACAGGTACCAGACAGGAGAGGGGCACAGAGTTTTGAGAGCTGCCAATGGGAAGATGTGATGTAAAGAGTCCAAGAAGTCTTTCCCCTGTTCACCTGTCTTGTGATCTGAAGAGTGAGTGAACTTTAGTTTAAAAGGGATGTGGGATGAGTATTTCAGGCAGCAAGCACTGCATGTGCAAAGGACCTGTGTCAGGAGAGAGCAGGCAAGAAACAAAGAGAAGGTTGGTCTTGCTGGAGGAGCAACAGCAAAGGGGATCATGGTAAGGACTGAGGCTGGAGAGATAGGCATGGGGTCTTGTGATCAAGATAGTGAAGTCAGTCTGCTTCTAGAGCCAAGTCTAAACTAGAGCTGCAAGTTTGGGACTCAGTAATAGAGTAAGTATTGTAGTTAAAGAAGAGTATTGTACACACCAGAGAGAGGGCTGTGAGAGAAGATGTGATCCTTGAGAAGTACTCTGGAACATGCCAGTAGGACAGAGAGGGAGAACCTATGAAGCAGCCAGTAGGACAGAGGGGGAGAACTTATGAAGCAATGTAAAAACACAGGAACAAAGCTTGGAGAACCAGGATGGTAAAGGTTTTGAAATGGAAGGTTATGGCATGCATGTCTAGGATTGAAAAGTGTCTATTGGGTTGGTCTTTTGTGTGATCACTGTGACCTTGGAAAGAACAGGTTTGGGAGAGTGGAGGGGAATGGCTGGAGCTGGTAATTTGTTGAATGAATGGGAAGAGGAAATGGAAACAAGCATTTATTCATTCATTTACCCAACAAGTAGTTATTGAACATCTTTGTATTAGGGATCTAATGGTGAGTGAAAACACATAAGATCCTTGTTCTCCTGGGGCTTACTGTTAAGTAGAGAGGTGGGTACTTAGTCAAACAATCTCCCTACCACCACCCAAAAAGATGTATGAACACTAAAGGCTACAGTAATTGCTGTAAAGGAAAGAAAGAAAGTTTTGTAGGAATATGTAGCAGAGAACGGGGGAAGTGTTTGGGCCGGGAAGAGTTCTCCAACTAAGTGATCTTGGAGCTGAAGGAAGCATAGGTGTGAGCTTTGTGAAAGCTGTGGTGAGAGAAAATTTCAGCAGGTGGAGAAAAGCAGATGCTGAGACCCTGCAGTGTCAGAGAGCTAGAAGCTCCAGGAAATAAGAAGTGAGGTCCAGAGTGGTTATGTGTGAAGAGCAGTGATGAGAATTGTGCACTACAAGGCTAAAAGGTGGGCAGGGGCCAGGGGCCTAGGGTTTAAGCTCCCAGGACTTAATCCTTAAGACCATCTAAAGGATTATTGTCTTTATTTTAAGAGCAATGGGAAGCCATGGAAAGGCATGGGAAGCCATGGAAAGGTATAGGCTAGGGGAGCCACACCTGGGTTTTAAGGAGTGTAGTCTGCTCTTTGCAGAGACAGCGTAAACCTGTTAGACCTTTCTGAACCAACATGGGTACATGGCACGGAGAAGGATTCTCATCTCAGGGGGTTATCATTCCCTCTTCTGAGTGTGGAGTCATCTAAGCTCTTCAGAAAACCTCCAGCTCAGATATAACTTATGCCTGCCTTGGCAGAAGAACATGAAGGTTTCTCCTAAAACCCACTTGGAAAAAATTCTTTTTTCCAAGTCTCCAAGAAGACTTGGAGAATGTCTTCTAAGGACTGCATAAGCTATAACTTCAGGAGACATGAATTTCTGGGTTAAACCAATTGCAGGCAAAAAGAAAAAAGCATAGGCAACTTCTGAGATAAATGATTTCAAGGGCTTTAGGCTTGAGTTACCTCTGAGTGATGTCTCTCCTTGGGGTCTGCCAGGGCACATGATACAGCAAGTGTTTTAGAGACCTCTCTCTATAAAAGCCATTTTGACCCCTCTCCACTTATGCACCATTCTGTCCTCAGATTTGATGAATAGAGAAAGCTTTGCTAAGAATAACTGACTTGCTCAGTACCTCTTAATATTCAAAGAAGTCTTTGCATATTAGGAGGACTTGATTTCTGCCGAGTGGGAGGGGTGGGGAAATAATAGATTTTCAGGGAAGGTAATGGTGGGCCCTATTGGGAGTGGAGGCAGAAAACAGTGACCTTCCTGGTCACACTTCTAATCACAGAGAGTGGGTGACCCTCCCCTCTGCTCCCAGCTAACACACACCTCAGCCACCCTGTTGCAGCCGGTTTATTTTTGCATCAATAATAACCGTCCTCCATGGAATTAAAAAATCGTGATATTTCCCTGTGGTTCTTGCCTACATTTTCCTGTTTCTGAACCAACCAACTCTCTTCCTTTTGCTTGGAGAGCACATCCTTAATTAGTTTTGCATAACATGTGTGGTACAATTACCTGAATTCCTTCTCCTCCTTCTTGGCCCTGTTTAACCAAACACCTCCCACGTCTTTGTTCTTTGTGCTCATCCTGATTGACTCATGAGGTGACACTGGCTGACACTTGGCAAACCAGTGACCTTCTTTTTGAGCTAGAGTTGACAAAACCTGATAGAACAGGGTAAAAAGGGGGAGGCAGAAGCCTGCAGCCAGCCCTTTTTTTGTTAAGGAGAAAGCAGCATGGGTAAATATATTAAGAAGAAGTTCTGCTTTGAATACTTTGGGAATATTTGACAAAATTATCTGTTGAAGAACAAAAGTAACATGTTTAAGGCAAATAAAGGATGAGGAGCAATGCTCAATCAGGAAAAATGAGGTAGAGGGATAGAGTAGTGATTATACCATGTCTATTTTAGAGATATTATGTACTTTATGAAATTCTTGCATTTGTTAACTATTAAAATCAGAAGAATTTACCTGGAAAAGTAATAGCCAGGGAGGAAAAATAGGTTTAACACACCTTGAGCACCAGAAGCTGTCCTATGTTCATTTTCCCAGAAACGGTGTTTTCAATTAAAAAACAAAACAAAACAAAAAAAACCTATGAGGATGGAATGAGGTATGTGTTAAGTGAATTGAGCAGTTTGGAGGAAGGTTGCTACAGTATAACCTTTTATATTTCCATGACTTGGTTTTTGGTTGTAATTTCAAGCAGTACACTCCTAGACCAGCTAGATAAAAAGAATGGCCCTTTAACCAAATAATCAGGGATAACGAACCAGTGTGATTTTTCAAAAAAAAAAAAAAAAAAGATAAATTTTAAGTCAACTTTGCTACTATCAGTGTTAAAATTAGTTGTATTTAGCTTCATTTAGAGCCCTTTTCCTAAATATAGTGTGTTGTTAATAATGCAAGTGTTTTGGCTTTAAAAATTACCTTTTATAACAATTTTTACTATTTCCATTTTGCCAAGATTTAGATAATTTTCATGGGTTTAAGCATAATCCTTTAAACTTAACCCAAGTTTTTAGCCCTGTCACCCTGACTCTATCCTTCTGTTCATCTCCTATCCCTCCCCCAATCCCCACACTTCAATTTTCTTTAAGATTTTGTTAGAGTGCACTTAGAGTGACTAGAGTCTGAGCCCATGGAAGTTTCCTATTGCTTATTTTTCTCCCAGTGGCACATGGTCTAATCACCTATTAGAGCGAGAATAGTTGGTCCTCCCCTCCGAGTCTCTCCACAGTTCTGCATAGATTGCAACCAGATGATGACATTAATTAATATGGCGAATTCTGAAAGCAAGCATTTAAAATAACCCTCCCTGTCTAATTCAGAGATCACAGAAAGACTTGGGCAGTACTTTGAGCCTTGACGACATAGCGTGTGCTGAGCATGGCCTCCCTTCCCTATGTCATCAAGAGTCCATGTAGTGTAGGCAATTAAGGGACCCATTTCTCCCAGCATGTGTCACCCTTGCAATTGGAAAGTGTCCACTATTCTGGGCCTACATGGGGATAGTAGAGGGAGCTGGCTTAGTCAGGCAAAGTTGGGGCAATGGGTAGTAGTAATGTGATTTGCTTTATAACTGTTTGCTTTGCATTGGCAACTGAGCTGTGGCCACACTCCAACTGGCAGTGGAGATGGAACCTTAATTTTAGATTGTGTCCCTAATGTTTGGTGAAAATAAAAATGGAGAGGTGACCATGAGTTGACTTGAGACTTTTTATATGTGAGTCATAGTATCTATTAGGAAGAATTGCATTCATATTATGTAATTATCCTTTGTTTAGTTTTTCTTTTTTTTTCCAGTAATGAATAATCCTTATCATCTCTTTTGCATCCTTATTTATTTTTCCCATTTACATAAATTAATAAGGCCATGACAGCTAACCCCATACTAAATATATGTATACTTGAAGCTTGCTTTGAACTTCCTGAAAACATATCTATTTGGCTTACTGTTGGGTCCCCAGCACCTAAAATATTACAAGGACATATGACAAACTCCATAAATACTTCTTAAATAAAATTGCAGTTTAATTCATGACTCATTCTTCACCCTTTGATTCTTATGTTTGAGTGACCTAGCTGTCCAGTGGGTTTGCATGGATAATTTATATGTTCCTCCACATGAAGGGATAAATAGATAGCTCATAGGTTATTCTGGTATAGAATAGAACCCTTTGAAAACCAGCCTGAGGCTCTTTTTCCTTTTTTAAAAAATTAGAATGCTGGTTTCATCTTCAGACAAAAAATACTACTTTTAATTACTGTGCAGTCTTTAGTTACACCCATAACCTCTGGGACACTGAGATGGTAACACATTCAATTCTTTGTCTTTGACTTGGTTATTAACTTGCGTTTGCCTTGGTTATTGTTAGCCCATGATATTTAGGGAAGTACCTCTGAAACATTTTAATGTCTGCCTTTTTTTTTAAGGTAAAATGCAGAAAAAAAAACCCAAATAGGTTTGGTTTTGAATTTTAAATTACTTTGTATTATTTTTGTTTTATAAAAATATACAGTAATTAGAAGAATGCAATAATGCTACTTTCTATCGTGTTTTATTATTTCAATGTTGTTTGTAGAGGTTGTAAGCTATGATCTCTGAGTCTTCAAAGAGTTTGAGAATTAAAAAGACCACAATCTATGGGTTTTATTTTTAATTATTATGAAACCATAGAGATGAAAATGCAATGTGTATCATAAGAACAATTTTTCTCTATGATGTGGATTGAGTTTGTAATTGAGAATAGTGATTTTCAAATTAGCTAATCTTTGGACTGCTCTGGTGAGGTTTTAAACATAAGAATAGCTAGGTCTAGTCCTAGAATATAGGAATGGCCTTGTAATCTGTATTTTTATAAAATCTCCCTGTTTATTTCAGATGGTAAGCACAGCCTAGTTTAGAACATTAGATCAATGAGCTCAAGTCATGGGTATGATTTTTCAGTTGGCCTATTGGTTGTCCTCTGTTCTGTGACCTGAGACCTTCTTCTGAGCCTGACTAACTATCTTGCAGATGGATGTTCTTGCTGTGGTGTAGGTAAGAGAGTGTGGACAGGGGAGGCATTGAGCCTAGATCCAGTTTAATTACCATACAAATATCTTAGGTCATGAGGTAGCTAGGGTCATCTTCTCTAAGGGCAGCTAATTTCTTTGCTTATGCCAAGCAACAGCCTTGTCACTGGGGGCTTTTTTCTTAATTTGGCCTTTTTAAAAAAAAATATCAGCAAGAGGAGTGTTGTTAAATTGCCAACCAATTCAGACTCACTAGTCTTTTCCAGTATCTACTGGAGCTAAAATTCACAAACCCAACTCACTTCTAGAAATCATAGCTTCTGACTCTGCGTCAGCATGGTGGGTGTTTGGGCAGCAAGTGAGCAGAAGGTGCTGGGATCAGATTGCCTGGGTTCTGACTCTGCTGCTCCCATGCACTGGATGTGCGACTTGGAAGCAAAATTACTTAACCTCTGAGAGCCTTTGTTTTTCCCGTTGGCAAAAAGGCAATAACATTAATACTAATATAGGGTTGTCGGAGGATTATATGAGATAATGCTCATGCATCAAAAATGGTAAGCACTCAACACATGTCAGTGGCTGGTATTATTACTATAATTTTTACCACAAATTCTGAATAAACACGTCTAGAAACAAGGTATTGCCATGATTAGCTTGAACCAGTATCACCCATAATTTTTTTATTAATTATTGCCTCCCTTTGCACTCTCTGGGATTTCCATTCATTTATTTCACAAATACTTATTTAGTACTTACTATCCAAGCAGGGTACTAGGCACTGGGGATACACTAGTGAACAAAAGAGACAAAACATAAATGATAGTTTAAAAATTGATGCTTCACTACATTTTAACAGCCTTACCATTTAACCGTACTGAAGACTGAGAGAACTGAAATGTTTGATCATATTTAGATTTTGTGAATTTGCCCATACCAGGTACTGACTAGCATGAAAAATAGTGACAGAAATGCTACATAATTTCTTCCGTGTGTCTTCTACTGGTCTGTCCTTCTGTCTCTATCCATTCTTGGCCAAATCCTGCCCACCCAATAAGACCCACTGAAACACTGCTTTCCATGTGAAGTGCCCCAAGGTTTTCCCTCCTGGTCCCTCTACCTCTCTCTCCTCCAATCTCTACTCACTCCTTCCGTAGAATTTGGCTTGTATTCCATGTATAGTCTGTATCAATGTATCCTTTGTATTCCCATTAGTTATTTTCACCCTTATAAACCATAAGTAATGTGTAGGACCACATGGCTTCTACATCTTGCAGGCCCCTGGCTCTTAAGACCGTCCCAGGTATATATTAAGTAGTCAGTAGGATGCAGAGTTCATAGACAGAGAAAAAAAAAATTTAGTCTACAAGTGAGATTTTTCTCTCTTTGCTCCTTTGTAAAATGGGAATAAAGAGTACCCAGCTCACAGGCTGGTAGGAGTGTGAGATGATGCATATTGTTGGAGATGTTAGCGCAACCCATTCACAGTACAGTTTCAATAATAGCTATTTCTTATTATTTTTAAAAGTTTTATTGAAGCATAATTAGCATATAATAAAGTACACTTGTTCCAAGTGTATAATTTGATAAATTTAGACACATTATACCTCTGTGAAATGATCCCTACAATCAAGAAAATTAACATATCCTTGTACCTCTTTGTAACCCCTTCTTCCTTCCCAGCTTGGCCCTACTCCCCTTGTCCCCAGGCAACCACTGATTTGATTTGTGTCACTATAGATGAGTTTGTAATTTCCAGAGTTTAAAAAATATGGATTCATACCTTTTGTAGTTTCTTGGGAGAGAGGCCTGGCTTCTTTCACTCAGCATAATTAATTTGCAGTTCAGCCATTTTGTGGCACGTATCAATATCTCATTCCTTTATATTGCCAACTGTATTCTTTTATATAGGCAGACCACAGTTTTTTTTATCCATTCCCCTCTTGATGAGCATTTGCTTTTTTTTTTCAGTCTTAGAATATTACAAAGTTCCTATGAATATTTATGTACAGGTCTTCGTGTGGATTCATTCTTTCATTTCTCCTGGGTAAATATTTGGGAGTGAAACAGCTGAATCATATAGTAGACATATATTTAACTTTTAGAGAAAGTGCCAAACTTGCTTTCCTAAGTAGTCTTGTCATTTATATTCTCACCAGCAATGTATGAGAGTTCTATTTCCTTATATCCTCTCCCACACTTGGTATGGTCAGACTTTAAAATTTTTTGTTAGCTTTATGTACTGATGGGTGTGTAATACTATCTCATTGTGTGTTTTTTTTTAAATTTGCATTTCCCTAATGACTGGTGATGTAGAGCATCTTCTCATGGGCTTATTTGCCATCTCCGTATTTTCTTTTGGTGAAGTGTGTGCAAATCATTTGCCTGTTTCTTAACTGAGCTGTTTGTCTGTGTTTTGAGAGTTCTTTATTTGTTCTGGATCTATCATATGCTTTGCAAATATTTTCTCCCAGTTTGTGGTATGTCTTTCCATTCTATTAATAGTGTCTTTTGAAAAGCAGAAGTTTTAAATTTTGATAAAACCAAGTTCATTGGTTTTGTAAATTAATCATACTTTTAATGTCATATTTAAGAACTCTTTGCCTAACCCAAGGTCATAAGGATTTTACCTATGTTTTCTTTTAGAATGTTATAGTTTTAAGTTTTATGATTCATTTTGAGTTAATTTTTATATAAGTTATAAAACATGAATTGAAGGGTTTTTTGTAAATATGGATGACCAATTGTTCCAACATCATTTGTTGAAAAAACTATCCTTTTTCCCTTTCATTGCCTTTGTATGTTTGTCAGAAATCAGTTGATTATATGTGTGGGTCTATTTCTAGAATCTCTGTCCTGGTCTGTTTTTCTTCCTTGACACCAATACCAAACTCTCTTGATTAGTGTAGCAAGTAAGTCTTGGAGTCAAGTATTGTCTGACCTCCAAATTGTTTTTTGTTGTTTTTTGTAGTAAAATATTATATAATGAGTAAATAGTTGTGTATATGATGTCAATCATTGGAGGTAAAACTGAAACTTTGCTTTGTTGCTTTGGTTAATAAGTGCCATGATTTGTCATTCTACTAGTTATCTTTCTCTGAAGGTGATTTATCTGAAGCATTTCAGAATTTTCCCAAATAGCAGAGGGATGAGTTATATGCAAGTGTACTTGTATAATCTTTAACATTTTCTAAGTCTTATTTTACATGGTCTTTAATCCTGTAGTTATTTATCACTTCGGAAGTGACTTCACAGTACATGTCACAAGGCCAATTAAACCCTGGTAGATTCTGAAGTGGATTGTAGGATCTGTCCAGGACTATGATTTGGTTTTTGTTTGTTTATTGTGTAATATGCCCAGATGGAGAGCATCTAGAATGGAGACTAGCAACCTATAGACTGTTGGATGTGAATGAAAATAGGAGCTGTCAACGCACTCCCTTTCTGCTTCTTTGACCACACATCTACAACAAAAATAGCAGCTTTTTTTAATTGGCTACTTAATATATGCTGGTCACTCTGCTAAATACTTTATGTAAATTGCCCTATGTGGTACTTACATTGTCCATGTGAGGTAGGCACCATAAATCCTTGTTTTGCCTGAAGAAAGGTTTAACAAGTTACCCAAAGCTACACAACCAGAAGTAATAGAGCTAGTGTTTGATCCTCTCCCCTTTCCCTCCATAATCTTGTGTTCCTAATCGCTATGCTACAGTACCTTTGGTACTAAAGAATGAAAGGGATTCAAACTTGAAATATAACGTAAGTCGTCCATTGAGCTCTGGAACTCCTACTTTCTATGTCCAAAACTTTCCTGTCTATGATTTCTTCTGAATCACTGGATGAAAAAGTCATGTGGGTTTTAGAGATGGGGCTCTGTGTGTCAAACTGGTTGAATAAATAAATGAACGAGTTATTCATTGTATAATTCAGCACAAATCTATTGGATATCTATGTACCAGGCATTGTTATAGGTGCCAGGGATATTGCAGCAGAACAAGCAAATGAACAAACAACTCTTTCTTCATGAAAGTTATATTCTACTGGAGGAGAGACTCATGATGGACAACTTTGAGATCATGTAGATGAAATCACTTCATAAGCAGGAGGTAGTATTCTCCTCAGATCCTGGTCTAATGGCCTGTATTATGGTGCCAAAATTTGTATTTGAAATCACCCTTGATTTCAGGCAGGAGGCCTGACCTGTCTATCCCTGGTAATTTTGAGCACTGTTAAGTCTGGGTAGACCATCTGCTTTACCTAAGCTTAGATCATTGGCTCTCTTTTTCAGTAGTCTGAGGCTTTCCTCAGACCAGTCACCTCTTCACGGACATTTTAAGTGTATGAGGGCTAAGCTCCAAAACACAGTAATTGCTCTTGAGAATAAGCAGTTTTCTCTGTGAACACAAGAAAATCATATTCTGCTGGGCTCAAAGAGAGTTTCTTAAAGTTGACTCAGAAGAGGCTTAAAAACAGTAAGTGTTACAAATGGTTTTTTGAAAGGAAGAGGAAATTATTTATTTATTATTTTAAGAGTTTCATTTCAAGAATGAGGGAAGTAAACCAAAATATCCAGCTTTTTTTGTTGTTGTTTGTTTTGTTTTATTTTTCCCTAAAACTCTTTTGCAGGAAACCTTATGGGGCTTTTGCCTTTTGATCTTGCTATAGAATCTAGATGGATACATGAGACAGAAGGATACAGAAATGTTCTCAAAGTGGTTGGGCCACCCAATTAACTCTAGGGGTGTGATTCAGTTTTGTACCACTTTACATAGTGAGAAAACATTCCAGAAGGAGCTGTGCTCCCCTTGGGTGTAGGAATGTCTCTCCTGGTCTGCAATGCAGTTGAAAAGTGAAGAATAATTTCCATTTTCTGCTTTGTCTATTGAAATAAAAAGACAAAGCAAAAACAATAAAAAAAAAACTCTTCTACATCATTTATCGCTCCTTTATTTGGCAGGAGTTTTCAAACTAATATTTTCTTTTTGTACACCAGCCCCATTTTTTAAAAAGTACTGAGTAGAAGTTTTTTAAATTTGGCAATTCAAAAAATAGTTTTACTTCAACAAACTTAATGAAATCATTATTCTTTAAATATCATATGGAAATAATAGTAAGTTTTTTTTTGTTTCTTTACCACATTGATATTTGTGGTTTGTTTACCACACTGCCATTCAACCTTTGATGAACATGTGGGATGAATGAGCACTACTGGTAATAATGAAATTAGGTACAACTTTCCCATAAGAAAATTTGGCAAAATGCATCAGAAGCTTCAGTGGTTTTTATATCCTTTTATCTGGTAATTCTTCCACTTAGGATTTTTGTTCTTGTTAGAAGAAAGGAATAAGTGACAATCTGAGAATATTTGTCCCTACGTGAGCTAACACAGTCTTTTAAGATTTGTATTAAGGTTAGTTCCTTTGCACCTATCAGTTTTGCTTTTAAGTTGAGATTATTTATGTTTGTTTTATTTATGTGAAATAAGTCCTTAGAAAATATCTTTGATGCTTATAGTTATAGGATATAGTGATTTCCTTTACCAGCTGCTAAGTTCTATTAGGTTTTTTTGTTTGTTTGTTTTTTAAAGACATGGTGATACGGCTTGGCTGTGTCCCCAACCAAATCTCAACTTGAATTGTGTCTCCCAGAATTCCCACATGTTGTGGGAAGGACCCGGGGGGTTGGTAATTGAATCATGAGGGCTGGTCTTTCCCATGTGGTTCTCATGATAGTGAATGGATAAGTCTCACGAGATCTGATGGGTTTATCAGGGGTTTCTGTTTTTGCTTCCTCCTCATTTTCTCTTGCCACCACCATATAAGTGCCTTTTACCTCCTGCCATGATTCTGAGGCCTTCCCAGCCATGTGGAACTGTAAATCCAATTAAACCTCTTTTTCCTCCCAGTCTCAGGTAAGTCTTTATCAGCAGTGTGAAAATGGACTAATAGAGTAAATTGGTACCAGCAGAGTGGGGTGTTGCTGAAACGATACCCAAAAATGTGGAAGCGACTTTGGAATTGTGTAACAGGCATAGGTTGGAACAGTTTGGAGGGCTAGGAAGGAGACAGAAAAATGTGGGAAAGTTTGGAACCTCCAAGACACTTGTTGAATGGCTTTGACTAAAATTCTGATAGTGATATGAACAATAAGGCCCAGGCTGAGGTGGTCTCAGATGGAGATGAGGAACTTGTTGGGAACTGGAGCAAAGGTGACTCTTGTTATGTTTTAGCAAATAGACTGGCAGCATTTTTCCCTGCCCTAGAGATTTGTGGAACTTTGAAACTTGACAGAGATGATTTAGGGTATCTGGCGGAAGAAATTTCTAAGCAGCAAAGTATTCAAAAGGTGACTTTGGGTGCTGTTAAAACCATTCCATTTTAAAAGGAAAACAGAGCATAAAAGTTCAGAAAATTTGCAGCCTGATGATGCAGTAGAAAAGAAAAACCCATTTTTTCAGGAGAAATTCAAGCTGGCTTCAGAAATTTGCATAAGTAGCAAGGAGCCTAATGTTAATCCCCAAGATCATGGGGAAAATGTCTCCAGGCCATGTCAGAGACCTTCATGGCAGCCCTTCCCATCACAGGCCTGGAGGCCCAGGAGGAAAAAGTGGTTCCAAGTGCCATTCCCAGCACAATCCCTGTGCTGTGTGCAGTCTAGGGACTTGGTGCCCTGTGTCCCAGCCTCTCCAACTGTGGCTGAAAGGGGCCAACATAGAGCTTGGGCTATGGCTTCAGAGGTTGGAGGCCCCAAACCTTGGCAGCTTCCATGTGGTGTTGAGCCTGCATGTGCAGAGAAGTCAGGAATTGAGGTTTGGGAACCTTTGTCCAGATTTCAGAAGATGTATGGAAATGCCTGGATGCTCAGGCAAAAGTTTGCTATAGGGGTGGGGCCCTCATGGAGAACCTCTGCTAGGGCAGTGCAGAAGAGAAATGTGGGGTTGGAGCCCCCACATAGAGTCCCTAGTGGGACACTGCCTAGTGGAGCTGTGAGAAGAGGGCCACTATCCTCCATACCCCAGAATGGTAGATCCACTGACAGCGTGAAGTGTGAGCTTGGAAAAACCTCAGACACTCAATGCCAGCCCATGAAAACAGTCAGGAGGGAGGCTCTACCCTGCAAAGCCACAGGGGCAGAGCTGCCCAAGACCATAGGAACCCACCTTTTGCATCAGCATGACCTGGACGTAAGACTTGGAGTCAAAGGAAATCATTTTGGAGCTTTAAAATTTGACTTGACTGCTCCGCTGGATTTCACACTTGCATGGGCCCTGTAACCGCTTTGTTTTGGCCAATTTATCCCATTTGGAACAGCTGTATTTACCCAGTACCTATACCCCCATTGTAGCTAGGAAGTAAGTAGATTGCTTTTGATTTTCCAGGCTCATAGGCAGAAGGGACTTGCCTTGTCCCTTCTGTGGATTTTTGGGTTAATGCTGAAATGAGTTAAGACTTTGAGAGCCTGTTGGGAAGGCATGATTGGTTTTGAAATGTGAGGACATGAGATTTGGAGGGGCCAGGGGTGGAATGATATGGTTTGGCTCTGTCCCTACCCAAATCTCAACTTGAATTGTATCTCCCAGAATTCCCACATGTTGTGGCAGGGACCCAGGGGGAGGTAATTGAATCATGGGGGGCCAGTCTTTCCCGTGCTATTCTCATGATAGTGAATAAATCTCATGAGATTTGATGGGTTTATCAGGGGTTTCTGCTTTTGCTTCTTCCTCATTTTCTCTTGCTGCCACCATGTAAGAAGTGCCTTTCACCTCCCACCATCATTCTGAGGCCTCACCGGCCGTGTGGAACTGTAAGTCCAATTAAACCTCTTTTTCTTCCCAATCTCAGGTATGTCTTTATCAGCAGCATGAAAACGGACCAGTATAGATGGGCTCTTGCTATGTTGTCCAGGCAGGAGTGAAGTGACATGATCATAGCACACTGTGCCTCAGACTCTTGGGCTCAAGCAATCCTCCTGCCTCTGCCTCCCCAGTAGCCAGGACAACAGGCATGCACCACTGTGTGCAATTCCTGTTAGGTTTTTAACCACACTTCCAGGAGATGGTGTTAATTAGAAAGACAAAGTTGATAAAAAGTAATAAATAGGAGAACCATATTGATAACATAAATAACAAGTGTAGGATTAGTACCTAGAATATATAAAGAACTCCTGAACATCAATAAGAAAACAATGGGGTGGGAAAGAAGGCAAAGAATATGCATAGACAGTTCACAAAAATTCAATCTGTACCTAAGGAATTGCACATTAAAGTAATACACAGATACAAATAGTATTTTACAATCAGCTTGGAAAAATTTAGAGAGCCTGATAATGGTATGTTTGGAGAGAAAAGGAAATCAGAACCTTCATACATTGCTAGTGAGAGCAAAGATGGTACAAATACCTTGAAGAACAGTTTGGCAATATTTAATAAAGTTTCCAGTGTGTGCAACCTACCATTTAATGATTCCACCTCAGGGCTTACACCCTGCAGAAGCCATAAAGGAGACAAACATGGGGATGTTCACTGCAGCATTATCTGTGATTGCAACAAACTGCAGTCAACCTAAATGCCCATCAATAAGGGAGTAGATTACATGGCACATCATAAAGGAGAGAAAATAAATGAATTAGATGGGTGTGTTTTTTCATGGATAGATCTCAGAAACTAAATATTGAGTGATAAAAGCAAGTTTGTTCAAGCACATGTATGGTCAACAAGTATGTAATTTTTGAAGAAAATCACACAAAGTTATAGGTGCTATCTTGCAAAAGCATAAACACATGGATTGGATGACTACACATCAAATTCTGGGTAATAGTTGCCTCTGGGGAGGGAGAGCAGGGAACTTATGGGGCTTATTGTTGTCTTCAATATTTAATACAAAGCAAACATGGTAATATTTTTGGTTTTTTTTCATTCTGGGAGACAGAACAATGACTATTCTATCATTTACCACAAATTTTAAAAGTTAACAAAAAAGGTAAGGAATACTTTCAGGGAAATAAAAGTAATGAGGCGCATCTCAACCAAGGTGTTCATCAGAAACTTGCCATCACTGTATTTGCTTGCACATGTTCTAGTCATCTCTGTTGGTATTTTCCCTCATACTATCATAATCTTTTAGGACAGGAACTTTGCCTATGATTTCTTTGAAGCCAAGCCTCATGCAATTTACCAAAGAAAGTATGATCATCATTCTATAAGCCACACACAGAAATTGTTAGAAAGCTTCACAAACCTGCTAGAGTCAGTGTTGGGGAAAGTGTGGGTGAATGGGCACTTGGATCCTCTGTTGGTTAGAATATAAACAGAATTGCTTTTTGCAAGGAATTTGGGCTGCATCTCTCAACATGGAAAACAGGCAGTCTCTTTGGCCAACTATCCTCTACCTCAAAGACCCCACACTCCAGAAAGCCTATATAAAGGTCCAGTATGTTCATAATGCAAGAATATTCAATTCTGCATTACTTACCATAGTGAAAATTGAGAACAATAGAAATGCCTTTGAATCTGGGAATGATTTAAAATTTTTAGTAATAAAATGGAACATTTGGTGGCTGCTTTTGAAAAGAAAGATAGATCTAGGTGTGTTGACATGGAAAGTTGTCTAGGATATATTATTATTATTTAAAAAGCAAGCGGCAGAAAAATATGTATCATGTAACCAGATGTTTGTTTTGAATGGATGTATATAGATATATAATTATATTTTATTTAATTCTATTTGAATTAGCCTATAAATAAAGCAGAGAATGCATGTAAACTCTTAAATTAATTAAAGAGTAGAGATAAGAGAGAGTAGGGAGTGGGGGCTTTTTGTATTTGTTTATATTTGTCTTTATTCTTTTGGGATTTTTTGATGAGCTTGTTTTCTCATTTTTAATGTACAGTGTTAGTAGTATTACTGATGTCTGAATGACACTTCCACCTAAAGATATGAAGGAAGCACGTCATGTATTGCATTTCATGTTTTATACCACTATTTTTCTTTAGGAGATGAATTCTTCCTTGAGAGATCTCATTTGCCTTTTTAGTAATCTAAGGTTTTTCTAAGACTCCAAAGAAACCTGAGGTAATGGAGCAGTGACAATGGTGCACAGTTGAGTTTGCATGAAGGTGACTCAGATTTCAGCCCTTGAGGTGCCTGATCATCACACATAGTGATTGACTGCATCTCATTTATGATGGTGCAGTCTACTCTTTTCAGATATAAATAATAGCACAGCTCATTGGACAGGAAGGGAGAGCCAGGTAGTTCCCTGGTTGCATGGGTGTGTAAACTAGGCCAGTGATTTTACATCATCCTAACGAACGTATTAATAGCATGATAAAACGAAGGCCCTTGAATTGTTTTGGTGGTGATGCCTACTCAACCTTCCCATATTCAAGATGATATAAAGCTGTAACAGGCTTTCAGAAATGCAGTCTAGATTTGATATAGTGCTTTTTATTAACTGTGACACAATGGATTATGGCACTTCAAATGAGAAGGGGAATTTTCTTCCTTTTTGAAATGTGAATTAACAAAATGCTTATTCTCAGTAGAAGTTGTTTTCATGGGCTTTTCCATTTATTTCTGCTGTGGTTGCCTTCCTCTACTGCCTCTTTGCTAGACAGGCAAACAGTCACACACACATAGTTCATATACCCATTAAATCATGCTATTAGAATGGAACTTTTTTGTTTGTTTGTTTTTTGAGTTGGAGTCTCACTTTGTCACCCAGGCTGGAGTACAATGGTGTGATCTTGGCTCACTGCAACCTCTGCCTCCCGGGTTCAAGAGATTCTCCTGCCTCAGCCTTTTGAGTAGCTGGAATTACAGGCACATGCCACCACAACTGGCTAATTTTTGTATTTTTAGTAGAGACAGGGTTTCACCATGTTGGCCAGGCTGGTCTTGAACTCTTGACCTCAGGTGATCCGCCTCCCTCGGCCTCCCAAAGTGCTGGGATTACAGGCATGAGCCACCACACCCAGCCTGAACAACTCTGTTTTTGAGGAACGGTTTTATATTTCAGAAGAGGATATTTCAATTGGGTCATGCTGGGAAAACTCCCCAGGAGATGAACCTGCCACTTCATCGTGCAGTTATTGTCTGTACTTGCACAAATTATTGCTTCTTCTGGCTTGGGATACTTCATCTACTTGTGAGTTGGCAGTAGTGACACCTACCTGTCCCCCCCTGGAGCACTGGGCTGATGTCATCATTGTGCGGTGTTGGATGAGTAAGTACTCGAGAAAGGGTGATTGCCAAGGGCTGGGTAGTTCTTCAGGGGGATGGGCTGTGTTAGTTGCCTGGTTGTTAAAATAGGAGATTAAGAAGAGGAATCCTGAGCCTGACTTCTTCCTTTGCAACCCATGACCTCATTTTGTCTGACTTTTTTCCTTTAGCAGTTAAGGCCATTATACTCTACAGATATATTCCAGAGGAAGTGGAGGGCTCCACCTTTAAAAATAATAAGCAATTCAGGACAGTTCATATAAAGTCAGGATTTGAATAGATATTTATTAAATGTCTGCCATGAGTAATGTATTCCACTAAGCACAAGGGGGAGATATAAAACGTAGTTTAGTAGGTTCTTCATAGGTTCTAATGAAATGTAAACACCTTACGAGAAGTGTATTCCTTTATGTCACAAGGAACCCTTGTGTTCTGTAGGTCAATCACTGTGCAATACTACGTAGATTCAGAGATAGTTATTAAGCATAATAAATCAATCACACTTTTCTCTAAAGCTCAGTAGAGATACTACCTGTCTCCACATATTACATTTGATTGTAAGATACAGCCTAGAGAAAAATGTTAGAATCTCATTGCAGTGATTTCCAATGGGAAGAAATCTAAGAGAATCCATTCATTTGAGATTTTCTGTATTATAAAATTATTTTCTAAACCAGAGTCTATAATAGATTTCCTTTAAACACAAGAATATATATCATAAGCATAATAAAAATGAATCATACCACACAATTCTTGTTTGTATAAAGAAATCCTAATACATGAAAATTAATGAATGATATTGCCACTTCATATATATATTTGTATGTACAAATATTTATATATATTTAAATATGTACCTATTTAAAATATATATATTTATAACCTAATGCCTGTATTTACAGGATTAATAAAACCATAACCCTATGTCAGAGTTTTTAATAGCTAGCAACAATAAGCAACTTTTGTTAATTTTGAAAGAAAATGAATTTATTGACAGGGTATTGGGTTACCTGCTGAGTTGCTAGGCAGTAAGAAGACCAGGCTTGGAACCGGGAGCAGTACCTCTAACACACTGCAGAATTGGTCTGGAGAGCAATGGAAGCCTGCTTCTCTGTTTCTATTGCACCAATAATTCAGTCTTCCCACAGCCTTGCCCACTCCCTGTGGTCCCTGTTCCTTTTCCTTATCCTTTATCTCTAACACCTGAGTCCAGTGCAGAACACCTGATTGGTGGATCCTCAGTCACATGTTCATTCCCTAGCTGCAAGGGAGGCTGGCAAAGGAACACCTGCATTTTCTCATTTCTAGAGTAGGAGGATGATTCTGCAGCCAAAGCAATTGCCAAATTGTTATTACAATAATTATGCTAGAAAGTTTGAAAGGCAGAAAACATGAAAACATCATCATATTCCATTGTTCTGATACAAAACTATTTTAAAATAAAATTATCCCAGTCTTTTTCCTATTCATATGTTTTTACATTTGTGCAATCATAGATTTTATACTTTTACATCTGCATTTTATTTTCAGTGTCTTTTTTTATGTTGCTATATACACATATATCATTTTAAATAATCACATAATAATTCAAATAAACTGACTTATTTTGCCATTCTTCTAATGTCAGAGATTACTGATAAATTTTCATTATTTTGAAAAATAATTTTATGAACGTGTTCACATCTAAAGCTTTGGCATCTGAATGTTGTATTTGGGGCTTCAGAACCCAGAAGGAAATCTTATCAACCCTTGAGTCTTTAATAATAAAATTAGTATACTTGATTTATACCTTTCCTTAATTGACTTAAACACAAACACAGTCCTCCTTTTGATGTGAAATTTTACAAGTTCGGAATTGAGTGAGTTAAATTTGGGATTGTTTAAAAAATTTTAAACATTTTATGTAGGCAAGCTATGTTTGTTAAGCAAATATTTACTAAAAAGTACTGCTTTTTAATTTAATACTAGGAAAACAAATAAATGACCTAATAATAAATATCCTGTATCTAAACAAGGTAATATGATGCACATCATAATAAACTTATGACTGTCATATGACTGTTAACACTGACCTCAATATTTTTTAAAGTAAAAAGTTTCGATTTCATCACGATTACATATATCAGAATATTTTCCTTACCTTGGATGTTGTGAGTCAGTTACGGTATTTACAAGTGGATTCTTGTAGAATTAAGTGATATTATCATAAAATAAACACATCATGGTGTATTAGTTAGCCCCTTGGTAAATCTGCCAGTCTACCATTTTTAATATTTAGAATACCTTCTGTCTCCTGTAAGATTCTGGTATTGTTGCTTGTTCATTTGACATATGTTTAGTGCATGTCTAGTACATGTTGGACACTAAGTGTCCATATTATATGTCCAGTGCATGATGGGCAGCATATTAAGTAACAGGGTATAAAAACAAGAAAAACAAGAAGGACATCTGACCTGACATTTAGAGGCTTAAATCGAGCAGGTGATATTATAGTCTGGAAATGGATGTGTGTGGGTGTATCTGAAAAATCACAATAGACTGGTTCTGGGAATAATGACCGAAAAGTCTCTTTTGTGCATATTTAAGTTACTGGCATTAAGGTTAGTATGCATGGTTTGAGGACTTGGGACTGGGAAATTCTTAGGTATTGGTTACCATCCCTGACTTTGAAATATGAAAATATGATGATATTTGACTTGATACAGTTGCCTCCTTTTTTTTTTTTTTTTTTTTTGACATCTTTAGCCCTTAAAGTCAGCCTGGCTTATGATTCTGCTCTTAGATGAGGGTGGTTCATTCATGGTATGGTGCTGAAGAGGAATTAGTGTAGCAAAATCAGAAGGCTTGGGGAAAAGCATAGGGTTTTTCAGCATTAAATCTCTCCTTATATAACATTCCTTATATTCTTCTTCCCACTGATGATTCCATTTCTATCCCTTGGAATCTAGCAAAGGGCTATTTGTAGCTGCAAGTATTCCCTGGAATTGGGATCCTACAACATGTAAAGAGTCAAGAATCGTAAAATGTAATTTAAATTAATAATCCAGATCTGAACTGTACTCTCAGAGGTTAAACCAGACATAATCTTTCAGGATCTTGGTGGGCAGGTTGGTTGGTACATTTTATGTCTTAGGGATATGTATAGATCCTCCTTTAGAAAAGATAGAGACTGTTTTTTGTTTTTGTTTTTGTTTTTGTTTTTGAATAAGACAACTTTTGCTCCAGTTCTGCTAGCATGGTTGGGGACCACATTAAAATTCCACTTTGATCAATAGAAAGACAAATACCATAATGTTGTCAGAGTTTTTTTCTCAGCATGGGATTGTTATATGTTGTTCCTTCCTTTTGCTCATCCTTTTCTCTAAATTTTCTCCAGTCATGTACATTATGGGTTTTGGGGTTTTGTTTTTGTTTTTGTTGAGACACAGTCTCACTCTGTCACCCAGGCTGGAGTGCAGTGACATGGTCTCTGCTCACTACAACCTCCACCTCCCGGGTTCAAGTGATTCCTGTGCCTCAGCCTCCTGAGTAGCTGGGATTACAGGAGTTCACCACCATGCCTCGCTAAATTTTTTGTTTTCGCCATGTTGGCCAGGCTAGTCTCGAACTTCTGACCTCAAGTGATCTGCCTGCCTCAGCCTCCCACAGTGCTAGGATTACAGGTGTGAGTCACCACGCCTGGCCCACATTATATTTTTAATAAGGAAAGTAATAAAATTGGTGTCTTTTCCTGGTATTAAGGATGACAAGATGAATTCAATAAAATTTCCTTGGTGTTTTTTCTCTCGTATGTTCCTTTTTGTGACAACAATTTTGGGACTTTTAAAATAAGTATGTTTGCCATATCACTGATAGCAGTGCATTGATTACCTCTGAGAAATGAAGCCACGATGCATCCTGCATATTTGGTTGGTTTGGAGTCCAGCACATCAGGGTTCAGATCTCTGGTTATATGAAAGCAGGCAAGTCACATCAAGCTAGTTATGTAACCCTCTGCCCTCAGTTTCCTCATCTGTGAAGTGAGACTAGTGGTAGCACTTACATTCATTGTGAGCATCAAGAAATATTAATGTATGAAAAGGCTTGAGCATTATGCTTTGTATATAAGAGATGCTCAATAAAAGTTAACCTTCCTCTCTTATTTTCTTTTCTCTGAAGGGAGAGGGTGAGAATTGTTACAACTTATTCTCATACTCTCCAATAACTATTTTGAATATGGAAAATGGCATGGCTTGTTGTTAAGTAAATAATCATGTTCTATATTAGGGAAAAAGAATAAAAAATTTTGCATTATTTAGCCTTTTGTTATGTTTTTCCATAGTCATTTCTATTATTTCAAGAAATCTTTCTCTGTCTCTTCTCGCTCGTTCTCTTTTACATCCAAGGTTGACTTTCTAAGCATATTCAGTGGTAAAGGTATAACTGCATCATCCCATATTTCAATACCAAAACGGGGAGAAGAAAACACTTAAATTCAGCCACCACAGTGCATTTTCCAAAGTGTTAATTAAATAATATACATAATACAAGGAAGCTTCAGTTTGGCGATTGAAACCACTTGCCATTTTGCTAAAAGTAAGAGCCCATTTAAGTCCATTTAAGATCATTTGGGTCTGCACTTATTTGTCATGGGTATCATTTGAGACAAGAACTTTGTAGGAACAATCTTGTTTAATTTAATGCTATTTCTACTACTGTAGCTTTTGTTTTGTTTTGTTTTTCTAAGTGGTTTGCAGATAGTTTTGTAGGGAGGCAAATAATAAAATAAAACGATCTAGAATCTTTAAAACTGCAAAGAATTTGCCATTGAAGCATTAGGATTAAATTTTTTTTTGTAAACCCCCAAGACAACATTTGTGCATGTATGTGCATGTGTGTGTATATATCTAAAAACTATACTTTTTCCTTTCCTTCTAACTCTTTATTATGGAAAATTTCTAATAAATACAAAAGAATAGCACAATGTGCCTCTTGCCCCATCTCTGAGAGCATTTGGCACACTTCTATAATACTTGAAGAGCAATTAGAAAATAAAAGTCTGGGGTTATTTATAAAATTATGAACAAATGACTTTGGAAAGTTTAAAAAATAGATTGGAAAGAAATAACTTTTCAAAATGTAGGAAATGAACAGATGAAAAATTATTTGCTGGGGTTTTTTTTTGTTGCTGTTTTTTGTTGTTATTGTTGCTGCTGCTGTTGTTGTTTTCAGACAGTGTGGGCAGCAAGCCACCCAGGCGCCAAGGCAAGAGACCGAGGACACCAGCTGTTCCAGTATAATAAAATATAAAACAAGAATAGTTATACCAGATATAGATCTTAGATATGATTATATATGAATATCATTAATCATTAGTTTGTAGCAATTACTTTTTATTCCAATATTATAATAATCCTCTCTCTGTAATCATAACCTAGGAAAAACCAGGCCATACAGAGATAGGAGCTGAGGGGACTTAGTGAGGTGTGACCAGAAGACAAGAGTGCGAGCCTTCTGTTATGCCCAGACAGGGCCACCAGAGGGCTCCTTGGTCTAGCGGTGATGCCAGCATCTGGGAAGATGCCCGTTGCCAGGCGGACCCGTGGTCTAGCGGTAGCGGAAAGTGTCAAGGAACAACACCCACTACTTAGCAGACAGGGAAAGGGAGTCTCCTTTTCCCCGGGGGAGTTTAGAGAAGACTCTGCTCCTCCACCTCTTGTGGAGGGCCTGACATCAGTCAGGCTTGCCCGTGGTTTTCCGGAGGCCTAACCATCTCCCTGTGATGCTGTGCTTCGGTGGTCACACTCCTAGTCCGCCTTCATGTTCCATCCTGTACACCTGGCTCTGCCTTCTAGATAGCAGTAGTAAATTAGTGAAAGTAATAATAGTCTCTGATATGCAGAAATAATGGCGTAAGCTGTCTTTCTCTCTGTCTCCTCTCCCTCTCTGCCTCAGCTGCCAGGCAGGGAAGGGCTCCCTGTCCAGTGGACACGTGACCCATGTGACCTTACCTATCATTGGAGATGACTCACACTCTTTACCCTGCCCCTTTTGCTTTGTATCCAATAAATAACAGTGCAGCCAGACATTCGGGGCCACTACCGGTCTCCGCGCATTTGTGGTAGTGGTTCCCCGGGCCCAGCTGTCTTTTCTTTTATCTCTTTGTCTTGTGTCTTTATTTCTACACTCTCTCGTCACTGCACACGGGGAGAGACCCACCGACCCTGTGGGGCTGGTCCCTACAAGACAGAGTCTCACTCTGTTGCCCAGGCTGGAGTGCAGTGGCTCGACCTCGGCTCACTGCAACCTCCACCTCCCTGGTTCAAGCAATTCCCCTGCCTCAGCCTCCCAAGTAGCTGGGATTACAGGCACACGCCACCATGCCCAGATAATTTTTTTGTAGTTTTAGTAGAGACAGGGTTTCACCATGTTGGCCAGACACTGGTCTCGGACACCTAACCTCAGGCAGTCCATCTGCCTCGGCCTCCCAAAGTGCTGGGATTACAGGCGTGAGCCACTGCACCCGGCTGATTTGCTGTTTTATCATGGAGAATTTGGGAGAGTAAGGAGGCTATATGTGAAACTCCGTAAGCTTATTGTAAGCTAAGCATTAGCCAACTTCTGGTTTTGTTTGCAAGTATAGTAACGTTCCTTTATTTACTATTTTATCAGACATAAGAGACTTTTAAGTGACACTCTCAGATATCAATAATGCACTCATAGTTGATGTTCGGAATGACTCAGAAACACCAAAAGCAGATTCCTAGTGTGCTTTTTGAAACATTAGAATTGTTCAGCTTCATTCTATATAGTTTTAGGGCATAGTTTATCATTATTGTGTTGAATTGATCGTTCTTGATTTATAGCATAGCTTTTCCTGTCCATCTGACTGTCCAGAACTCAAATCAGTATGAATTCTTGAGTATTGAATTAGGCTATTTACAGTGAAGATGACGTTTCCTGCACCCTCCAATTAGCTAGAAACATCTCCTTTGCATGTCAAGACAAGATGTGAAATAACTCTTGATAACTGTGAATATCAGATATAAGAAGGAAGCATGTCAATAGTTCATGAGATACCTGTGCCATTCCTGGGGCTTGACTAGTTTCTGTGCCTTTTCTGAAATCTGCCACTGAAAGGAGTCGGGAAGGAAATTGGCACAGCCTCTTCTAGGATAGGATTTCTACACTGTGGCATTATTAACACTGGGACGAAAGAGTCTTTGTTTTGAAAGGCTGTCTTGTGCATCGTAGGATGTTTAGCATCACCGCTGGACTCTCGCATACTGGATGCCGGTAGTAGCACCCCCTCCTCACATAGTTATGACAACCAAAAGTATCTCCAGACATTGCCTAAAATTCCTTGAAGGGCAAAACTGCCTGTACAGTTGAGAGCTCCCATCTTAATAGGCAGGAGCACCTTACTGTAAATTTCTGTGTGGGTTACTCTCCCTGTTTCCCCCACCTAACCCTTGGGTTGTAAGCCCCTTGATGATAGAAATGAAGTATTTTCTTTCATGTTGAGGTCTCGCTTTCTTTTCTGTCTACCACACAATATATAGAGATTTGAGGATTGACTATGCCATTGCTTTTTTTTTCAGACGGAGTCTCACTCTGTCGCCAGGCTGGAGTGCGGTGGCACAATCTCAGCTCACTGCAGCCTCTGCCTCCTGGGTTCAGGTGATTCTCCTGCCTCAGCCTCCCAAGTAGCTGGGACTACAGGCATATGCCACCACACCCAGCTAATTTTTATATTTTTAGTAAAGTTAGGGTTTCACCATGTTGGCCAGGATGGTCTCGATCTCTTGACGTTGTGATCCACCTGCCTTGGCCTCCCAAAGTGCTGGGATTACAGGAGTGAGCCACCACACCCGGCCGCCATTGCTTTTTAGTTTTTGTTTTTATCCAAGCCACATAATATAGTGGGTTTTTAACAAAAGGGCAGTCTTGACATTTCTCTTCTTCCCGTTTTTGTTACTGCTTCACAACTGAGTACGTAACAACTGGTACTTCAGTGATACAGTGGCCTATTTTCTTTCTTATAAAAGACATTACTATATCATACAGTATTTTAACCTTTCCTTTACAAATCTCATGATACTGAGATGCCTTTGGTTAACAAAAATTGCCATTGAGTCTGGAAGATTGTTTGTTTGCTGACTGACCAGCCCCCTCATCTCATCCTTCTCACAAAGAAAGAAAGAAAGAAACAAACCCTCAACCCTTAAATTAGTCAAAGTCCTAAGGCAGTTTTCCCAGAACAAATGTCCATATTGACTTTCTCCGTTGTTAGGTCCTGTCCTTGTTGACCCGTTGCTGGCTTGAGGGGCTGATTCTGTTCACTTTGGAATTGGGTAGCGTTTTGGTTTAACAACAGTGTCCACCCAGCGGGGGACCAAATTCTCAGGAGAAGCCTTATTTATAATAAAGCACAAAAACAAATACTCAGAAGAAATAGTGATTACATAGGCCCTCTGAACAGTTTCAAAAGCAGAAATAATTCCGTTGAAAATATGAATCCTGTAAATAACTCATAGTTTGGTAGTGTTTCATAAAGTGATTAGGAGTAAGCCTCAATTTCCTCATGCTGAAAATGGGGATAATAACATCTGCTACTTCGTAGGATTGTAATGAGGATTAAATAAGTGAATCCATTGAAAACTTTCAGAAAAACTACCTGTAACATAGCACTCAGTAATTGCTTTATTTTCTTTCTTTTGGAGATGGAGTCTTGCTCTGTCACCTAGGCTGGAATGCATTGATGCGATCTTGGCTCATTGCAACCTCTGCCTCCCGGGTTCAATCAATTCTCCTGCCTCAGCCTCCTGAGTAGCTGGGACTGCAGGCACACACCACCACACCAGGCTAATTTTTGTATTTTTAGTAGAGATGGGGTTTCACCATGTTGGCCTGAAGTGATCGGCCTGCCTTGGCCTCCCAGAGTGCTGGGATTACAGGCATGAGTCACCACACCTAGCCTATTTTCACTTTTTAATTCTTCTCCTAATTATGAGGAGTCTCTATATCTTCCCATTTTCCTACCTCCTTTAAAATTCCTACCTATATTCTCCAAAGAAGTAGTCTATCCTCTTCCTCTTTATATGCATTATCCATTATTTTTATCACACAAATCCAAATGGGACTATCCAAACCACATATATTGGCCTGGTATAGGTGTGTCCTCCCTTTACAGATTTTTATAGATTTTCAAAAAATTTTAAATCTCTGAGAATTTGCTTTGTAGAGTATGATAAGTCATAGGTTTTTGTTTGTTTTTTTTTGGCAAAGTACTTTTTATAGTGAGGAAAAATAAAGCTCTGCCTAAATACCTATGTAAGCTTAAGTTTCAGTTGATTACGTGTTTTAGATGACATCCATGTAGATCATTGGCCAATTTGTTTGAAAGAGGTAGTCATGATTTTTTTGATCTGAAAAGGTCAATATGAATTCAGTTCTGTATCCCCTGCACAAGTTTTTTAAAAAATGTTTCATTTGTGGCTAAAACACACATTCCTGATTAGATCAATGAGAGCACTCCATGGGCAAATCCAGCTTATTTTGCTAGTTAACAAGATGTTTCTCTGAGTTCTCGTGCCAGCAACGCCACAGAAGAATCACAGGAATCCTCCTGAATCCATAATCAATTCATGCAACACCAAGTCAGATCTCTTAGAAGAAAATTGCTGGTGAAGGTCCAGAATAGCAAGCTAAAAAGCAGATATTTGATACTTGCAATAGGCTGATAGGTGTGCTAAGTGCTTGCTTAGTAAACATGCTACCATAACACTTTTCCTTTTATGGAGAAAGAGGACATAAATACATAAAAATAAAATATCAAATACATAAATATGTGTGCACTGTGTGAATATGTACAGGTTGTCTCAAATTTATACGAAAGCAGAGTGAATAATAGAATGAACCCTTCGCGTAACCCATCACCCAGCTTCGAGAGTTATTGACTCGGCTCATCCTGTTTCACGGATACCTCCCTCTAACTTGCAAATCCTAGACATAATTTCATCTTTAAATCTGTCTCGTAGTTTGTTCAACCTCTCCCCAGAAAAATGTACAGTCAAAGTTTGCTTACAATTTTCAGGAATTTACAATTTCCCTAAAACCCAGTTAAAGAGAACCACTGACTGATCCAGCTCATTTGGAAGTATGAGAGGAAAGATGTCACGAAAGCCTTCTGTATGAGACTGTGGCCTGCAAGTGTCCCAGCTCTAACGTTCATGTTTTTCCCCTTTTTCTCTTACTCTCACAATCCATCTATGATATTTGAGTTAGCTAAAGAGAAAAAGATAAAAGGATACAGGAAAGAGGCTGAATATTTCCTTCATCTTTTAAAGTCCTCTCGTCTCCTTCTTGGTGGCTTTATATTTTTTTTGAGATTGTGAGCTATATGATTTAACACTAATCCACTTGGATGTGAAAGCAAAAATTCCAAGGTGAACAATCATAGAGAACATTATTTATTTACTGAGCATTTACTATGTGCCAAGTACTTTTCATGCATCTCATCACTTAAGCTTATCAGCATCTCCAGCAACTATTAGGTAGGTAGGATCCATGAGCCCATTTTGTAAACAGAAAACTGAGGTCCAAAGCATTTAAGCAACTTGCCCAGGATTTGAACTCAGATCTATTTGAAATTCCATTCAGATGTTTAACAATACTAAACTGCATCTCTCCATTTTACTCTGACAGTGGGTCGTATTCTTAGCTGTGTGTCCCAAGCAGGCATACGTGGAGTATTTTATAGCTGTGTGCACCATTTATAACAACTTCTTCATGGTGGCGTGAGGCATTTCAGAGCATTATATAAGAAAGTCTCTTAATGTTTATGCTGTTTTTAAATTAGACTTAGTGCAAGCCAAGAAGAAGCCAAGGGCATTTTCAAAGTGTTCATCAGATCATGTTGATTCTCTTTATTAAAACATCTCAATGGCTTCTTACAAGTAGTAGAGAATAAAAATCAAATTCCTTTCAATGGCCTGCAAAGCCCTACAACATCTGGCCCAGACATTCTTTTCAGGGCTCTCACTGACCTTGTCAGTACTCCAAAAGTGCTGGCTCTGTGGTTGTTGATCTTGTCCTTATTCATCCAATATGCTGGGCTGCTTCCTACCTCAGTATCTGATCTCTTCTGTACCTCACCATAGCTGGCTTCTCATCATTGAGGTTCCACCCAACTTGTTGCTTCTAGAATAGCTTTGTTGCAATGGCCTTTTTTTCTCTTTTACTGTCTGCATTGCACTTCTCATTGTATGAGATTCTTATTCCTTTGTTGGTTCATTACTCTGTGTTTGTCTCTGCTTCCCCACCTTAAATATGATTTTCATGCAATCAGGGCCTGTGCTTTAGTTGCTGCTCAGTCTTCAGCACCTAGATGAGTGCTGAGTAAATCCTGGTTGAATGAATGAATGGTTTGTTAAGTGGGGATGGTTACATTAAACCTGCATGCGAAGCTCTCAGCACAGTGCATGCCCCAGTCGGAAAGCACTGCCGAGCTGCTGCTGTTGTTGGTGAGGTTAATTCCAATCTGGAACTTCATCATAACATAATCTATAAGGCAAGTTTTAAGAATTTCCCAAGCCAATGCAGTTTCTCAAAAACCAGAAGGACCCTCAGTCTCATGATATAGATCCTGAAGTTGTGTTATTAGGAGATGGCTGCTTTTTGACAGTTTTTAGCTCATGTGGGCTTGACCTTCAAACCAGTAGCATTCAGCAGCTCTCATCTCTGCCTAGGGGCTTTCTGACCTTTTGCTTAGGCCCAAGGCAATGTTTTCATCTCTGACAAACTTGACCACTGCCAGTTTCTTAAGAGTGTCGGTACTTATGAGAAGGAGTTGTTCTGCCTGTGCTGTAATCATCTCTAATACCCGATAAACTGCAAACAATGGGGGCATTTGAGGGGGGAAATGGTACAACAAAAAGACGTCTGCGATTCTGAGGCAGGGCTAAACTGGGGCACGTGGAAAAGTTCTAGCATGTGGAATGCTGCACTCGCAGCTCCCATGGTGGGGGGGATCTGGACGGTCCTGACAATGGGCCATTATAAAGGCACTATTGAACCACGTAATTGTGGCCTTTGGAAAAACCATAAAAATGTGTCAAATATTATACAAATGCAAACTGTACAAGCTTGAATGTTAGACCAAAAATTTCAGAAAAAACAAAGTCCTCTCCATCTGATCAAACAGTTCAAGAAAAAGTTGAAACAAGGCGAATTTCACCATTGTGTAACCCCTTCATGGGTTTATTTGTTGCTTGCAAAATTTTCAGTAGAGGAATTCTGCCTGAATATATTTTCATTTGTCCAGATCTGTAGGCTTTCATTCTCATGGAATGTCTAGCTTGTTTAAATTACAAAATCAGTGTCATGTACATTATAGAAAATAATAAAATAACAATCACTGAGAATTTATCGCTCGGGAATAGTCATTGTTGAGACTTGACCGAGTAATTTGTCATTAGTTTTTTTTTTTGGCTTTGCATATATATAAATAGCATTTAAAAATCAATTTTGGATAGCAGCATGTATAGTGTTTTTAACCTGCTTTATGTTCCCATTTACATTAATGAACTTTCCGTCTCATTAAATATTGTTAGATTAACACAGTAACGGAAAACCAAACACCACATGTTCTCATTCATACGTGGGAGTTGAACAATGAGAACACATGGACACAGGGAGGGGAACATCACACACCGGAGCCTGTTGAGGGGTGGGGGACAAGGGCAGGGAGAGCATTAGGACAAATACCTAATGCATGTGGGGCTTAAAACCTAGATGACGGGTTGACAGGTGCAGCAAACCGCCATGGCAAATGTATACCTATGTAACAAACCTGCACGTTCTGCACATGTATCCCAGAACTTAAAGTAAAAAAAAAAATAAATTTGATATATGAAATTCAATGTAGTGTACTAGACAAGAAATAAACAAAAAATTGTTAGATAAAATGTGGATTGTAATGACTGCATAGGATCCATTTATATGTAGTGGTTCTCAACTGAGGGCTGTTTTGTCCCCAGGAGGCATTTAGCAATGTTTGGAGCCAGTTTTGGTTGTCATAACTGGAGTGGGACATGCTGTGTTACTTGGCATCTAATGGGTATAGATTAGGGATGCTGGGAGACAGCAGGCAGTTCACACATCACCCCCACAACAAAGCAGTATCTGGCTCCAGTGTCAATAGTGCTGAGGCTGAAAGCCTGAACTATATGGCTTCCTTATAATTAATTGAATCCATGGCCTATGAGATATTTGTTTTCAATTTTTTTATTAGAAATTAATGGCTGAAAAACTTTATCTATAAAAAACAGAGTGTTTTAGACTTTTGGGGCCGTCGGGTCCATTACTCAACTATGCTCTTGTACTGTTATAGCTTGAAAGCAGCCATAGACTATACTTAAATGAAAGTATGGATGTTTTCCAATAAAACCTTATTGACAAAAATGGGCGGCATGCCCCAGGCAGTAGTCCACCTACTTCTGTTAGAGATAATGCTCTAATAGATGTCTGTGTACCTAAATCTTTGTCCCGTATCTGATCATCTCCTTAGAAAAGTTCTTGAAAAGAGCCATTGCTGCATGGGCAACATGTATGTATCTTTTTAAAGTTTATATCCGTTTATTTTATTTTATCTTTTACAGTTCTACCTATTTATTTTATTTTCTCCTATGAGATTGTTCATTTCATGTAGCTTTCTGAACACACTTGCGCCACCATCATTCTATCAGATTTGGAACCTTGTTCAGGGATATGAAGTGTGAATGGGTAAGGTAGGATTTGCAGATTTAAAAGTCTTCAGGAATCAGACGGGTTAATGAATAAAGTAGTCCAGTTGTCAGTGTCAGAATAAAGAGTGATGAGAGTTGCAGAATGAAAAGTAAGTGCTCATTGAAAGGGAGAAGCTACTTCTCAACTCTGTTGCTTTTCAACTCTGATAAGTTGCTGGCCCAGTAGGAGTGCAGTTTGGTATCTCTAGATCTTCTGATTTATCAACCAGAAAAGAGAAATCCAAACTCTGGTTTGAGAAACCAGATTTTGGGTTGAAAACTCCCAATTTTTCATCATTGGTGACAAATTCATAGAACACTAAATTCTGTCTAGGTGAACAGACTTGCCTGTGGTTTGTGTCCATGGACTGCCAGCTTGGGGACCTTGGAATAACTGTGACTTATCTAGGGGTCTACAGCTAGAGGTGAAAGCAAATCTCAGGCTTCCGGCCGGTCATTTGAGACCCACAGGGCCCTACTGGCTTGTTGTACTGCTAGATGAGAGCTGTAAGAATTGGCAATCTTTGGGCAGCCCCTGATAGATAAGGAAGCTTTATCATGTGAAGTAGGGTGGCAGGCTGTGAATCAACTGCCTGGCCTGAAGACTTAGTTCCTCTAGAGCTTTCTAACTTAGGAAGACTGAGGGACTGTCACACTTCATTTCCTCAGGACGTTTCCAGAGGTGGTCAGAATCCTAGCCTACAACCCCTGCCTACACAATGTGGCCCCTTGTTCTTCGGTTCTGCCCCTTATCCATGCACGCCAGCCACAGTGGTTCCACACTGCTTCACTGACGTACCAAATACTTGCTGAGTGCCCACAGTGTGCCAAGCTGTGTTCTGGACAAAGCAGAGCAGAGGAGGGAGAATCAGGAGCACTGGTAGCATGTGGGCTGGATATGTGAATATGTCCTTAAGATAGTTATAGGAGACAAGGTCAATGAGGTAATGCTCCTGGGGTGGGGTGGAGTGGGAGAAGTAGGCACAGTGGACAGGGGTCTGTAGAATCTACGTGGAGAACTAACAAGCTAGTGTGGATTTCTGAACACCATACCCAGAGATTCTGATTCATTAGCTCTGGTTTGGGGCCCTGGAATGTGCATTTCTAATAAGCACTGTGAATAGCATTGATGTAGGGACTTCTAGGCCATTGCAAATACTTTGTTTTTGTTTTTTTTTCTCAGAAATAAGTAGGGAACCATTACAGAGGTGGGGTTTTTCTTTTTGTTTGTTTTGGTTTAGTTTCTATAGAGAAATGACTTGATCTGACAATATCACAAGATCCCCCTATTCATTGTATTGAAAATACACCGTCAGAGTGCCAAGACAGAAGCAGGTAGAAGAGTCAGGAAGCTTTCCATCATCTAAGTTTGAAGAGATGGTGGCTTGGATCAGATGGTAACAGTGGAGCATGAAAATCCATCATATTCTGATTATTTTCTGAAGATGGAAACAATATTTCTTGATGGGTTGGATCCAGGGTATGAAAGAAAGGAGTCAAAGATAACCATGATTTGTAGAATGAGCAACTAGGTTAAGCCAGAGGAAGACCATTTTTTGACCTACCCCCGCCCCCAACAAAAATGGCAATTTTCTATGTTTCAACCTAATAGAAAAAAATGGAGTTGCCAACTGTGAAAATGCAGAAGACCGTGGGAGGAGCCAATTTGGAAGAGTGGATGAACATGCTGAGCTTGAGAGTCTGCAGTCCTCCAAACGGTGCCGTCTCGTAGGCCAGTGGAGATGAGTCTGGTTCTCAGAGACCTCTGTTCTGGGGTGCTTAAATCCATGTGACTGGGTTCGATCACCAGGGCTGGGAGTGTAGATAGATGAAATCAAGCTCGGATCCTTGAGGCACTCTGACATTTAGAGGGGAGAAGAGGAGAAAACTAGCTAAGGAGAGTGAGAAGAAATGAAGAACGTGAGAGAAAAACCAGGCAAGTGTGGTAAATCGAAAGCCAAGTAAATAACATGTATTAAGAGCCTCCTTGCTGTTCTTTGAGCAACCAAGGCTTGTTCACACCTGAGGGCTGTATGCTTGGCTGGAATGCCGTTCCTGCCAATCTGCCTGGCTCATCTCACCAACTTCAGGTCTGGGCGTCAATGTCATACTCTGTGAGGCCCTTACCTAAACACACTGTGTAAGATTTGCACAGTTGCCTGGCATCTAGTTGGTGCTCAAGCAATATTTGTTGATTGAATGGTGAACATATAACTTTTGATGAAGGCAGCAGTCCAGGTGAGAACATATGAAAGCCTTGCTGCTCGGGATGTAGTGTGTTCCCTGGACCGGCTGGGTCAGCATCCCCTGGCAACTTGTTAGAAATGCAGAAATCTTGGGCTCTAGCCCAGACTTGTGGCATCACACTCTGCATTTAACAAGATCCTCCAGTGATTTGTGTACACATTAACATTTGCTCCCAGTCCTGTATTTAATTTTCTATGAATGTCAAGAGGACAATTGAGTATACTCTCTCAGATGGGAACAACTCAAAGTAAGAAGTTAAAACAATCAAAATCAAATATCTTCAGTGGTTGTTTCTGTATTCAATCAGAAAGCTATGATACAGTTTAAAAGCAAAAGAAAACTGTGTCGAGACTTTCAAGAATATTTTATGTGATTATCCCCCTATCTTTTTTACTTTTATTTTATGTGGTTATTCCACATATCTTTCTTACTTTTACTTTGAATTGACATAAGCTAGGAGCGCATGTAAAATGCATGGCATCTGGTACATGGTAGACAAGTTTGAGAGAATGAGCACTAATTCCGTTCTTTATATTTTAAAACATCGTGCTATATAATGTAACATATCCACTCATAATGTCTTATAAGACCCTCATTTAAGAGAAATGGTTTTCTCTTCTATTCGGCTGAGATAAAACCACATGTTCTTTTTATTATCATGGTCTTTGGCTTATTTTAGCCTGAGGGAGAAAAAAATAATGTATATATTAGGGATTTTCTTATGATAACACCTTTTTTCTGAGGCTACTAAATATTGTTTGTCCTAAAACCAAAGTATGCCTGTCTTGTGGTTTATAATAAGCATACTGTTTTATAGGTCATTAGCTAAGGATAAAAGACTTGCTGGGAATTTTTGATAGGGCTAGTCTAGTCTATTCTGTTTTAACATCAAATTTTCAGAAAAGTACATTTGTTATCCTTTTCTTTTATACATATTTACAGCTCAATTCTCTGAATTCAGAAGCCTACAATGTAATAAGACAGGAAGTAGTATGAAAGTATACAGACCCATAAATATGTGATATAAATGTATATATATTTATTTGTGCACACCTGGGATATGCACCTGGAATATGCACCTGGAATACACCCCTGGATTTACACAGTTTTATCTTCCCTTCTTATTCAGTTAAAGTCCTAGATCAGAACTGACCCACAGAAGAGGGAGCTTCTCTAGTTCGCCTCTGCGGACAGAATAATGGAGACATGGCTATGGTTTCTAACCCTGGCAAGTTGTTTAGGTTTCCTCTTAGTTTCTGTTTTCTTTAGCTTTAAAAAGGGTGGGGGGTAATTAAGCATATCCTGTATTCTTACAAAGATGCTTGTCCAGTTAAGACAGTAGTTGGAAAAACAACTGTAAAATTACGTATACATATACTATTTCTCTTTATTAAAATCACCCCATTCTTTCCTTCAAATCCTGCTAAAACTTCTGTTGAGTAGGAAAGTTCAATTCTAGTTTGGTGAAACTTTCCTAGAGAGCAGGGGTCAGCATTTTCTATAAAAAGCCACAATGTAGATAATTTTAGGCCTTGGGGGCCCTGCAGACTCTGTTGCTACTCTTCAAATCTGCTATTGCAGCAAGGGAGCCGCCCTGGACAACATGTCAACTAATGGGTGTGGCTGTGTTCTGATAAAACTTTATTTATCCACATTGAAATCTGAATTTTATATAATTTTCATGTGTCATGAAATATTCTTCTTTTCATTTTTTTTCAACTATTTAAAAATGTAAAATCCATTCTTACTTTATAGACCATACAGGCAGCAGACCGAGTTGGGCTGATGGGTGGACAGACTCCTGTTGTAGAGAAAAAGCACTGGGTTTGTCAACCATAGCCATTTCGAACCTTTCTTTATTTAAGACTCTTTGGTTTGCTTTGTATTTGCATCTGATTTTGATTCTTCTCCCTTAGGCCAGGATTCATACCCTTGTTGTTTTTACTTTTTGTTAAGGACAGCTTTGTACAGATTGTACAGTAAACAAGATTATATGTCCAAGGATATATGTTCTGGGCTTTTGTTTTCTTTTGTGGTAATGTAATTGTGGGACTGAAAAGAACCTCGACACTTAATCAGATGTGACCTTTTGCAAGACTATCCTAGTTATTTAAGAAAGCTAGCTTTCTCTGTTTTACCGCTTTTTTCAGGAAATATGATTGCATAACTGACATTCTCTATGGATTGCCATTTTTAAAACAGTATGAAAAGAATAGTGGTGTGGTGATAGATAACAATTGATTAAAGGGTAATCCCTTTAGTTTTCTTTAAACTTGCTGAGCAAAAGAACAAATTATCTCTCTAAACATAAGTGATAAATCTGAACATTTTGTTGAATTATTAAAAATATATATATATAAAGCCATTTGAGTGTAGAAGCATGTCATAGCTACTCAGGAGGCTGAAGTGGGAAGATCACTTGAGCCCAGGAGTTCAAGGCTGTAGTGTGCCATGATTGCACTTGTGAATAGCCACTGCACTCCAGCCTGGGCAACATAGCAAGACCCTTATCTCTAAAAATATAATAAATAAATAAATAAACTAAAAGGATTAAGAAAATCTACACTCGCTTCTACTTGAATTCTGGTTTACAAATAGTAGAGAGAATAGAAGAATAGTGGATATCTAGATAGGGATATTTCTTCCCCAGTAAATTCTGTTGTCAGCCAAGATGGTAGTATCTATAGCTACCATCTTAAACTGACATGTGATGTGCTCCAGGATCTCTTTAGAATGAAACTGATGGAAAATAACCTGTCAGTTTTACCCAGGAAGTGGTAAAGCTGAAGTGTGACAGTTAGGAGGTGATCCATTCCGATTCTCTTGCTATCCATTCAAGATCTGAATGAAGAAAGGAAACAGGTGAAATTACAGGAGTGCTAACAATGAATAAAAGTTACAAAGCCTTTGGGTGTTTGCCCTTTAACTCAGATAGCTAGCATAATTTATATGAAATATAAGTTATATCAATAAATAATATTTTATGATAAAGTATTCTAGCTTTATTTTGCTGTCTATACTTCAGGTGTTCAGCAGTACTCAACTTTTGCTATCTGAATTTCTTAGTGTGGTTAGTCATCTGGAAAGTCAAAAACATGCAAACATTATCAGGAAATCATAAAGATGTTTCTGTCCTCTTTAATGCTACATATATGTTCTCATTTGCATACTTCTTTGGCTATTTAAAAATTAATGAAAGCAAAGTTATTGACTAAAAAGCTATGAATTAGGGTGGCTGAAGACAGAAAATTATATTTATATGGCTTTTTAAGTTGTCAAAGGGCTATAGAGCCTCATAATAATGCTATGAGGGAGTTTGGACAGGGTTAGTATCTTTCTCCAGCATCTTCTCAGGGAGGGAAGTAAACATAGAGAGGCTATGTCACACACCACCTGTCCACAGTGGGGAGTGACATTGCTGGTGCAGTGATGATGCTAGAATGCCAACCACATTCTAGATCAGGGGTTCTCAAAGTGTGATCAGAGGGCCCTGGTTGTATCTAAGACCCTTGCAGGAGTTCTGCCAGATCTGGACTATTTCAGAATAACACTAAGATATTGTTTTCCTTTTTCACTCTCATTTCACCAGTAAACAATAGAGTTTTCCGAAGGCTACATGTCGTGTTGAGATGTCATTGTTCTGACATCCTGTGAGATATCTACTAATGTATAATCGTGTGTTTTCAAAAATTCTCAATTTTAATTTCTAATATGCTAAATATTGATAGATATAATCCATGTAAACACAATAAATTTAAAGAGTGTAAAAGGATCCTAAGACAAAAATGTTTGAGAATTGCTGTTTTAGATATTGTGCTAAGGCCGTTAGAAACATGATCTCATTTAATGCAGAAAACACACATATGAGGCAAGCTCTACTGTCATTCCCATTCAATATGCTAGGAGATGAGGGCCTGGAGAAGTTAATGAATTGCAGAAGGTACACGGGTTGTTAAGTTGCAAAGATAGAATCTGAACCCAGGTTTCAAGTTAAGAACTCCACTGTCTGTGTTGTCAGGCACATTGTCTTTCAAAGAAGCACCAGGAAATGCCTGGATTTGGACTAATTTCTCAGAAGAGAAACTTCTTCCCATAACCTAGGCTATCTCCAAGGGAATGTAAATATGAAGATTATCCTTATAGACAGTGTAAAATAGAGATTATTTTCTAGTAGTTTGTGGGCCGAGGCTTGTACTCTGTGAAACACAAAACAGTTGAGCATCGGATCTTTAAACCTGGAGGATTTTACTTAAAAAAGAAGTTTGGATTGCCAGCTACCCTTGAAAAATTTGGAGATTTTGAGCTAGGCTGGACTCATATTCCCACATGGCCACAATCAGCTGCAGTTTTTATCTGCTGTTCCTGCTAGATAGATGTGTGTCCTCTGGTTTGCCACAGACCTCACTACTCCTTATTACCTTCCTCGTAGCTCATGTTCCTCATTTATGTTGCCTGTTTGAGGTATTTGGGTTAGAAACAGCTGGAGATGTTCTGTCTACTGCATAGTGTTTATAGGCCATCTGCTTTCAACTTACGTGAAAAATAAAAAGTTATTAACAGTAAAAGAGCCAAATATATCCCATTCTGCTTACCCAAACCTGGATGTAATAAAGACCTCACTGACAGTGCCACATAGAAAGCAAATTGCTTCTTTCTTTACTAAAGCATAATATTCTGATTCATTAAAGAATTAGGATCTGCCAGTGAATTAACATTTATTTTTAAACATGAATCTCTTTTCTTTTTAAGTGTAATAGTGAAATAAGCACATTCTACTCATTGCCCTCATTTTATGTTTATTTTAGTAATGTCTACTGTCATCATTATCATGTCTGGACCCTTTATAAAAAAAAAATCTCTGTGAACCTCTGTGTACATATTAAATCAGTCATTTGAAACAATATGAGATTGTCAACCTAACGGACTGCATTATCCTGGGCATTTAGACAACATTATTGAACTTCAAATTTTTAGCTTAACATAACATTTGTCAGCAGTAGATATTAAGCATTTATCATAATTTATAAGTATATATTTGCTTGCCTCTTTTCTTTTTTTGCCTCACCCCAGAATATAAGTTTCATAAAGCTGGAAACTATATCTGTTTGTTCACAATGTATATTCTATGCTTTGTACAGTGTTTAGCACTTAACAGTCAATAATGAATGAATAAAGGAATAAATATGTAAATATATCAGTGTTGTATATGATAACTCATTCTTCTGTAATCTTAAGAATAATATGTAAAAATTCTCAGCAAAAATGCTCATGCTTTTTTCATTTGAGAATTAAATAGGGGAGATATTTATTTCTTATTATCCACATAAATATATATCCACTTCTGTGTGTGCTATGTTCTATTTAGGATAGTGCCCGGTCTTCCTGATGTGAGGTCAATAGGCAGGTTACACATCTATGTAGCTAAGAATAAGGTGCATATTAAGACCAGGATGCAAGAAGAGGCTGTTGAACTTGAACATTCAGCACAGAGTCTCTTCTCTTCTATACTAAAAGATAGTCATCCTGCAGTCGGAAGTGGCAGTTATTCGGCCATTGGAAAAGTCTCATGTAATAGTAGCTTTTAGATGATGTCTCCTCCAAAGGGGCATTCTGCTATTAACCTATTGCTGAAAGAGAAATACCATTGTCTATTAATACTACTGGAACTAAAGATGAATAGTGAATTGGCCTTGATCTGACAGTGAGTTTGACTTTGATAGCTCGTCACTTAAAAAGGTTCTTTTATATTTATGAAAAAAAGCATGACGTCAAGCCAGGGGGAAAAATTGATATCAACATTTAAGACCAAACTCGTAGGGCTTCCAAAAAAAAGGCCCTTATGTGAACGTTTTTTTTTACATGCATAACTAATTAGCTTAGGTTATTATAAGCAGGGCTTCTGTGATAAAGTTTCCGGTGGTGTCTCGGGATACCTTGTTTATAGTACCTTCTCTTTGCCAGTCCATCTTCAAATTGGAATTATAGAAAGTAGAGGGAGGGATAGTCTACCGTCTCTCACTGGATTGGTGCCACCTAAAACATTGTTATGCTGGAAATGCTAGAATATAATCACTATCAGGTGAGATTTATTCTGACTCATATTCAGTCTTTGAAATATAATGCAATAAATTGATTTAATCCACTTTTTGTTATTGTAATAGACATACTGTTTTCAATAAGTATAAATCTGCTCTTTTAATGCTGTTTATTATTTGATGCCATAAGAAGTAATTCAATGTAGTTTTGAACAAAGTAAATATTAGTAGGATTCTTTTTTTTTTTTTTTTTTGGCCTAGTGTGTGGCTAAACTATCTTCATCAGCTCCTGTTCATTGCTCATAAGATTAAATTGTCTTTATCAAGAAAAAAGTGACTTAAAATTGAATAATGTTGTTTTTTGGGGAAAAGTATTTCTCGTTCTGAATTAATGTCTGTAGGAAAGGAGAAAAAACATCCTGTTGGCTTGTTAATAGTCATGTCTTTTAAAACACATACGTGTAAGTGTTATGCATTTGAAAGAAACTACTTAATGTAGAATTGCTTTTTATGTTGAGTTTTTTCTTAATTACAATGTTGAATAATCATGTCCAAATGAAAAGTGGGAGAATTAATCCACAACTAGTTGATTTAATCATTGGAAGATTTATATTTATTTTCTACAGCCATTTTACACAGTTGGTTCTTAAGGAGGTGTGTGTGTGTGTGTGTGTGTGTGTGTGTGTGTGTGTGTTTTAAAAAGAAAGCTGTTCTGTTCGCCAAGGAAAGTGAAACAAACAATTATGCCACTTCTACATTGTTGTTTGATCTTAATAAACCCTTTCATGTGTGTTGGGGAAATTTTTGCCCTAAGATAATTTCAAACTTTTAATTATTAGATATGAGAAGAAGGATACAAGGTTTGAAAGAGACGTATAGTTAATTAGCAGGGAAATAAAATAGGGCAAAGTATTACACCAAATCCTACTAGTTAGACTTTAAACTTCAGTAATATCAAAATCCGTTAGCACAGTGCCTGGTACATAACAAAGGCTTAATAATTTATTCTGTTGGTGGCCTGGTCAGTTTCATGTTTGTGCCTGAAGGAAGAGCCGTCTGAAACTCACAAATAACAGCGCTGTTTTCTTTTCCCTCCATGGCTATGTTCAGGTGCAGACCCACCTCGAAAACCCCACCAAGTACCACATACAGCAAGCCCAACGGCAGCAGGTAAAGCAGTACCTTTCTACCACTTTAGCAAATAAACATGCCAACCAAGTCCTGAGCTTGCCATGTCCAAACCAGCCTGGCGATCATGTCATGCCACCGGTGCCGGGGAGCAGCGCACCCAACAGCCCCATGGCTATGCTTACGCTTAACTCCAACTGTGAAAAAGAGGTAATTCATGTCTCCTCTCCTCTCCTGTTTTCTTATGCTAAATAACTTGTCTGTTGAATATGATTCCCACACTTAACTGTGGACTCTAGTTTGTCCTTGTGGCCACATTTACCAGCCTTTGTCCCCGATTCACCATCGTGGCTGTGGCATTCCAGCCTGTTGTCTCCATCGCTGGGTTATTGGGTGTAGAGCACATGACGGGAGACCTGGCCCTCTCCAAGTGAAATGTGGAGGCGAGGACACTTTTGCCACTTGCTTCTTCTTCCTTAGCTGAGTGCTCTCTTCTCTTCCATGCCTTTCAGTTTATGAAGCAGTGAGAATGCAGAGAGAGGAGAAGGGGAGGTGGAAAAGGAAAAGCAAAAATAGAAGAGGTGTGGGACATGCTGTTTAGAAGTTCCGCTTGTTGTGAATGTCTGGAATATTATTTTTATTTCTCCCTGAGTTGGGGGAAGAAAGAATGGAATATGCATGGATGGATTTGAATCATATAGCACATGAGACTTTAACGGAAACGCAAAGGTTTAATTGCTGGATACATTCTGTTTCATAATAAAATTGCCACTGCCCGTTAAATCTGCTTTGGTGAAGGCTGGATTGGAAACAAGACTCAAACTACCTTCAAGCTAATTGGTGCATCAAAATTTGCAGCATACAAATACCTGAGAGCTGTGATTTAATGCTCATTATTTCCAAATTATGAGATGATGAGCTTCATCTCAATGGGATTTACCGTACTATGGACTATGAAGTGTTTATGCAAATTCGGAGGCAACTTTTCTAGAGTTGGATTGATTTTAATTTCTAGAGGGACTAAAATCTTTGCCCCTATGCCCAAACCAACTGCTTTATTTTTCTCTACCCAAATTTGTCATCTAGCAAGATGATTTGACACAAGTTCTTCCTTCATTATTTCATCTTTTGGTCAGATTCCACTTTGTTTGAAAGCTTAGTTCATCTTGTTGCTGTGCCATCAGCTTTGTGTGAACAGGTCATTAAAAAGTCATTTGCAAATCCAAGTTATAGACTGTTTTTGCTTGTGTTTTTGCAGGGATTTTATAAGTTTGAAGAGCAAAACAGGGCAGAGAGCGAGTGCCCAGGCATGAACACACATTCACGAGCGTCCTGTATGCAGGTACTGAATGACTTGGCAGCCTGAGGATGAACACTTTGTAATGAGAATCTATATTTGTGGTGGATCACACCTTCCTGAAAACTTAAGCATTTTTTTCCCCCATTGTTTTTTTTTTTTTTATAGAGAAAGCTAGGAACATTGCCATTTTCCTCATAGTATCTCATGATTAAATAATGACAAGGGAGAATAAACTAAAATGTGTTTTTCCCCTAAGTTGCTGCAAAGATTAAAAACTTCTTAAAGTACATAAATTTTAATAAGATATGAAATATGTACTTTAACATAATCCATATATGTTATACAAATTTGTAGGTTAGCAATTTTTGTATTAGTAAAACCAAGATGTGTGTGTATAATCTAGATATTGTTTCCTAAATGGAATCTCATGGAACATACATTTTGAAACTATATTAATTTAATAACATATAATGGATGCTTTCCCAAATAACTAAAGTTTCTTCTACTACATCCTATTTAATGGATATATAAATTATGCTATATCTATTTATATATCTATGCATGTATATAGATATAGGAGAGAATGATAAGCAACAAAATTTGTTGCCTTTCTATGTTTCCTGTCATCAACTTGCATTATTTTTGTCATAAGAGAAAAAAATATTTTAAAAATGCTATTACATCAAGCCCACTAATTTTATTTTTCTAAGAACAAAATTAAAAGTGGCAAGGAAATGTTGTTCATAAGTTTCCTAGCCTATTTGCATATTTACCAACTCAATTAGAAAATCATCTCTTAAAGACAAACAAAACAAATAAAAGTGGTGTCAATAGAAATGGAACCTAACAAACAGTGGATAGTAGTTATTCAAAACTGGCCAATTATTCTTTTTAGGGGTCATTAATAAGACTCCTTTTTTGAGTGTTTACTATGTTCCTGGTACTTTGAATGCTCTGTACAGTTTGTCCTGAAATCATACAAGAATCCATAAGACAGTAAATATTATGAACCCCCATTTTATAGATTGACAAACTGAGGCTTTAAAAGATTGGAGGCTTTGCCCTAATCTAGAAAGCAGGAGAACGGGGATTCCAACCCAAACCTATGAATTTTGGATTCTCTCCTCTTTAATGGAAGTGGCAAGAGACAGAAGAGCATCCCTGTTAGTTCTGTGATTTCATTGTGTAACTATGAAGTCCTGTTAAGACCCAAGCACAGACACACCAACTAGCTCAAATACATAAGGTGTTTATGAAGAAATGTTTTCACAGGCTTGTCTTTGCAACTGCTGCAATGCACATGTAATCACTGTTGTTTATTATCATAACTTATGTTTTGGTACTTTAGAAATAAAATTGATCTAGTGGGAATGTCAGCTCCACGACTGTAATGATAACCTCATCCTGGTGTACTCCCTGGGGAGTACCAAGCACACTGGTAGCTGTACAAGGAGAAACTTATTTTACAAGTCACTGTAAGATGGGTGCAGGGATAGCCAGTGGCCTGGGAGCCACAGTGTCCACACTTCCCTGTGGAACACTACAGACGGTGTTTTCCTTCTGCAAGAAAAGGGTAGGGGCCATCGTCTTTAGGGAAAAAAGGAAGTAGAATGACAGCTGTCATTCAAGATGAAGTGCTGTGGTACATCTCTCCTGTTTAGGGCAGGCAGTTTAGCATAGTTGTGAAAGCATGGGTTAAATTGTGGCTCCAGTCTTTCTTCAGTGTGTGACTTTGGGCAAGCTGCTTCTCATTTATTTCACCTGGAAAATTGCTATAATAATAGTACCTGCCATGATACGGTTTTCGTTAGGGCAAAATCTTAGCCTATGAAAATCCTCGAACCCAATGCTTGGCAACTCATAATCACTCATTAAATGCTGGCTACAAGTATTATCCTCATCACCTATTCGTGTTAATGGTCTTCAATACTATTTTATACTTCAATACTATTTTAGTGGAAAGAGGACAGTTACTTCTTAGAATCTAACTAAAGACCATTATTGCTTTGGGTAAAAAAAGACCATGAGTCTCTTTTTAGGTTGTGTTGCATAGTTTATTTATTTTTGTCTCTCTTCTCTTACCCTTTTTCCTACAGATGGATGATGTAATCGATGACATCATTAGCCTAGAATCAAGTTATAATGAGGAAATCTTGGGCTTGATGGATCCTGCTTTGCAAATGGCAAATACGGTATTGATAACCTTTTTTTAAGTAGAAAATCTTGAGGTGTTTCCAGGGTTCTTTTCTTTTTTCTTAAACTTTTATTTTATCTTTGTAACTGGTTCACTGATTAAATGTATTAATAGTAAAATGGAGAATTATCTCAGGATCACAAATAAGTGACTTTAACATCAGAAATTAAGAAGTTTTTATGAGTTTATGAATAATCCCATGATAAAACTCTACATTCCCTGGAGTCCACGAGCAGTTTTGATAGGGCATTAGCCCTTCCAATTCCCTTGACATCTAATGCCCAACCCAGTACACTGCAGCCAAGGGAACCATTGTGAACTGCACTATTCACAGTGGTGCTCTAGTTGGCCTGAAAAAGTTGGTTCAGTTTTTCAAGAAGGTTTTCTCATATTCTTAGGTGATAGAGGGACATTGGAGTTACCCTTCTCCAACAGCAAAATCTATTCCAACCTCAGTTCATAAACAAGTGGTCCTATTTGCTATTGTATGTTACTTGTTTTTCTCTGTAATTTAGAGCCTTGCCTATATTGTTTATTTTCCTTCATTCCTTACATTTTAGTCTTATGTTACTGTTTTACCAAAGTCTTATTGCACATCTTATTTAGTCCTTGCAGTTATTCTGTGAGTCAAGTTCGGATGGTATCATTGCCCTCAGTTTTAAACTGTAACTAGGTTAGACAGTCTTACGCAAGATTACATAGCTTGGGTGTATCAGAGCCAGGCCTGCTTGGTAGGTCTTTGAATGCCTTCTCCAATCCTTTTCTGTTTCCTCTGAGAGCAATGCTATGAGACTATCATATTCTTAATAACTAGTGTTTTAAAGACCAATATTTATTGAGAGGAAAGGGAAAAGGGGAGTTGTTTAATGGGTATGGAGCTTCGGATTTGCAAGATGAAAAATTCTGGAGATCTGTTTGATAACAATGTGAACATACATAACACTACTGAACCATACACTTAAAATTGGTTAAGACGGCAAATTTTATCCTATGTGTTTTTTACCATAATGAAATTTTTTAAAGGTATGACTAACTTCCAGTAGTAAATTCCCTTGGCCAAAGGACAAAATAACACTTACTTAGGTACACCAGAATCCTCAGAAAATTGAGTCTTATAGTTAGCATTTTCTTTTCTTTTTTTTTTAAATCCATCTTGATCCAATTCTTCAAGTTCACTTCCTTGAACTCATGTGGGGTGAGGACTTCCCTTGAAACCTCAAGCTTCTTTTATGATATTTAGAGTTTGTCTACTTTCTACCCATTTAAACCCACCCCCTGATTTTGGAAGAACCAGGTGTTCTACTATTGTGATGAAAGTTTCCATGCCATACTCTCCGAACCTCTTGGAATCCTTGGTTGGCTTCTGTGGAACCTTCCTGCTTACAAGTTGTTGCATCCTATGAGGCCAAACTACACTTATCTAGCACTCAGAATCCTAGGACAAACATGAGTAAAACACTTGGGGGAGCATGCCCTGGGGAATTTATAAATATACCCAAAGACATGGGTATATTTACATTTCACTGCTCTAGCAGCATTAATTAGCAATGGCCCAGTCATCTCAAAAGAACTTTGCTGTGAGAGTGGTCATTTTGCTAGTGGTGTCAAATGGGTCCCTGGGCACACTCAAGTGAACTGTAGAATTGACATGATTCTGTAAAATCATTGACTTTTTTTGTAATGGCAAAGACCTTTGATATCATTTGGTCTAACCTAGTACTCAATGCATTAGCCTCCTCTTTTTTTTTTTTTTTTTTTTTGATACAGGGTTTCATTTTGTTGCCCAGGCTGATCTTGAGCTCCTGGGCTCAAGTGATCTTCCTCCCTCAAGTAGCTGGGATTATAGGTGTGTGCCACTACACCTGGCCTGACCTTCTCTTGCATCTCGTTAGTATTCTCCACAAAAAAATCAAGGCATCCAGCTTCTTGGAAGCCTCCAAAAAAGGATCTGTACTAGCTCACTAGGGAAATAGCAAAGCACAATGGTTAGAATTTAGAGGTTTCTGACCAGATCTGGGGTCAAACCCTGAATCTTCCATTTCCTCTGTGACCTTGCATGTTATTTAGCTTCCTGAAACCCTACATTTCCCCATCTGTAAAATGGGGCTGTTATATATACCTATATTATGTGGTCAACTCACTTGGTAAAGCATCTGTAGTATTTAGCATTGGAAACATAAGTTGTATTCAATAATGTTATCTAAATTATTAAGTATAACTTATTAATTATAATATCAAATAATATTGATAGTATTTGTTTATTCAGCTGATCTTCACTGAGCCCCTATAATGTATCAAGCTCTATGTTAGCTATCTGTGAGACATATCTATCTCACAATATCCCTCACAGTAAATAACTCTGTAAATTGCAGCATGGGTCCCAGTTTGCTTCATGGAGAACTTTTCCACATACCACCCCTTCTGAAGACAGTTGTCATGACCCCATATATGCTTCTGTCCTTTAGAATGAATACTTGGCTGGGTCCATGGTTCACGCCTGTAATCCTAGTACTTTGGGAGGCTGAGGCAGGAGGATCACTTGAGACCAGGAGTTGGAGATCAGCCTAGGCAACTTAGAGAGAATCCGTCTCTGTAAAAATGTAAAAAATTAGCTGGGTGGGGTAGTAGTACATACCTATAGTCCTAGCTACTCAGGAGGCTGAGATGGGAGGATCACTTGAGACCAAGAGTTCAAGGATGCAATGAATCATGATCGTGCCACTGTCCTTTAGCCTGGGCAACAGAGCAAGACCCTGTTTTTAGAAAACACATTTAAAAATAAAAAAGTAGAATGAATCCTCATACCTCTTCATTCCATCTACATTAGCGTTGAGGCCTTGTTCCTTCATTATCTCGTTGTTCCGAAAGTATATTAAAGATTAATTTAGCATTTATGGATATGCCTAATAGGTGGCCAGCACCAGGCAAGGTGCTGTGGATGCGAAGGTGACTAAGGTGTGCTTCCTGTTCTCACGGGGGTTACCAGTCTAGAAGGGGGAGACTCTTTTAGCCCTTGAGGGGAGAAGGACAATTCAGGAGCAGAGAGGCCATCTCAAGGGAATTTCCAGATAAGAAAGATCCTCTGGGCAGAGTTGAATTAACTCCCAGACAGGAGAGGAGTCCCCTGCAGCCACCCTTAGAAGTCACTGACTTTATCCCGGCATCCACTTCTCTTCTTTATCCCCATACTGGAAAGGCTAAATGTGGCTCCATTAGAGTCTTTCAACAAATCTATTTCAGCATTTTGCCATTAGGGGAAAGACAATGTAACTTCAACATTAGGAGCACAGACTCTGAACCAGACATCTGAATACATACTCTTGACGGAGTGATTCAACCTCTCTGCTTGTGTTTCCTTGTCTGTAAAATGGGGATCATAATAGCATCTACTGCAATAGAATTAATGGGAGAATTATAAGAGGTAGCCCACAAAAAGCATTTAGAACAGTTGGGCCCTGATAAGCTCTCACTAAAAGTAAGTTACTAGCTCTTATTCTTGATGAACTTGGGTTTTAGTTGTCAAAATTAAGTAACAAAGCTACTGCAACCTATTAACATTTTAATTTTTTCCCACAGTAAAGTTTAATGTTCTTCGTGTTAGGCATTTTTTTCTTTTATTTGATTATTTGAAATGCTTTATTTCAAGTTAACTACTTAGGAAAAAATAAAGTGGAAGGAACACTTAGAGAGGAAACTGTCCTAAGGGAATTGAAGTCTAGAAATAACTATTCTGAGAGCACAAGGGCCCTCTTGTACTATCACAAACAAAGAATAAAAGTCCCAGTTTACTTGTGTTAACAGTGCTCAATTGATATTCAGAAAAGGGGACCATCCAGAGAGAAAAAATAATAACGTTTTACAATTATCATTTACTTGGAAAAATATTCATTTTGGTGGAGCACAACATTGAAGAACTCAATTCAGACCAGTATGGGGGCATAGACCCAGGCGCATCTTCCTTCAATTTGTTTGTCCGGATTAGACTGTGGCTTTCATCTGTCCATGGTGCAGTTTGTGCTCTGGAAGTGAAATCTTGTCATTTAGGTAAATGGCCTGGATAAAAATCCCACAAAGATGTGAAATATACATGTTAATAGAAGAAGTCTCTTCCTTTTTCTTAGCTCTAAAGGTGTTATTTTGACCTAATTATGATGTTAACTGTATTTATCGGGAAAGTTTTCTAATGCAGAAGAACCAACTACAGAATCCTTTCTTTAAAATGCATGGCTAGGAGACACATTTTAAATTATTTCCATCAACCTTCCTTTTAGTAGCTTCAGCAAATAAGAGCGGTTGATAGAAAGAACATACACCACCATTTAGGACACAGTTTCTCAAATGTGGAACTGTTGACATTTGGGATGGATAAGTCTTTGTGGTGGGAGACTGTCCTGTGCATTTTAGGATGCTTAACAGCATCCCTGGCCTTCACCCACTGGATGCCAGCAGCAAATCCCCTGCAGGTGCATCAACTGAAAATACCTCCAGATATTGATCCGGGGAAACAAAATCAGCTCTAGTGTGGAATGCCTGACTTGGAATAATGACTGGTCACCTCAGCCTTGCAGATTCCCTGATTTCTGTTCCTAGATTTGCATTGCAGTCTGGTAAAAAATTGTCTAATCGTTGACAATGTACTTAGTAATTAACATAGCAAGTGGTTTTGTTGATCAAGTGAAAATTAGCTCACCTGTCAAAACTGTAAAGTGGGAATCCAGTACTCCCTAGAAAATTAGAATACTGTATTGTTAATCATAGCAGTTACCACTTATTGATCACTGAAGTAGCAGGCACTGTTTCACCTACTTTATCTCTATTAAATCTTATAAGACCCCTGTGAGAAGAATGTTGTCACTTTTCAATTGGAGACACTAAGCCTCAGAGAACTTGCTTAATATCACATAGCAAGTTCGTAAAGAGGCAGGATTTTAATCCGGATCTCTGACTCCTAAGCACAGGCTATAAAGTTCTGCACCATTAATCGGTAAATTGGAGTATCCACATTCGGCTAGTAAGCGGCAGGGTTTTTATTTCCTCAGGTCTAATTGGAGATGAATTGAAAGTTTGCAGTTTCTAACTGGTTAATATCAGCATGTTGATACTCTCCCCACCCCCAGTTCTGCTGTTAACATGGGACGTGAGCCTCCGACCAAAAACCTCCATTAGGCAATGGCAAAAATCTTGGCTTTTCTTTCTGTAAAAAGCAGTAAGATGCCATACACAAAGTGCCATTTTAATTCTGTGCTTGGCCCAAAGTAGGCACCCAAAAAATGAGATGACCCCCAGCAAAATATTCTGCCATGCTTTCTGCTTCCCACTCCTAATCAGCAAGTATGGGAAAAGCAGCCGAAGCAGGAAATCTTTCAGAGAAGTAGATAGAGGGCTATAAGCTTTTTCAACTGGAAGTAATGATGTCTGATCTCAGTAGAGTGCCCAATGAGGCATCTTGCTATAGGGATTTTAATTCATTTCCCTTTTTGATGTGCACTGTCGTCAATCCATGCTAATCACAGCAGTACTTTCTGTAGTTTTTCATGCATCTCAATCCATTTCTCACTAGGTATCCCCCACGTTGCTCTTTGTCTCCCCCACCCTGTCCATCTCGCTGTCTATGGCAGAAAGCATTCTCTCTCTCAGTCATGTACATATCTCTTCTTTAGAATATAGTTAGAAAATATGTTCTTGTCCAGAAGAAGCTTAGAATTAGATATCTGTTCAACATAGGTCTATCAATGACTTGGAGATGTGTATCAGTTGCTATTATTTATCCCTAACAAATCATCATAATAACACAGTGAGTTTTGCATACAATTTGCCTATGAAAACCATATGTGTGATTTACCTTTCTAGAGCAAGTGGAATAATTTTTCTTTTAGCTTATTGCTTTGAATTTTCAAGTCACATTCTTGGTTTGTTAAAACCTCAACGTTTTCCCAAAATCCAAAATTCTCAAAAGATAGGGGAATAAAGCTTTGGAATCCAAGGAGTTACCAGACATCATGGCAGCTGTATAAGTTTAGTCTTTCTGGTACTTTACAGGGCTGTTTTGAAACATGTGAGTGCCTTTCACTTTGCGTTAAATTGGACAAGAATAAAACTAAACACACACAGAGCAAGGTTGACCCTGAGAAGGTAACCTATTTCAACTAAAACCACTTAGTGAAATGACAGCTAATAATCAAAGTCACTTTTTATCAATTCCTTAGTTAGAGGGCCTTGAAATACCATACAAGGGCATTTTAAATGACCACGATGTCTATTTTTGTGCCTGTGTATGGGGGTATGTGTATTAGGTTTTATGCATATACTATAAACGCTGCTTTCAAAAAGGAGCAAAAGAGGGAGTTGTATTCTGCTGGTCTGTCTGTCCTCCCTGCCTACCCCAATTCTGTTCGAGCCAGTGTCTGATTCACCCATCAAGAAGTATCTTATTCCATGTCCATTGCCTCCCACCCAAATCTCTTTAGCTAGGGGTTTAATTCATAGAGTATATGTTTAGAGGCTATCACAGAAATAGATGCAATGGTTATCAATGAGGGGAAGCACATTCGACTTGTATTTTGTGGTATATTTTCATCTGTATGTTAGTGGTCATTGGAGAGGATGCAAGGTACTCTGTTGAATACAGTTTTTACTAGATACTTCTCAGTCACTAAACACTTTAATCACACCTAAATGCTTTCTGAATGTACTTTTCTCAGATGTAGAATACAATTCCATGTGTAATCAAGAAATGGGAGGGCTAAACGACTTAAAGTCTTACCCAGTAATCATGGTTATAGAAATTGTTTGAATCAATCTAGTAATGGTACGTGTCTGCAGTGGAAGGAGTGAGGTCAGTCAACGATTTCTCCATAGTTACTATTTCAAACTGTATTTCAGGGCATGGGAAGGGAGATCAACTTGGGCCTTTTCTACAAAAACAGGCCTATAAACTGCTGCAACCAGCTAGTTACCAAGAAATGCACATACACAACCAAAGGAGGACTCGCTGCTTTAAAACAGCCCATTCAGAACTAGAGGAAAAACTCTGACGCTAGCTTGGGGAAGGCTAAATATTTCTTTTACTTTTTTTTTTTATTATTATTCTCTTGAAAGTGTAAATTTTTGCTCTCTTTTAAAGTCTGTGGGCTCCCTCTTGTGGCTTTGTGGAAAATTTCAATTTCAAGGAAACGCTTTTTCTCTCTAGCAATAAGGAAATCATTTCCAATTAAAAAAAAAAAAACTTTCATTGCTTTTCCTTGTAAAAGAAAAAGTGAGAAGAAGAGGTGGATACGAGAAGGAAGGAACAAAATTAACTTTAATGGAAAGTCCTATTTGGTGAAAAGGTCATTTTATATACAATCCTGTTTTACAATAATAGCCAACATTTCCTGAACACCCACTGTTTGCTACTAGTTGTACTAGATAATGCATTCACCACATTATTCATTGCCTCCATGCTCAAAATAAACTGACTGGCTAGTTAGAGTAGTCATTTTATGGGTGTGAGACTGTACTTTCCTGCCTCAAAGGGAACTGGTTGAGGAGATCCTGTACCTCTCTTTTAATACCTGTGAATGAAAAAGTAAACATCTCATATTTTCCTATTTTAAAAATGATTTTTTGTATCAAATAATTTTTCTTAAATAAATCCTAGAGTAGGATATAGGTTTTATCTGAAAAAACATGGGAATTGTTCAACAGTTAATTTCTGTTACTGTTTGTCTCTCTCTAGTTGCCTGTCTCGGGAAACTTGATTGATCTTTATGGAAACCAAGGTCTGCCCCCACCAGGCCTCACCATCAGCAACTCCTGTCCAGCCAACCTTCCCAACATAAAAAGGGAGCTCACAGGTAAACACCTAGTAAATGTGCCTCTTACTGCAGATTTCTGTCCATTTCCTGATAAGACAAAGTTATTGATATAGTGATGTGCAAACTATATCCAACTCATGGACGTAACTTTTATAGGTCTCTGCAGTGGTTAAAACATTATGCAATATTTTAAGACGGAGAATTTATACTTGAAAATTCTGTTTTTTTTCAAGGAGATCCTTGAAAATCTCCTGAGATACTGGGAATCGGGGCCACCATTACTGCATGTCACCAATCACTGTGTGTGTGGTGAAGGTCCCCTTTGTGTTGGGGATAGTAGGCAACTCTTTCAGCTGTAACTGTCTCCACCCTACCTGATATGTATGTTTCTAACAAGCCCCTAGAGGCATTTGCATTTGAGAACCCAGATCTGAATTTTCCTTTGACACACATTCAAGCCCACAATTGGGATAGCATAAGAATATATTTCTCACATCTTCAGATGCCTCCTGTTGTCTTTTGCTGTATTGTGTGCAAAAGATTTATTACACAGAGGGGAAAAAATTATAAAATGGAGCAATGGATATTATTTGTTCTTGAGGCAAGTGTGAAATTACTTATTTCTCTACTTTGCTTAATGCTTTAGGGAAGGCATTTATTTGGTCATTAAAACATGGCGGAAACTATATTAGAACTGGCATTCTACCATGGTGAATTTTATGGCCCTTACCACACCCCTCTTTTTATTATTTGATCCTTGCATCCTGCAGGATTGGATGAACAGACTGAGAATATGGAATATGGATTTGGTACAGAGAATTCCTGTTCCAGTCAAGGATGTCTTAAAAAAATTTTTTTTAGAAAATAAGCAGGAGAAAGATGTTTTTTAAAAACCATGGATTTGAGTGAAAAGAGTAATTAATAAGTAAAAACCATCCAAAACCAAAACACAAGTAGCTACCCTACCAAAAAGGAAAATTACTGCAAGACAACAACAACAACAAAAGCAAGAATCGTCGGGCAGGCACAGTAGCTCACGCCTGTAATCTCAGCACTTTGGGAAGCTGAGGCAGGCAGATTGCTTGAGCTCAGGAGTTCCAGGCTGCAATGAGCTGTGATCACACCACTGCACTCCAGCCTGGGCAAGAGGAATGAGTCCTGTCTCAAAACAAAGCAAAACAAAACAAAACAACAACAACAACAACAACTTAAGAATCATTGAAGTGGAGGGTATGTAAGTCATGCTTCTGTGTGAGGAAAAAAAAACTAGAAAATGATTTGAACTGACCATCACAACTGAAAGAATTCAACTTCTGAGTTATATATATATATATATATATATATATATGCACACACATACACACACACACATAGATATGCATATATATGCATATATACATGGATGTATGCATATAGATATGCATATATACATGGATGTATGCATATAGATATGCATATATACATATATAACACCCATATAATAAATATATATGGTGTGTATATATATATATATATATATGCTTCAGTGGCTATAAGTTATGCTAAAAAGATTTCTATTTTGAGATAAAATTCTAAATTATGGTAGTGTAATGCTTCAGCTATCACTTCTGAAAAGGAAATAACAGAGCTTTCTGGATCCCCAGATTGGTCAAGTAACATGTTTTGTTTTGTTTTTAATTCTGTTTTGTTTTGTTTTGTTCTCTGTAAGGCAAAAAGTAATCTCTTATCCCAGAGATGTCACAAGAGTTGCTATGCAAATAGAGCTTTCCAATTGCAGTTGCCACCAAATGCCTCTATTCCTATTTTGTTTTTATAGACTCAAGCTAGTAAATAGTGGTTCCTAAGTTATTAGATGATTTCATTACAGCAGGTTTTAACAGAATCTGGCACCAACTTCTGAAAAAATGAGTTCATTCTATGAAGTAGTGAACTAGTTAGAAGAGACAGAGATCCAATTTGGCAGCTTTTTTTTTTTTTTTTTTTTTTGAGACAGGGTCTCTCTGTGTCTCCTGAGCTGGTGTGCAGTGGTGTGATCACGGCTCACTACAACCTCGACCTCCTGGGCTCAAGTGATCCTCCCACCTCAGCCTCCCGTAGCTGGGACTGCAAGCATGCACCACCATGCTGGACTTATTTTTTTTTATTTTTTGTAAAGACCAAGGCTGATCTTGAACTCCTGGGCTCAAGTGATCTTTCCACTTCCACTTCCCAAAGTGCTGGAATTACAGGTGCAAGCAACCATGCTGGGCCACTACTCAGTTTTTATATCAGCACGTTACACAGGCATCAAAAAAGGATTGAAAGCTTCTATGGCCTGAAAAGAAAATATATCAGACCCCTGATAATAGAGTATCAACAGCAAATTGACATAGTTTTCTAATTATCGATTTCTTTCTTGCTAGTATCTGTATATGTTTACAGTGTGCTATATATAATTTTTACCAGGGTTTTTTTTTACCATTTTGTGGAAGCCCAGTTTTTACATATTGTATATATGATATATATATTGCTTTTGAAAACATGCAAGCTTTTTAAAAAGATATCATTTTTAAAAAAACGTATTTTTACTTAGAGTCAAGTCAAATAAGCTTCTGTATGTTTGGGAAATGAGATATTTTGTAGTTTACATTTTGTGCAACTTCAAACAGTTCCAACTTCTAATGACTTCATTCACGTGCACAGCGTGTATTTTTCCCACAGAGTCTGAAGCAAGAGCACTGGCCAAAGAGAGGCAGAAAAAGGACAATCACAACCTGAGTAAGTTGGTTTTATTTATGTTCATGACATTTGATATTAATGTTCCCCATATATCAAAAATGTTTCCAGAAATTCTGTAGAGGAGAGTTGATTCCTACAGCTGTTAAAATTCTCTCTTATGGAAGAAAATTGTATTTGACAGAAACCAAGGTATATATTTTCCCCATATTTTATCTCAGATCAAATTGAATTTTGTATATATACTTATTTTCAGTTTCTGAAGAGTTTTTATTTTTCTTGTTTCTAGTAGTGGTTTTCTCTCTCTCTCTCTCTCTTTTTGGTAAGAGGGAGAATTGATCCCCAACTACCCAATTATAAGTGTTGCTCACACTGGAACTTATTAACAAAAGGGGATTAGGGAAGCACCTTCTCCAATGAGATTTGAAAGAAAAAGAAAGAAAGAAACAGATCTGAAGGGGAGTAAATGGATGAGGCAGCCTCCTAAATTTCTGACATGATTCGTGACTTAAAAAAAATAGCCCTAAAGCATTTAAAATATTTTTTACGTGTTTAATTTACTCTTGATCAAATCTTCAAGTTGTCTCCTACGAATACTTTAATTTTGGTTTAATATAAACATGTAAGACAAGTTGCACAGATTTTTTTAAAAAGGGATTGGGCTTGGAGGTAGGAAATTGTGTGTGAATTTCTCATCTCATGGCCTCATGTCCTCTGTTTCTTAAATTGATTTTTAAGAATGTGAGTCATATATAAACACTTTCTCCTTATAAAAATGATAGAATAAGGCCAGAGTTCCCCTTTAGTCCCCAGGAATATGCGTGTTGGTTTCAATTTGGCATTGCTCTTCCTGACCTTTTTCTGTGTATTAAGAATATAGACACATGCACACAGAAAATAAATCATATGGATTTCTATATGTTTTAACACAAACGGTATCATATTGTCCATTTTATGTTGATTTTTTTCTACTAAGCAGCATGTTTTGAAGACCTTTTGCTGTTAGAAATCTAGATCTATCTACTTTTTGAAAACAAATTGCATAGTATTTTATAGTGTGACTGTATGATATTTAGTAACTTCCCAACTGCTGTGTGTTTATGTTGTTTCTAGTTTTTTCCTATCATAAGCAATGCCACAGTTAACATTTTTATATGTGTCTCTTTGTGTACAAGAAAGTTTGTTTCTCTAGGTTAGAAACCGAACTGAGAGGCACAACTTCTGGGTCCTGTGGGTGCTGGTTTTTACTTTAAAAGCTACACCCCTCCCCAGTTCTCATGTCAAGTGTAAGAAGCTCTCCTTATCTTTTAACCAAGAGATAAACTATTATCTCCAAGGCCTCCTCCAGCTTCTAAGTAATTTTACCCTAAGATATTTCTTCTTTTAAAACACCTTAGAAACAAGATAATTAGGCATTATCCAAAACTACTTAAGTGAGATGTGGAAAACTGAGTTGGATCTTGTCAAAAACAATAGATACCTGTAATTAGGCACCTGAACTCTCAAGGTCAAGGTTGTCAGTAAAGTGCAAACATGATCAGCTCAAACTCTGAAGGCTATGAAGCAATCTAAAAGTCTCAGCCAACCATTGGGAATTAATACTCAAGGTTAGATTGCCCCTTGGTCAAGCTGTTCCTCTTCTAGGAATTTATTTTGTAAGAATATTGCCAAAATGTACAAAAGGATACATTCATTTATTCACTCATTCAATCAGCCATTACTGTATGTATGTGTGTATGTGTGTATATATATATATGTATGTATATGTATATATATATATGTGTGTATATATATATATGTATGTATATATATATATATAGAGAGAGAGAGAGAGAGAGAGAGAGACAGAGACAGAGACAGAGACAGAGAAAGAAAGAGAGAGAGAGCGCCCCTGTTTTGTGTGAGGCACTTTTCTACAATGTGAACCAGAAAATGAGTTTCCCATCCTGGGAAGCTTGCCTTTGAGTTAGGGGTCATCTACCATGTATTGCTGAGTAAGATGAGCAAGGGTCAGAATAATATGTATAATATCCCATTGTGTAAAAATAGCACACTGGGGAGAGACGTGCTTGTCTCTGTGTTTATATGAATGTATATGTGCTTGGGAGACAATCTAGACATCACCCTTATCAGTGACAATTTGCCCAGGCATATAGATGTTGGATAGTATAAAGACTTGGCTTTTACTTTTTCTTTAATACACCTTTGTATTTTTTGAAATTTTTTACTAGCTTATATCTTCTTTCTAATAAATGATTGGAAAGGGAAGTCATGGAACTAAAAATAAAATGTAGTACACCTAAATATTGACAGTGAAAGGTGTCAGCTATATGCTGGTGAGTGAAAAAAAGATGCAGAGTCCTTTTTAGTATGATCCCACTTTAAATGTTTTGTTTCTTATTTAACACATATTTGTTGAGAGCGTACTATGTGCCAGATGCACAAGGTTACTTGGAATGCAACAGTGAATAAACATAACAAATAGATCAATGGGATACATGAATATGGGATGGCAGAAAGTTCCACGTGGAGTCAAAGGGCAGGCAAGGGAGTATAGTGTCAGCATGGACATGGGAGGTAGTGAATCAGTTTCAAAGAGGGTGACCAGAAAGTCTCTTAGGTAAATCTGAGTCTACCTGAGGGAGGTGAGTGCAGTGCTGTTCACATATCTGGAGGTACAGTGTTCCAGGCAGGTGGAACAGCCTTATGAAGTCCTCCAATGGGGCGTGTCTGGCTTGCTTGAGGAATAGCAAGGAGCCAGAGGGGCTAGAGTAATTTTATGATTATTATGTGCTTGGAAAAAAAATAAGAAGAAAGTATCATACTTCAGAGTTTTGGGGAAGGTTAGCTAGTGGATCAAGGACCCCACAATTCCTTCTTCAAAACCATTGACCATCATTTAGGGTTTCTATTTTATACAAGCCTAATGGTAGGACTTCGTATTATATAAAACGGATTTCATCATTGGAATAATCCCTCAGCCAAAACAAACTGCAATTTATATTGGGAAAGCAGGGAATCACATTATTTATCTAGGTGTACAGACTATTAGTGGAACAAAAAGAAGCATATATTCTGGTATTTAGAGTAACTATTAACAACTTTAATCCATTTTGTTAGACTTTAAATTATTTGGAATTTATTTGTTTGACTACATTAATTAGAGACATTTATCATGTCATATGCCTTATTATGTCATCCTCCCCTAAGAACATGATAGTTGACCTTACACTGAGATTTATAAAATAGGAATGCTGTGAAGATTCATGGTACAGCTAAAAATGCTAGACTTCAGTTCTAGGGCTGTGCTATCTAGTACAGTAGCCATTCACCACTGGTGCCTACTCAGACTTGAAATATGGCTGGTCCAAATTGTGACGTAAAACTGAAAGTGTAAAATGCGCCCTGGATTCCAAAAACTTAGAGTGAAGAAAAGAATGTTAAGTACTTAATTTGTAAATGTTTACGTTGATTGCCTGTTAAAATAATAATATTTTGGATATAATGGATTTAAGAAAATGTTAATTTCATGTCTTTCTTTTTACTTTTTAAATAGTACTACTAGAAAATTTAAACTTATATGTAAATTATATTATATTTCTGTTGGGTAGCACTAGGCTAGGGCATGGGTTTTTTGTGTGGCCCATGAGTTAAGAATGTTTTTTACATTTTTAAATGGTTAAAAAAGGCCGGACGCAGTGGCTCACACCTGTAATCCCAGCACTTTGGGAGGCTGAGGCGGATAGATCACTTGAGGTCAGGAGCTCGAGACCAACCTGGCCAACACAGTGAAACCCCCTTCTCTACTAAAAGTACAAAAATTAGCCAGGTGTGGTGGCATGTGCCTGTAGTCCCAGCTACTTGGGAGGCTGAGGCACAAGAATCTCATGACCCAGGAGATGGAGGTCGCAGTGAGCTGAGATCCTGCCACCGCACTCCAGCCTGGGTGACAGAGCAAGACTCCGTCTCAATAAATAAATAAATGCTAAAAAAAAAATTGTGACATGAAAAGTATATACAACGCAAATTTCAGCATGACAAGTAAATTCTAATGCTTTTCATTGATTTGCCTTGCAAAAAATTGTACTCGTATGTTATATTTTGAATTTTGTCAGTAAAAAATGTGTGGAAATTTGTTTTCCCTCCGCTTAAGTAAATATCTGCATAATATCCTCAATTTTGCTACTTATCCCACAAAGCCAGAAGTACTAACTTCCTGGCTCTTTGCAGAAAGTTTGCTGACTTCTGCTCTAAGGGGTTAGGTTAGAATTTGGGCTTTCACCAGATATTGTTGGATGTCCTCGCCAAGTCCCTAATAACAGTATCTCCAAGGCAATTTCATTATTTGTAACTAAGGATAGTAACTGATTTCAGGGTTGTTATAAGAACAAATGAGAAATCGTCTGTATCTAAGGGCTTTGGAAATGGTAAAGAAATGTAGCTCATTTTTAACTGCAATACCAAGAACATAGTAAAAATAGGGAAAAAGTAGGTTCAGGTTTCCGTTGTCATGACCTGGAGAAGTTAATATGCACATGCCTTTAATGAGATGTGCTAAATGCATACATGGCACTGTTACTAATAGCCTTTCCTGTGCTCTTTTCTTGAAGTTGAACGAAGAAGAAGATTTAACATAAATGACCGCATTAAAGAACTAGGTACTTTGATTCCCAAGTCAAATGATCCGTGAGTACAATCGCGTGTTAATCTGCATCATATATTTTTCGTACCTGAATGTTTTTTCATACGTTGTAAAAAATGCAGTTGTAAAAACTAAAGTAAAGAAGTCTCCCCTCTCCCTTTGGTTCTATTCCTAAATTCTTCTTACACCTTTCTTTTGGTTAGTCTCATCAAGCTAAAATTTCAAGACAAAAGCATTGAATTGTGCAAAAGGATTGTTGGACACTAGATGTTTTGGTTGTGAGGAGGTGGCTTTCTGAAACCTAAGAATTCTTTGCAAACAAATACTGAGCTTAAAAAAAATTTCCTTTAATGGTTCATGCAGAACAGAACTTTCAATAGTTGTTAAAGCTAGATTTGTTGACTGTTTGCTCTTTGACTTGTACAGTACCTCTAAATAGGCACTGATGAACAGACATTAGAGACTTAAAGTTTAATGATACTCCACAGACAAAAAGGGTCAATTATTTTTATGAAAACTTGCCTACTCTTTGTATGTTTTACCATTGTAGGGGAAAAAAAGTAGTGTTTTAATCCTCTTATTAAGTACAGGTCAGCTAATTTAGATTTCAGCTTTTGGTCTCTCTTTACCCACCCTGTCCCCTTCAGAGATAACAGCTGTAAAGATGATTTTCTCAAGTCTTTCCTACCAGCCTATAGTTACCTGCAACATCAGCAGATAGGACAACAAACACACAGTTTTTATCCATTAGAAATTGGCCCATTTGAAGCAAGGGGCTAGAAAATGTATACATTTTAATGGCCCCCACAGGCATTCTGTGAAATTAGCCTTTGAATATGACCTTTTAGCTACCTAATAAAATGTAAAGATGAAATCAAGTATTATTCATGCCAGGCTTATTAAATTTGCTGTTCACGTTACTGTTAGAGGATTTGTAACAAAATAAAATAAAACCATTACCTATTGTGAGGTGGTTTTGATGAATGTACAAGCACAATTCCATCTTCAATGTTTTGCTTTCCCAGGTTTCAAGGAAAGGCATTTTCAAACCCGAAACATTTCAGATTCTCAGTTCTGCAGCACAAATTTATCCTACTAAAGGGCTGTGACCTTCATTTCCTATAGTCAGTCTTGCATGATAGTTGAAATTGAATTCCCATTTTCCTCTTCTTTATCAGCTTTCACTTTTTAGCATATTCTTTTAAACTGTAGCATGTGAATCTCTTTAGCAACATATTATGAAATTATGGGGCTGCAGTGAAAGCCTCTATTTGCATATCTTCTTTCCCCGTTGTATTAGAATACTTGCGGGTTTATAATCTGAACTGATAATGATCTTTAATTGTAGGCATTGTTTTAAGACAAAACAGACTATAATCTATATGGTGGTTTCCCACACCAGGTTTCTAGAATGTGCCTTGGGGCTGCTATAGAGACACAGTCTTACAGACTGGGGTCTCAGCCCGGTACCTTTTCTCCCACCAGAGCAAGTCTGCATTTGTTGATTTTATATAATGGAGATCTATATTCACTATTCTGTGAAAAAAGAGTCCCTCTTATTACCAAACAAAAAAAAAGTTTGAAAACCCTTTCTTAAACTCAGAAGCATAATTGATTGATTGGATCTCACAAGGAAGCAAAACCCAAGATAATTGGTTGAAACAATCACTTCTTTTAAACTGAGTGACCCTTCAAATATCCCAATTCTGATTTCTCTTCTTGCTGGCCTATGTGAAGCATCATTTATTTTAACTACATTTCTCTCTGGCTGCTAAAGTTACTTCTCTTACTTTGATCTTAGCTCTGAATATTAAGTCTCTGCGCTCACTGTGGGTATCTCAGGACATTCCCCTGGGTTGCCATCTTTGGTGTTCAGACCCCAGGGATCAACTCCAGGGAATTCTCTGGGGGCTGGAACTGTCCCTCTTATGGGAGAACTTCTGTGTTGTTCTTCATGTAACCCAGATGAGGATCAATTACTTGGTGACTTGTTTAATGACCCTCCATTCACCGGTTCCACCTGATACTTGTAGATGAGGAAATGGACAAAGAGAGGCTAGATAGCCTGCCCATGATAATCCTTGATTAAAAAAAAAAAAAATAGAAGGATGCTGAGTTTATGCCATAAACAATTTAGTAGTGAGATCTCACAGATCTGTTTTACCATCGTTTATTCTCACTGAGTTAACTTTTGTAGTTTTAGAAACCTATAACTCTTTAACATAGTGTTTAAGGAAACTGACTTTGTAATCAACAGACCTAACTTTAAGTCCTGACTCTGCCATATAGTACTGTGTGGCCTAGGACAAGTTGAATTGTGTCTGTTTCAACATGTGCACAGTCTCTCTCTTACAAGGTGCTTGTCTGGGTTAAGTAAGACAATGTGTACAAACTGGGTGGGCAACACTAGGCACGTGGCAAACACTCGTGAATGGCAGCTATAATTAATGTATGATTATTTTATTTTTAAAATTGAATGCTTTTAAAAATGATACAATGGACTTTGGGGACTTGCGGGGAAGGGAGGGAGGGGGTGGGATGGGGGTGAGGGATAAAAGCCTACACGTTGGGTACAGTGTACACGGCTTGGGTGGTGGGTGTACCAAAATCGCAAAAATCACCACTAAAGAACTTATCCATGTAACCAAGCACCACCTGTTCCCCCAAAACTATTGAAATAAAAAAAAATTTTAAAAAGTTCAAAAAGAAATGGAGTGCTTTGAATATTGAATTTTCATTGAGCCTCAAATCCTAAAAATATCTGTTTTCCTCCATTTTCATCGCAGAGACATGCGCTGGAACAAGGGAACCATCTTAAAAGCATCCGTGGACTATATCCGAAAGTTGCAACGAGAACAGCAACGCGCAAAAGAACTTGAAAACCGACAGAAGAAACTGGAGCACGCCAACCGGCATTTGTTGCTCAGAATACAGGTACGCAGCCTGAGTTGTGTAAAGTTTACTGCTTTTTACCGACTTCAAGACAGTAGAAACAGGGATATAATGAGCCATAGGGGAGTTGACTTACGTGATCCTAACACAGTCAATCCTTATTATTTGTGGATTCTGTGTGTGTGAATTTGCCTACTTGTAACCCCAAAGTCAGTATCTGTGGCACTTCCACAGTCATTCTTGGACATGTGCAGAGTGGCACGTTTGAGCTGCCCATGGCACGCATTTCCAGGTGAGGTCGAATGACCCTGCCTGAGGTTGACTGTCTGCTGTCTTGTTTCAGCTCTCATCCTCTAAACAAGTGCTCCTTTCGTGGTCTGTTGAGTACTTTCTACATTTTTGTGGTTTCTGTTGGTGATTTCGCTGTTTAAAATGACCCCCAAGCATAATGCTAAAGCACTGTCTAGAGTTCCTGAGGGCAAGAAGGCCGTGATGTGCTTACAGAGAAAATACATGTGTTGGATAAGCTTCGTTCAGGCATGAGCTACAGTGCTATTGGCTGTGAGTTTAATATTCATGAGTCAACAACATATATTACATAAGGTGACCTTCAACAGAAACATACATAAAACAAGATTAAGTGTTGTGACTAGGGTCTCACAGGAACCTAACTTGTAATTCCCCTGGGAACAGTGCTTCAGTGTTCACCAATTCAGTGTTCACAGTGACTTTGTAGAACATAAAAAAAATAAGTACTGACTATACCACGTTAAACAAGAAGATGCCTTAGTATTTGTAGGGTCCGGGAAGCAGTTGATGGTCAAAATCTGTGTTTACAGGGAACTTGGGAACACCCAGAGGATCTTATATTAAGGACATAATTCCTGGAGATAGTTATAAATAGTGGAATTATAGCATATATATCTTTAACTTAAACTATACACCATTAGAAGAAGACATACTAATTTTATTAATATGTGCCATTTGTGCGTCATCCTACTCAGTGGGTATATGCACCAGTGTAAGCCGGAGATGGGGAATTCCTCTTTGGTATCAACTCCTGGAACTTCTCTCAGGGGCTTGGCGTCTCTTGTTGAGTGAAAGGGCACTACTTCCTCTGAAATGATCCTCAAAAACAGACTCCCTGTTATGGACCAAAGGGGGTTTGTGAGGGTAATTTTAATTTGCTGACTTTGAACACAACCTATCTGTAAGAGTCAGTGACACCATATCTTCTTCTTGAGTAGGCTGACCCACCTTTTACTAGATTTTGCCATAAAGCAAGGGTTGTCTTTCAACTTTTCCAGTGCAACTATTCATGGAGTTATTTTACGAAACAGCAATGAGAAGTATGACACCCTAGCGACCATTGTGTTTCACCTAGTGGTGCTCCTCCCGGACGTTGAACTTTTCAAACAGAGCAATTCACTTATAATAATGGTCTCCAGTCTTCTGAATGCTTATATTTTGAAATGCCACATCTCTCATTCACTGCAGTGATTCCTCAGCTGTGGGGTGGGGAGGTGGGAAGCCACTTCCCTGTTGGGGTGCATTTTAGATTCTGGGTAGTGAAGTAGAGGTAGTGTGTAATTTGAAAGCCCTCCTTTCCCCTCCCCTCCTCTACTTTGGCTTTTGTTGTTGGTTTTATGTTCTGTCTCTTCAATAAGTAGCTATAGGTATTTAATCTCTCGAACATAGTCTGCCTATTTATAAAAGCAGCTTGTGGGCCGGGCACGTGGCTCACGCCTGTAATCCCAGCACTTTGGGAGGCCAAGGCGGGTGGATCACAAGATCAGGAGTTCAAGACCAGCCTGGCCAAGATGTTGAAGCCCCATCTCTACTAAAAATAGAAAAATTAGCTGGGCATGGTGGCGGGCGCCTGTAATCCCAGCTACTCGTGAGGCTGAGGCAGAGAATCACTTGAACCCGGGAGGCAGAGGTTGCAGTGAGCCAAGATCGCGCCACTGCATTCCAGCCTAGGCGACAGAGTGAGACTCCATCTCAAAAAAAAACAAAAAAATAAAAATAAAAATAAAACCAGCTTGTGGCCGGGTGCGGTGGTTCACGCCTCTAATCCCAGCACTTTGAGAGGCCAAGGTGGGTGGATCACGAGTTCAGGAGTTCGAGACCAGTCTGGCCAACATGGTGAAACCCTGTCTTTACCAAAAATACAAAAAAAAAAAAAGAAAAGAAAAGAAAAGAAAAATTAGCTGGGCATGGTGGTGGATGCCTATAATCCCAGCTACTCATGAGGCTGAGGCAGGAGAACCCGGGAGGCAGAGGTTGCGGTGAGCTGAGATTGTGCCATTGCACTCCAGCCTAGGCTATAGAGCAAGACTCCGTCTCAAAAAACAAACAAAAAAAAGCAGCTTGTACTAATGTGTTGTTTCCTTCTACAAGTATTAAAATGTAATAACTATTTTGAAAGAGAAGCTAGGTTTTGTTTTATTTTAGGGTTCCAAACATGTATATTCATATGAAATACGAATATTGTGAAATATGTGCATTGGAAATTCCATGGTGACGATATCTTGGTTTTCTTCCAGTGACGGTGTGAGGCAGCCTTTAGAACTTTTGCATATCACAGAAAACATTATTAATTAGGAAAGCTCTGTGATGCAATTAAGCCAGAGTTCTCTAGATGAGATTTATCACCTTATTTAGAAATCTGAGTAATGCTTTAATCGCTGATAAATATTTTTAATTAGACAACAAAGGATTAGAGTGAGATGTTTGCCTCTCTTAATCCAACTTTATTATTCTTTTTCTGAAAAGACAATCTGCCTGTGTGGAGGTACTGTTCTTATTAGCATGTTGGTGTAGATTTACAAGAGTCCATGTTTTCAGTATGGGCCTAAGGGCTTTCTTTCATTTTCACTCTAAGTGATGCATGCAAAAGTTTTCACAGAAGAAAGAGCATGAATCCTTTATGTCAGTGGAACTGCCATTTTATTAAATAGCCCAGGGCTTTCAAATGGTGCCTGAAGAAACTTGTGTTTCTGGAGATTATGTAAAGGAACTTGAAGGTACTTGTGTGACATGTCAAGCTCCTGGCTTTTACTCATATTGTATCCAAAGAAGGATTTTGCAGACCCAAAAACCTTGAATTTAGACTGAAACGTGGCTTTGCAGGCACATATGTTTCTCAGCTTGTGGGCAGAGGTTGAGAGGCCATGTCATATGGAGAGTCCTTCCCCTCTCTGATAAGGAAAGGTGACTTGCTTCAAATTTATATTCTCTTGCTATATATTATTGTTTCACAACCGTGGAAGGGATAGCATTGGAATGGAGAAGCAGAATGCTTATCAGGAATCAATTAAAGTCTGTGTGGTTCATTTTAGGAGTGCCCAGGGATACACTCAGAAAGGAAAAAGGGAAAGAGCTTGCTTGGAAGGCATTTTGCAATGAGTTACAGGGGGAATCAAGGGTATTTAGGAAGTGTATTACCCAGCTAGTGCTGCTGTAGTGAAATGCCACTGACTGGGTGGTAAACAAGAGTTATTTTCTCATAATTCTGGAGGCTAGTTGTTGTCCAAGATCAAGTTGTCAGCAGGGTTGGTCCCTTCTGAGGCCTCTCTCCTTGGCTTGTAGATGCCTGTCTTCTCCCTGTGTGTTCACATGGTCTTTTTTCCTGTGTGTGTCTGTCCCAATCTCCTCTTCTTACAAGGACACCAGTCCTATTGGGTTTAGGCCCACTAGTAAAATCTCTTTTTAAATTAATTGCCTCTTTAAAGGCCCTATCTCCAAATACAGTCACATTCCAAGGTACTAAGGTTAGGACTTCAACATTCAAATGTTTTCCAGGACACAATTTAGCCAATAATAGGAATGTATGTGAGGAAGGAAAGGAAAAAAATTGTTCATCTTATAGATGAGAACGTACTTGTTGAGTTAAAAAAATACTTCCCCTTTGCCATGGTGAGATGGGCTAAATGATGCTTCTAAAACTTTAGTTACTGGCATAGAACTTTCACAGCTTTTGCTATCACTACCCAAATTTTTTACTTCATGGCACTCTTAGTGTTTTAGCAATCTTTTTACCATCCCCCTAGACCAAAAGAAATACCTACTCTTTTTGTTAGGTCCGAACAACTTATTAAGTATTTAGGTTCTAACAACTTGGTAGCCATTTGAAAAAATAAAACATATAAATTGAAAGGAAATAGCATTTTTATTTTGTTATTAAATAACCATATTACTTACTAACTGGATGTGTGTGTCTGTTGGGCACTGCACGACTTCTAAAGTCTTGGAATCAGATTGGACACCATCACCCCATCGCCCTTGTTTCCCAGGCCACAATGATGTTCATGTGGCACTTGTTTTCCTTCAATCACAGCAACTGCCAAAAGCTCAACTTTGCAATGATATCATGTGGTTGAAAAGTATATAGCACAGTCTGATGCTAGAAGAGAACTATCTTGAGTTTAGTAGTTCTCAGGTAGTATTGCCATTGCCCTTGAAATGTTAGGCTATCTCCAGTGCTCTGTGAGTTCATTGCAGCACACATGGGGACCTCAGTGCAAAGCTGAAGGACCATGAAAGCTGAAGGACCATGAACTCTTTACTGAATATGTTTCTTTTTTCTTTTCTTTTTTTTTTTTTTTTTTTTTTTGAGATGGTCTTTCACTCTTCTAGCCCAGGCTGGAGCGCAATGGCGCAATCTCGGCTCACTGCAACCTCCACCTCCCAGGTTCAAACGATTCTCCTGCCTCAGCCTCCCAAGTAGCTGGGATTACAGGCATGTGCCACCACACCTGGCTAATTTTTGTATTTTTAGTGGAGACGGGGTTTCAACCATGTTGACCAGGCTGATCTCAAACTCCTGACCTCAGGTGATCCGCCCCCCTCGGCCTCCCAAATAATATTTTTCTTTTATCAGCTCGCATTTAAAACTTTATTTTTGTATTTTTTAACTTATCCTCAGTGTGAACATTAATATCTGTGAGAGACCATCTCTATTTTTCATACATAATCAAATCTATAAAACACCTAAAAATTTATTTCACATACTGCCAGTGGTACTTCTCCTATACTTTAGAACATACAGAGCTCATTAATTTAAAAGAACAAAAAACTTTTATTTTGAGGATTTATTGTTTTCCAAGTATCTGATTTTTAAAAATAGACTTTATTTTTCAGGACAGTTTTTGGTTCACAGTAAAATTGAAATGAAGCTGCAGATATTTCCCATACACCTCATTCCCCCAAGCACGCACAGCCTTCCCCATTATCAACATTCCCTACCAGAGTGGCACATTTATTAGAATCAATGAACCCGCAGTGACATTTCATTATCCTCCAAAGTCTATACTTTACATTCCCTCTGGTATTGTACATTTTGTGGGTTTGGCCAAATGTCTAATGACGCGCATCTACCATTATAGTATCATATAGAGTGGTTTCACAGGCTTAAAAGTCCTCTGTGCTCTGCCTATTTCAGTGTTTTATCTTTACTCTTATTATAGGAACTTGAAATGCAGGCTCGAGCTCATGGACTTTCCCTTATTCCATCCACGGGTCTCTGCTCTCCAGATTTGGTGAATCGGATCATCAAGCAAGAACCCGTTCTTGAGAACTGCAGCCAAGACCTCCTTCAGCATCATGCAGACCTAACCTGTACAACAACTCTCGATCTCACGGATGGCACCATCACCTTCAACAACAACCTCGGAACTGGGACTGAGGCCAACCAAGCCTATAGTGTCCCCACAAAAATGGGATCCAAACTGGAAGACATCCTGATGGACGACACCCTTTCTCCCGTCGGTGTCACTGATCCACTCCTTTCCTCAGTGTCCCCCGGAGCTTCCAAAACAAGCAGCCGGAGGAGCAGTATGAGCATGGAAGAGACGGAGCACACTTGTTAGCGAATCCTCCCTGCACTGCATTCGCACAAACTGCTTCCTTTCTTGATTCGTAGATTTAATAACTTACCTGAAGGGGTTTTCTTGATAATTTTCCTTTAATATGAAATTTTTTTTCATGCTTTATCAATAGCCCAGGATATATTTTATTTTTAGAATTTTGTGAAACAGACTTGTATATTCTATTTTACAACTACAAATGCCTCCAAAGTATTGTACAAATAAGTGTGCAGTATCTGTGAACTGAATTCACCACAGACTTTAGCTTTCTGAGCAAGAGGATTTTGCGTCAGAGAAATGTCTGTCCATTTTTATTCAGGGGAAACTTGATTTGAGATTTTTATGCCTGTGACTTCCTTGGAAATCAAATGTAAAGTTTAATTGAAAGAATGTAAAGCAACCAAAAAGAAAAAAAAAAAGAAAGAAAGAGGAAAAGAAATCCATACTAACCCTTTTCCATTTTATAAATGTATTGATTCATTGGTACTGCCTTAAAGATACAGTACCCCTCTAGCTTTGTTTAGTCTTTATACTGCAAACTATTTAAAGAAATATGTATTCTGTAAAAGAAAAAAAAAATGCGGCCTTTTCATGAGGATCGTCTGGTTAGAAAACATAACTGATACCAACCGAAACTGAAGGGAGTTAGACCAAGGCTCTGAAATATAAAGTCTAATCTTGCTCTCTTTTATTCTGTGCTGTTACAGTTTTCTTCATCAATGAGTGTGATCCAGTTTTTCATAAGATATTTTATTTTGAAATGGAAATTAATGTCCTCTCAAAGTAAAATATTGAGGAGCACTGAAAGTATGTTTTACTTTTTTTTTATTTTATTTTTGCTTTTGATAAGAAAACCGAACTGGGCATATTTCTAATTGGCTTTACTATTTTTATTTTTAAATTATGTTTTACTGTTCATTTGATTTGTACAGATTCTTTATTATCATTGTTCTTTTCAATATATTTGTATTAATTTGTAAGAATATGCATCTTAAAATGGCAAGTTTTCCATATTTTTACAACTCACTGGTGGTTTTCCGCATTCTTTGTACACCCATGAAAGAAAACTTTTATGCAAGGTCTTGCATTTAAAAGACAGCTTTGCGAATATTTTGTAAATTACAGTCTCACTCAGAACTGTTTTTGGACACATTTAAGGTGTAGTATTAATAGGTTAAAACCAGGCTTTCTAGAAAGAATAAACTTACATATTTATTTTTAGGACATGAAAATAGCAATATTCTTGGAGATTGATAACCATAGCATTAATACGCCCATTATGGTCATTTAAATTGGGGTTTATTTCAGCAAACTTGTTGAATTTATTTTTAAGAAAGAAATACTGTATTGGGAAGTTACTGTTACTTGATAACAATGTTTTAACAAGAAGCAATGTTATAAAGTTAGTTTCAGTGCATTATCTACTTGTGTAGTCCTATGCAATAACAGTAGTGTTACATGTATCAAGCCTAGATGTTTTATACAGATGCCATATAGTGTTATGAGCCAGGCTGTTGAATGGAATTTCTCAGTAGCAGCCTACAACTGAATAGCAAGTGGCATAAAGCATATCCATTCAGAATGAAGTGCCTTAAATATAGCAGTAGTCTTTTTTGGACTAGCACTGACTGAACTGTAATGTAGGGGAAAGTTTCATGATGGTATCTATAGTCAAGACGAACATGTAGCATGGTGCCTATGTAGACAATATAAGAGCTTCCAATTTTCCTTCAGATATTTTTAATATTAAATATATTTTAGTGACAGAGTGCCAACTTCTTTCATCAGGAAACCTTATTCAGGAGGGTTTTTAAAAAGTGTTTAAATGTCAAATGTGAATTGGTGATGGGTGATGGAGGGTTCAGAGAGGAGTGATCGTCAGATGTGTGAATGGACGGTTTAGGTGAAAATAATCAACTGCATAGTTCCCATGCACGCTGGGCAATGAGAATCCTTGGAAACATTGGTGATGCTATCAGTTTTATAGCTTTATTTCTTAAGGGGGTAGGGAAAATTAGTTCCCATTCTTTCAACCCCCTTAACTGTATAGCTCTTTTCCTAGAATAGTGACGCAAATCTGCATGAACAGCTAATTGTACCATAGTGTTCATTGATACAATCATAGCATTGTCTATTTTTCTCTTCATATTTATATGGGGGGGAGGGCGCTGGATGCAAAAGTTGAAGATCGTGATGCTATGATGTTAGTTTTCCTTAGCTGATTTTGAGGGTTTTTAAAAATAAAGCAAGGTTGACTAACCTACGGCCACGGGAACAGGACCATGGTTAAGCAACCATATAGAAAGCTTTGTTGAAAGAAAGTATGGCATCTTGTACCACTGCCCTGACTGTCACAACTCCTAACCTTGCCATTGCCTGCCTCCCCCTCCCCTTCTCCTTAAGAGACAATTTCTGCAGGTGGCAGGTGAGCAAGCCCAGGAGAATGCTGCAATCTTGGGGGTGGTTTTATTTATTTCTTTTTTGCCAAATAGAGTGTGGATTCATTTCAGGGGCTAGCTAAGCCAAGAGGCAGTGGTTTGGGCTTGTTGTTTGTAACAAGAAAATGATCCACACCACTCCCCCGATTCCCGGGTGCAGAATTGTAACTCGGGGTTGGGCCTCTATATGGAGTGACCAAAATGCCAAAATTGTCCATCTGCCTCTGAGTAGGGCAATGGAAATACCAAACCTTCTGACTTTGCCAAAAAGCATACAAGCAACCTGGTCATACATAGGATGACAAAATTCTTTCTGGTTGTTTTTAAACAATAAAGCAATAAGAACAAATACAATACATAGGAAGTTAAAAGCACAAAGGAATGAACTTATTAATATTTTTGAAAAATGCACTGGGAAAAAGTTGATGTCAATAACAGTATAAAACAGCCCTATTTCTTGATAAAAAATGACAAATGACTGTCTCTTGCGGATGCTTGGTACTGTAATGTTAATAATAGTCACCTGCTGTTGGATGCAGCAATAATTTCTGTATGGTCCATAGCACTGTATATTATGGATCGATATTAATGTATCCAATGAAATAATCGACTTGTTCTTGATAGCCTCATTAAAGCATTTGGTTTTTCACATAGTGGTGGCCTATTGTGTTAATGCCAATTTTGAATGCTATCTGCCATATCAAAAAATGGTAGTGCACATTTTCTTCTGATTTAATGAATAACAAATTGCATGAAAATTTAGAAAATGCCAGTAAGTACTTTTTTTGTTTAAAATGCCACTCTAAGATGTTACTTTTTGGTTTTAAACATTTTTGATTACTTTTTGACTTACACTCAGATGAGGTGTAATTATGCACCTTTTTTATCCCCCTCTGAATTTGGGGAGATTTTAAACTCCCAAATGCCAAGACTTCATTTTAGATATAGGAGTTTTATTTAAAATGTTTCATTGAGAGGTGGCTTTAAAAAAGAGAAATTGTCAGAGAAACCCTTGCATATTTACAGAAAAGATATTGGGTTTTTAAAATACAAATTTACAATAATGAAAGCTTAATATACCCAGGCTGCCAGCTCCTGGTTGCCTTTTTTTTTTAATACACTACTTAAGAATCATTTGATAAATGTTGGATTTGAATTGGGAAGTGTCAGACAAAACATGTCTTTATTCCCTAGCTAGACCTTAAACTTCTGCCCTTTTAAAAAATATATTCTGGCTTAACCTCTGGAGAAAATGAGCAAGAAACTTCCTGTAATGCTTCTGATCTGACTGTCAGCTTTTTCCTACTTTTAATTTTCTTCTTAAATTGTAATATACAATAATCAAGGCCTTTCTTTTTTAGACCTATTTGAATTATTTATATTTTCCCTAGAAGTATAACTGTAGGATCCCTTAAAAACATGTAAAAGTAGAAAGATTTCCTTTTGGAACAAGAGAGAATATTCTGGGCAAAATCAAAAGCAAGTAAGTTGAAAATTGGGGCTTTTCATCTCCGGGGGATCTGCAGCAATACCTTCACCCACATTTCTGTCCTGATATTTACCAGTAAATAGTCATTTCACAGCCCATAAGAATCCTTCATCTTTAGCTTCCCCCACTTACACACAGACACACACACACACACACACACACACACACACACAATTAACGTGTTATAGTGGTGTTACCTGAAGATTAGACATTTGCCTACAGTGTGTATGACTTCATTTGATATCCACAGAGTTACATTTCTTAAAATTTTATTAAGCCAATTCACTTTCAAATAAATTATATCCGTTCAATCACCACACATGACCTCTCAGTTAATCTTCCTGGGTTTGAATCTTATCTCTGCCCATGTCTAGCTCTATGATTTTGCGCAAGTTATTTGGCCTCCCTGTGCCTCAAAAGTAGCTACCACATAGTGGTCTTGTGAAGACCATTCGAGTTAATAATACTAGAATTTGTGCTTGACAGCACATAGTAAATGCTTAGTAAATGATAGCTTTTCTTATAATAATCACCTTCATTACTAAAATGGAAAATACTTTCTGGACCAACTAAAATCATCATATGTATTAGCAGTGACATGCACACCACATTTGGCAAAGCACTGAATTACAACATAGATTGAAGACATGTGTAAACTGGCCAGGGGACAGAAGCCACAGGCTATTTAGGAGAAAGGAACCTTGCTGTTTGTAAGACCTAGGGTAGGAATATTTTAGAGAATTAGTAATAAACTCAAAGTATCACATTAAAATATCTTCAGCACAAATGACCTAAAATTTAAATTGTTTTAAACCTGTACATTCTGCATGTATGCTTCTGCCATGAGAATAATTATATTATTTTCATAAAATATGCCTTAGTGAAGCTGAAATCTTTATTATATTCTTTAGAAAATTAAACTGTTTAATCCTTTGCAATATACACTGATATTATACAGCTAAGAGTGGTGTCTTGACTATATCCTGTCTTCAGTTTCCTATCAATATTGAAATGTTTCTCAGGATTTTATTTTCAATTGTACTTACATTTGATGACTTCTTTGGAAAACCATCTGAGAAGTTAATCTTCATAATCCAGCCAACATAAATGAACTCTTAGAATTACTCTGTTTTTATTTTTTTGTGTATGCCAAGACTTAATGCATAGCCAAGTAGCATGAGGAAAGCTCCTTTAAGAGGAGCGTTGTAAAGTTAGATTTTCATTATATTTAGAGAGAGGTTGTGATGATCTCTTAATTCTTTGCTGCCACATCTGAGGCTCAATAGCAGTGGCTTTATGTCTGTACCCATAATAACATGAATCCATAATACACGTCTGAACAGAGTGTAAGTGAAGAAGCTTTTATTATCCCAGTTTTCCCAAGAGGCATATATCCTCCTCCCCTCAAAAAAGTGTAGAGTAAATCTGCCATATTAAAATTGTCAAGGTCCTGTATATACATAAAATGTAGACATGGTTAATTGTATTTGTGTTCAGTATTTGTAGGTCTTTTGAGCCTATTACCTATACCAGATACACTGGAAAGTAATATGAGTATACACAAAACCAAATAAATTTCAGCAACGCATGTAAATGGTAAAGACAGTTTGCTTTTGAAAAATTTGCATTTTAAATTTCTAATTATGGAGTCAGTTGAAGATATATCCAAATGGGTGCAATTGTCACTCAAAATTCCTTACATATTATTCAGACAGCAAAATCTATGTAAATAGAAGCCACGAAACTAGTGTTTCCCAAACTTCACTTTATGGAACTAGTTCCACAAGCTGTTGCACAAGTTGCTTTGAGGAATGGGGGTTTGGAGGTGGGCTGGGGTCAGGAAATGCTATACTGTAGTTAATTTTGAGGAAGTTAGCTTTGGGAAATGCTGAGCTAAACAAATGTGAACAAGTATTTCTACTGCAAGACTTCTCACATTCTAAATTATGCTAATGGGATTGAGAGTTCGTAACATTTCCCAGTCTCATTTGGCCACAGGATTGTGTGTGTGTGTGTGTGCGCGCACGTGTGTAAGACACCTGCTAATTGTTCCAAAGAACACAGTTTGGGAAATTCTGGAGATTTTACAGAAATTATTTAAACTCAATAAATTTTTTTTTTGTTTTCCTAAGGCAAGTATGCTTACGTTTGTTTATGATTCCATAGGTAGACGTCATTGTCATTAAAAAAGTATTACTCTGAAGAAACAAATTAGCTTAGGTTTTCATCTCCATTGAAAATATAAAATTCTGATTAAGGAAAATATTGGCATTAAGAAACTGTTATTCCTGAATTTAAAAAGTAACATGTTTTCATTTTCAAAGAAAATATTCACTCTGGTTACACACATGTTCAATGTACCTTTTGTATGAGTGGTACTATAAAAAGTTCTTTAAGTTGAATGTCTCCCACATCTTTAAATATGGACAACCTAATGTTTAGGAAATATTTGGTTTATAACTTTAGGTTCAGCTTACTGGTTTTTGCTGGAAGGACATTAGGAAGAATTGTATGGTATTCAGAATTGATGTAGTCTTGTCAATGACTCTTTTTCAATGAAGGTAAGTTCTGACAGAGGGATCAGGTTGTATCTCCAAAGTTCGGTTGTTAATTGGTTATAGGCCAACCCACAAGAGCTATATTAATTCTTACATGCCTGTAGTATATTATAGGACTTACTAAGATTGTTTTAGAATTTAAACACTGTATTATGAAGCCCAAGGGAAAATACATTAACACACCTTTTCCACTCCTTACAGATGAGATCACAGATTTCTTTCATTCAATGTCTTTTAAAAATACTTTTCAGCCCTCACTCTTCGCCTAGGAATAAACGGTGAGCAGAGGAATTTCACTCCAGTGGAATGAAGGAATTTATTGGCTCATATTACCATAAAGTCCAAATGGCAAATATAACTTCACGTATGCCTGGGTTCAAGGGCTCAAACAAGCATTCAATCTGCTTGTCTCTAATTTTCTTGGTGCCAACCTCCTCTTGGAGGCAGGTCTTCTCCATGAGGTCCCCTCTGGCAGTTTCAAAGTCCAGTAGAAAGCCAGCACCTCTTTCCCAGTTGCTATGGTGAAGTCCCTGTAGTAGTTCTGATCAGCCCTACTTGGTTATGATCACCATAACCCAAAAATGGAACACACCAGTGGGCCAGGTCTGGGTCACGTGTCCACTCTGCTAGATTCATTCAGCAGCACCTAAACCTTGTAGACCAAGAGACAAGGAGGTGGGACTCACCCAGACTCCAAAGGATACTGTTCCCAAAGCGGGAAGAGGAATCTCTGTAAGCAAAACAACAGATACTCATTGCTTGGACTTCAAGAGGACTGGACAAACTCTACCCTTGCCAATCTTTTGCCTTTTCAGATGCACAGATTTGGGACTTTTTTCTTCCTTCACCCTTAACCCCAGGGTGATAGAAAGGGAGGGAAGGAAGATATTAAATCCCTACAGCTGCATCTCCCTCTTCCTCATTATTCATGGCTCATTTCTCATAACCAGCTCTCCGGCTCTCACCCCCTACTCAATCCTCTGCCAGACAGAGATCCTAAGACCCAAGTTTTGCAATAAAATACAGTCATGTGCCACATAATGATGTTTTGGTCAATGATGGATTGCATATGTGATGGTGGTCACATAAGATTACAATGGAGCTGAAAACTTTCTATCACCTAGTGACATTGCAGCTGTCATGCCATGAGCTCAATGCATTACTCACATGTTTGTGGTGATGTTGGTATAAACAAGCCTACCGCACTGTCAGTCATAGAGAATTATAGCACATACAATTATGAACGGTAACATAATACTTGATAATAAATGACTATATTACGGATTTATGTATTTGCTATTTATCATTATTGTAGAGAGTACTCCTAATTGTTAAAATGGCAGGTCCTTCAGGAAGTATTCCAGAAGAAGGCATTGTCATCAGAGGAGATGACAGCTCTATGCATGTTCCTGCCCATGAAAACCTTCCAGAGGAACAAGATGTGGAGGTGGAAAACAGTGATATTGATGATCCTGACCCTGTGAAGGCCTAAGCTAATGTCTCTGTTTTTGTCCTTGTTTTTAACAAAAAAGTTAAAAATTGTTTTAAAATGAAAAATAGTAAAAAGCTTATAGAATAAGGATATAAAAAAGAAAAATTATTTTATTTACTTTTATTTTTATTCTCTTTGAGACAGAGTCTCACTCTATCCCCCAGGCTGGAGTACAGTGGTGCGATCTTGGCTGACTGCAACCTCCGCCTCCCGGGTTCAAGCGATTCTCCTGCCTCAGCCTCCTGAGTAGCTGGGACTACAGGTGTGTGCCACCAAGCCTGGCGAATTTTTGTATTTTTTGGTAGAGACGGGGTTGCGCCTTGCTGGCCCAGCTGGTCTCATACTTCTGACCTCAAGTAATCCACCCACCTCGGCCTCCCAAAGTGCAGGGAATTCAGGTGTGAGCCTCTGCGCCCAGCCAAGAAAATATTTGTGCACAGCTGTACAATGTGTGTTTCACACTGTGTTATTACAAAACAGTCAAAAAGTTAAAAGCATCAAAAAGTTTATAAAGTAAAAAATTATAGTAAGCCAAGGTTAATTTATTACTGAAAAAAGAAATTTTGAGTAAATGTAATGTAACCTAAGTGTACAGTATTTATAAAGTCTACAGTAGTACAGTAATGTCCTAGGCCTTCACATTCATTTACCACTCACTCATTGACCCACCCAGAGTACCTTCTAGTCCTGTAAGCCCCATTCACGAGCCCTATACAGGTATCCTATTTTTAAAATCTTTTATACAGTACTTTTACTGTACTTTTTCTATGTTTAGATACACAAATGCCATTATGTTAAAATTACCTACAATATTCAGTATTCAGAGGGCTCACCAAGCACTCACTCCTCTAAATACAAATGGACTCTTACTTCTGTCATTTCTAAAGCCAACTTTGTTATCATGATGTTTTCAGTTGCCCATTGCAGAAACGAAACTCCATTTGGAAAAAAAAAAAAAAGGCAGGGAGGAGAGAGGGGAGTTTACTGGTTTTCATAACAAAACTCCAGGGGTGAAACTCAGAATGGTGACTTCAGGTGCTCAAATGACCACTTCATGCATGCATTGCTCCCTCTTCTTAGATGTGCTCTCCTCTGTGTTGGCTTCATTTTTAGGCAAACTCTCCCTGTGAGGTGGCAAAATGGCTAATGGCCCCAAACACAACCTTGCAGTTTATCAACCAGCCCGGAAAGAGCATTTCTCTCCTCCCAGAGTCTCATTGGCCCAAACTGGCCAGTATGTTTAATCCTGGACCAGTCATTATTTCCAGGGGCATGGAATACATTGACAGGCTACTCCTAATCATATTTTTACCCATTGGGCTGGGATTGACTCAGCCTTTTTGGAGGGGAAGGAGGCAACCCTAAAAACTGAGAAGCCCTCATCCAAGTTGTCCTTTCTGACTATGTCCACTTGCTTTTCCAACAATCAGCTCCTTATCTTTCAGGTTTCAGATGAAATTTCACCTTCTCAGAGAAGAGGTCAATGACCACCTTACATAATAGAAAGGAGACTCTATTTGCCTTTCCTTAACCTACCATCTTGTTTATTTCCTTCATAGCCTTGGGTTGCCTTTTCTCCTTCTCCTTCTCCTTCTCTTTCTCCTTCTCCTTCTCGTTCTCCTTCTCCTTCTCCTTCTCCATCTCCATCTCCTGCTCCTTCTCCTTCTCCTTCTCTATCTCCTTATTCTATCAGTTTGCTTCTCCTTCTCCTTCTCTATCTCCTTATTCTATCAGTTTGAGCTGGTTTCTCGTCCCTTTCATAGAAAGTATTCATATTTGTGATCAGTAGACAAGGGTTGGCAAGTTTTGCCACAATATTGTCAATAAGAATACAGTCTTATTTTAAAAAAATAAAATAAATGAAAGTACTAGGTTAAGAGAATCTGTTTGCTAGGACTGTGGAAGTATTTGTTTATAAGCAGCATGTTATCACATCTTATTTACATGAGTTCTTGGGAGAATAAAACTTCCACATGAATTAACTTATGGATAGCTGAACTTAGCGCTTTAAATGGCCAAAATTTTATTTTCACTATTTTTGATGATAGGCTTTCTCAAGTGTATGATTCTCTACCTCTTGAAACAGACTGTAAAGAATATAATTTTACCTGTGCTTGATGGCTCAGGGTCATCTTTAAGATTATTATTACTTTGAGCTCTAACGCAATGGTGTCCTTGGAGGCTTCAGAGATGTAATGAAGGTTTTGGTCCCTATATGAAGAGGCCCTAGAGAGCAGCACTTTCACTCCATCTTCTTTCCCCCCAAACCCCTTCAGATTTACTGCTCCAGCTCTGCTGTGGGCTTGAGAGAATTGCTAATCCAGTTAAGTCTTTAATAGTTAACAGAATTGTGTCTTGTATAAGGTAAATGTGCCTCATGTAAAGATCTGGGCATTCTGCTGCCTGTGCTGCAATGCATAAGCTTTAGTGCTTTGATTTTGGCTATGAAGAAAACTTTTCCTCCCCTAGTTGCCTGTTTTTTCCACTGGACTTCAGCTAATTAGAAGTTGCTGGATCTGTGACCTAGTTAAATAAGTTTTTCTATAATTAGAAACACAGGTTGGACTCGTTAGGGTCATGAGATTTCATTTTGTTAAGCCACTTGTAAGCCATTCTTTCAACACTTTGTAGAAATTCTGTTAGGTTAGTCCAACTCAGATGATGACAGAGTCAGCAAACTTTTCTGTAAAGGGCCAGGAAATAAATACTTTAGGCTTTTCGAGCCAAAAGGCAAAATTAAATATATTGTATTGGTGCTTACGTAACAAGAGAGAAAACAAATTTCTATAAATTTTTCATTGATGAAATGCTAAGTTTAATAATAATTGAATATCATTCTTGTAATACAACTCTACTATGAAGAAAAATGGAATTCTTTTGGGGGAAAAATAACATTTTGATTAATTGCGGTTCAAAGTTCCTGTCCCCTAGCCTCAAACTGATTGTAAATGCTTATCTGTAAAAGCTGCTCTTAACTCACAGGCTGTTCAAAAACAAGTGGCAGGCCAGATTTGGCCTGCAGGCTATCTTTTCTCAACCCCTGGACTGTGGCAGTCTAATGTCCCCTGATAACTGTTTTCTCTTCTTCATTTTAGCAATAGAATGCCCTGAATTGTAGGTCAGCACATAGCCGTATTTGTGGGTTCCATAGTTCCCAGCCTCTGTTATAAGTAGGTGTGACCCTATCATTAAATGCTGCATAATGGGATGTGAGCAGTCCTCCATTTCTTCCTACTGTCTAGGAAAGAGTGAAAGCTGAAATAGCTTCCTTGGACCAGAGATAAAGGTCCTATGTTGGATATGGTGGAGCTGCTTCATCTTGCATCTCCGGAATGCTGTGTAGAAAAAAAAAGAAATGGTTGTCTTATTTAAGACCTGTGTGATGGTTAATACTGAGTATCAACTTTATTGGATTGAAGGATACGAAGTATCGATCTTGAGTGTGTCTATGAGGGTGTTTCCAAAGGAGATTAACAATTGAGTCAGTGGGCTGGGGAAGGCAGACCCACCGTTAATCTGGTGGGCACAATCTAATCAGCTGCCAGCACGGCTAGAATATAAGCAGGCAGAAAAATGTGAAAAAGAGAGACCGGCCTAGACTCCCAGCCTACATCTTTCTCCTGTGGTGGATGCTTCCTGTCCTTGAACATCGAACACCAAGTTCTTCAGTTTTGGAACTCAGACTGGCTCTCCTTGCTCCTCAGCCTGCAGATGGCCTATTATGGGACCTCTTGATTGTGTGAGTGAATATATATATATTCCATTAGTTCATATATATATATATATATATATATATATATATATATATATTTTTTTTTTCCTTTAGTTCTGTCTCTAGATAACCCTGATTAATACAGATCAGATTTTGGTACCAGGAGTGATTGTAAAGGAACAGAATATTAAGGATGGGGTTCTTTAGTCAGTTTTGGGGTTTCTGGAGCTGGCTGCTTAATACGATTAGACCCCAAAATTCTAAGGACTCTACCTCTAATAGTATGGAGAACACCACTGGTAGTCCTTGGCATTAACCATTTAGAGAATTATGCAAAATAAATGCATTTGACATTCCCGATTCATCGCTAGTGAGAGGCAAAGAGTTTAGTGACTCTATACATAATAACTTTGACCATATAGAGAGAACCAAGGAACATAATGAAGCTGGTTGGTTGCTCCTAAGTTCAGTGAGCAAAGTGATGAAAGAAAATGATGAACTCAGGGATTCTATGTCCTGGCTTCAGTAGCAGATACTGAGCCTCAAATCTGCAAAGATTGCCCTGAGTGAAAGTCTTATCTTCCGTAGAGAAAGAGCTGCAATTGTAGAAAAACAGACACAAGCTCTTATCATATAAGTGGCTGACCAGCAAAAAAAGGTGCATGTACAGCTTTACCAGGTGTCTACTGTTGAAGTGAGAGCATTGATTGGAAAAGAATGGGACCCTGCAACTTGGAATGGGAATGTGTGGGAGGACCCTGATGACGCTAGGGACACTGAGTTTGTAAACTCTGATGAACCCTTTTGGCCAGAAGAAACAGCTTCCCCATCCCCAGTAGTGGCAACATTCCCTCCCCAAACCACGCTGCCATGAACCTTTCTACCTTTGTCTGAGGAGATAAACCCCGTGCTGCCTGAGGCAAGAGCGATGGCCTCCCCTGAGGCAGTTGCCAGGCAAGATAATGTTGATTCTCCTCAAGAGCCACCCCCAACACCCCTGTTTGCTTTTAGATCTGTAACTAGACTAAAGTCCTGGTGGGCCCCTAGAGGTGAGGTTGAGAGTGTGACCCATGAGGAGGTGTGCTACACTTGAAAATACCTGCTTGAGTTTTCTAATTTATATAAACAGAAATCTGGAGAACAGGCATGGGAATGGATATTAACAGTGTGGGATAATGGTGGAAGGAACATAGAGTTGGATCAGGCTGAATTTATTGATTTGGGCCCACTAAGTAGGGACTCTGCATTTAATATTGCAGCTTGGGGAGTTAAAAAATGTTCTAATCATCTATTTGCTTGGTTAGCTGAAATATGAAATTAGCTGTGAGTGAACTGGAAATGCCTGATCTCCCTTGGTTTAATGTAGATGAAGGGATCCAAAGGCTTAGGGAGATTGGGATGGTGGAGTGGATTAGTTGCTTTAGACCTACTCATCCCAGCTGGGAGGGTCCAGAAGATATACTCTTGACCAATGCCTTGTGAAATAGATTTGTGAGGGCAGCACCTGCATCTTTGAAGAGCCTTGTAATTGCTCTTCTCTGTATGTCAGATCCAACAGTGGGAACCACAGTCACTCAACTACAAAATTTAAATACAATGGGGATAATTGTATACTGAGGTGGCAGAGGCCAAGTGGTGGCACTCAACTGTCAAAGGCAAGGTGGGTATAGCTACCATAATGGACAGCAGAGGCAAAGCAGCAATCAGAATAGTCTGACTCCTGTAGAGCTCTGGCATTGGCTAATTAATCACAGTGTTCCTACAAGTGAAATTGATAGGAAGCCTACTGCATTCCTACTTAATTTATACAAGCAGAAAACTTCTAGGTCAAATGGACAAAAGACTAATTTGAATTATGAAAACAGAGACTCATGGCCCCTCAGTCAATTCCCAGACTTGAGCCAGTTTACAGACCCAGAACCCCTTGAATGAAGGGGAGGCCAGGTCCCCTTGAGGAAGGACCCCACTACATTACCAACAATTTATACAGTGAATATTTCTCCCATACTTCCCCATGGAGACCTCTGGCCTTTTTCCAGGGTAACTGTGCATTGGGGAAAGGGAAATGATCAGACATTTAGGGGACTGCTGGACACTGGCTCTTGGATTCCAAAGGACCCAAAACATCACTGTGGTCCTCCAGTTAAAGTAGGGTTTATGGAGGTCAGGTAATTAATGATGTTTTAGCTCAGGTCCAACTTACAGTGGGTCCAGTGTGTCCAGTGGGTCCAATGGTTCCCCGGACTCTTCCTGTGGTCATTTCCCCAGTGCCAGAATGCAGAGTTGGCATAGACATACTTAGCAGCTGGCAGAACCCCCACATTGACTCCCTGACTGATAGGGTGAGGGTTATTATGGTGGGAAAGACCAAATGGAAGCCATCAGAGCTGGCTCTACCTCAAAAGATAGTAAATGAGTAACAATATTGTACCCTGGAGGGATTGCAGGGATTAGTGCCACCATCAAGGACTTGAAAGATGCAGGGGTGGTGATTCCCACCACATCCCTGTTCAACTATCCCATTTGGCCTCTGCAGAAGACAGCTAGATCTTGGAGAATGACAGTGGATTATCATAAGCTTAACCAAGTGATGACTCCAATTGGAACTGCTGTACTAGATGTGGCTTCATTGCTTGAGTGAATTAACACAACTCATGGTACCTGGTATGGAGCCATTGACTTGGAAAATGCCTTTTTCTCCATTCCTGTCCATAAGGCCCACCAGAAGCAGTCTGCCTTCAGCTGGTAAGTCCAGCAATATACATTCACTGTCCTACCTTAGGGGTATCTCTACTCTCCTCCTTTGTGTCATAATCCTATTCGGAGAGAACTTGATCGCTTTTCACTTCTGCAAGATATCACACTGGTCTATTACATTGATGACATTATGCTGATTGGATCCAGTGAGCAAGAAGTAGCAAACACACTGGACTTATTGGTGAGACATTTGTGTGCCAGAGGATGGGAAGTAAATCCAACTAAAATTCAGGGACCTTCTACCTCAGCAAAATTTCCAGGGGACTAGTGGTATGGGGGCTGTTGAGATATCCCTTCTAAGGTTAAGGATAAGTTGCTGCATTTGGTCCCTCCTACAGCCAAGAAAGAGGCACAATACCTAGTGGGCCTATTTGGATTTTGGAGGTAACACATTCCTCATTTGTGTTTGTTACTCTTGCCCGTTTATCGAGTGACCCGAAAGACTGCCAGTTTTGAGTGGGGTTCAGAATAGAAGAAGGCTCTGCAACAGGTTCAGGCTGCTGTGTAAGCTGCTCTGCCACTTGGGACACATGACACAGCAGAAACAATGGTGCCTGAGGTGTCAGTGGCAGACAGGATGCTCTTTGGGGCCTTTCGCAGGCCCCCGTAGGTATATCATAGTGGAGGCCTCTAGGATTTTGGAGCAAGGCCCTGCCATCTTCTGCAGATAACTACTCTCCTTTTGAGAGACAGCTCTTGGCCTATTACTGGGCTTTTGTGGAAACTGAACGTTTGACTATGAATCATCAAGTCACCATGCAACCTGAACTGCTTATCATGATCTGGGTGCTTTCTGATCTATCTAACCATAAAGTGGGCCATGCACAGCAGCATTCCATCATCAAATGGAAGTGGTAGATATATAATTGGGTTTGAGCAGGTCCTGAAGGCACAAGTAAGTTACATGGGGAAGGGGTTCAAATGCCCATGGTCTCCACTCCTGCCTCCCTGCCTTCTCTTTCCCAGCCTGCACCAATGACCTCATGGTGAGTTCTCCGTGATCAGTTGACAGAGGAAGAGAAGACCAGAGCCTGGTTCACAGGTGGTTCTGCACTACATGCAGGCATCACCCGAAAGTGGACAGCTGTAGCACTACAGCCCCTTTCTAGGATATCCCTGTAGCACAGTGGTGAAGGGAAATCTTCCCAGTGGGCAGAACTTTGAGCAGTTCACCTGGTTGTGCATTTTGCATGGAAGGTGAAATGGCCAGATGTGCTATTATATATTGATTCATGGGCTGTAGCCAATGGTTTGGCTGGATGGTCAAGGACTTGGAAGAAGAATGATTAGAAAATTGGTGACAAAGAAATTTGGGGAGGAGGTATGTGGATGGACCTTTCTGAGTGGTCAAAAACTGGGAAGATATTTGTATCCCATTTGAGTGCTCACCAACAGGTGATGTCAGCAGAGGAGAATTTTAATAATCAGGTGGATAGGATTCTGTGGACACCACTAGCCTCTTTCCCCAGCCACCCCTGTCACCGCCCAATGGGCCCATGAACAAAGAGGCCATGGTGGCAGGGATGGAGGTTACACATGGGTTCAGCAACATGGGCTTCCACTCACCAAGGCTGACCTGATTACGGCCACTGCTGAGTGCCCAATTTGCCAGCAGCACAGACCAACCCTGAGCCATCGATATGGCACCATTACTTGCGGTGATCAACCAGGTACCTGGTGGCAGATTGATTATATTGGACCTCTTCCATCATTGAAAGGGCAGAGGTTTGTCCTCACTGGAATAGACACTTACTCCAGATATGGGTTGGTGTATCCTACACGCAGTGCTTCTGCCAAGACTACCATCCATGTGCTCATGGAATGCCTTATCCACCATCATGGTATTCCATACAGCATTGCCTCTGACCAAGGCACTCACTTTACAGCTAAAGGAGTGTGGCAGTGGGCTCATGGAATTCACTGGCCTTACCATCATCCTGAAGCAGGTGGATTGATAGATCAATGAAATGGCCTTTTGAAGTAACAATTACAGTGCCAACGAGGTGACAATACTTTGCAAGGCTGCGGCAAAGTTCTCCAGAAGGCTGTGTATGCTATGAATCAGCGCCCAATGTATAGCACTGTTTCTCCCATAGCCAGAATTCATGGGTCCAGGAATCAAGGGGTGGAAGTGGAAATGGCACCACTCACCATCACCCCTAGTGATCCACTAGCAAAATTTTTCCTTCCTGTTTCCGCGACATTATATTCTGCCGGCCTAGAGGTCTTAGTTCCAGAGGGAGGAATGCTGCCACCAGGAGACAAAACAACATTTGTATTAAACTGGAAATTAAGATTGCCACCTGAACACTTTGAGCCCTCCCTACCTTTAAGTCAACAGGCTAAGAAGGGAGCTATAGTGTTGGCTGGGGTGATTGACCCAGGCTATCAAGATGAAATCAGTCTACTACTCCACAATGGAGGTAAGGAAGAGTATGAATGGAATACAGGCGATCCACTGGGCATCTCTTAGTATTACCATGTCCTCTGATTAAGGCCAATGGGAAACTATAACAGCCCAATCCAGGCAGGACTACAAATGACCCAGACCCTTCAGGAATGAAGGTTTGGGTCACTCCACCAGGAAAAAAAAACACGACCTACTGAGATGCTTGCTGAAGGCCAAGGGAATACAGAATGTGTATTAGAAGAAGGTGATCATTAATACCAGCTACCACTACGTGACCATCTCTAGAAACGAGGACAGTAATTGTCATGAGTATTTCCTCCTCCTTTTGCTAAAAACATGTTTGGGCAAGTATACACTTGCACTAAGAAAATATCTTCATTTTATTTCCTTTCTCCCCTATCATGTGACATAAGATTTATTGACTTTATATAAGCATTTAAGTATTGTTAACTTTATGTAACAGTATTTGAGTAGGGTATTGGTGCATTTGCCGTTGTATGAAGGATAGTTGTATTATGTTAGGGGTAATTATGACCTCATTATTGTCTTTATTTGAAGATTATGTACAATCTTAGGAGACGTGTCTGGGTTCAAGTTAACAAAGGGTGGACTTGAAATGGTTAATACTGAGTGTCAACTTGATTAGATTAAAGGATGCAAAGCATTGATCCTGGGTGTGTCTGTGATGGTGTTGCCAAAGGAGATTCACATTTGAGTCAGTGGGCTGGGAAAGGCAAACCCACCCTTAATCTGGAGGGCACAATCTAATCAGCTGCCAGTGCATCTAGAATATAAGCAGGCAGAAAAGTGTGAAAAAGAGAAACTGGCCTAGCCTCCCAGCCTACATCTTTCTCCCGTGTGGGGTGGTTCCTGCCCTCAAACATTGGGCTCCAAGTTCTTCAGTTTTGGAACTCGAACTGGCTCTCCTTCCTCCTCAGCCTGCAGACGGCCTATTGTGAAACCTTGTGATCATGTGAGTTAATACTTAACAAGCTCCCCTGTGTGTGTGTGTGTGTGTGTGTGTGTGTGTGTGTGTGTGTGTGTATAGGATCTTTTGTAATAACAGCTTAGCTATGCGGACACATATATTATACGCTGCAGTTATAAGAAAGGAGTTTTTTCTCCTCCTCTTCCTTCTCTTTTTCCTGCTGCTCCTCTTCATCCTTTTCTTGAATGATATTAATTCAGAATTTTCACTATTCCCTACTAGCCTTACTACTCAGATAATCTAAATTAATGAGGTTTTCTCTGCTTAAGCAAAAACAAATTACATTCCCTTTGTAGCTTGAATAAGAATAGCTGAATTTGAATTTAAAAGGTATCTAAGGATTTTGTATGTTTCCTAAACAAAGCTAATGAGATGTAGTTGTTCTTTTGTAACAGTGGGAAGCAAAAAACATGGGATGCATATCTTACTTTGGTTAGTGAAACCTGCAGGCAGATTTTATCTGTTTGTTGGGATTAGTATAAAAGACTGGATAATAGTATTTAATATTTATTTCTTTCATTGTCAGATGAACTTTTTCTTTAATCATATCTAGTTTGAGATGAGAAACTGCTGACTATGGAGTGTTATACCTATACACATTGTTCAAAATTGAAAATTATACAAGAAATAAAACTACCACAAATGCTATGATTCACTGTAGAAAAGGATAGTTATAATGATACTTTTCTTAACTTTCTGTGGGGGCGGTTGGCTATGAGATATGTGTTAACTTGCTAAGTTCAGATCTCTCCTGCCCCCCGAAAGTTGACATCTCCCAACAAATTTAATGTGCGAGAAGGATCCTGCCCTAGCAATGTCTAACATCACCGTAGCTTTCCACTTTTTCTCATACCCAGTCTCTACTAGTGTTTCTGAGTAGTAAGGAGCATGAGCAAACTTTCTCTGCTATTGAAAATCTAGCTCAAGGGTGACAAAAACACCACCCTTGGTTCTCACATCACCACTTCCTGAAACCACTTTCATGGCTGGCATTACTAATCAGTGGCTACAGTATCTCTCTGAGCCTGAACATGGCTTCACAAGTCATAAAGATGTGTTCTTGGCAGCCACAGCTGATTGATCACAGTTGTTTCTGAATGTGAAACCTATTTTCCAGCTCCAATCTACTTGGTGAAAAAAGCATGCGTTTAGGAGGATATATCTGGTTCACAAATTTTCTTACCCAATAAGATGCTACTAAAGTGCATTATTTGGCCCAATTTCAGGACCACAAGTAGGTAGCTTCTCTGTCACCTCCAAAAACAAACAAAGGAAAAAATGTGTGCCATGTTAAAACGTAATCTATCCTTGGGAGCATTCCTACATTAAACCTACAAAAAAAAGAGAACATAGTTATTTCTCAATCTGGATCCAGAACACTTCAATACCAGTTATTCCTATGCCTTTCTTTTTTGTGTACCCAGTATTTAACCAATAAATATTTGAATGGATGAGTAAATGAATGCTCATGTGTAACAGTTCAAGTAATATTTTTGAATATGTTCTGAATAGAATTTCAGAATTTGGAGAGAAATTAGAAGCACCTCTTCCAATGATTTACAAGACAGGGTGCAGAGTTTTAAAAAAGTATAGTAAATAGTATAACTTTTTTACTTCAAAAAGCAAAAGTAGCTATTTAATAATGTAGAAAGGAAAGATCTTTTTATTGGGGAAGTGTGGAGGTACCACTTCTTGAGTGTGAAGACACATACGCAGAGGAGGGGAATAGAGGTGTAAGATTCTGCTGTTTCCAAAAGTGGGATATGTGTTACAAAATGTTAAGAAGTGCTCATCACTTGACAGATAAACAAATGGACCTGAGAGATTAACAGACATCTCTAAGATCACACAGCTGCTCTGTGGCAGAGCATACGCTAGTACCTTGTTTCCTGACTTTGTGTTCAGTGAGGCCAGCAAGAGAGATGGCAACAGAGTGTTTTAGAGTATAGTGTACTTGCGATTTTGAGGTATGATAAGACCAACAGATGAGGAGACAATTGCCATTGAAAAGATAGATTCAGGTGGGTGCCACTCCATGCCATAGGGGCCACATGGGGAAGCACCAGGGTAGGTCACAAGACAGAGTAGGGAATTACAGGCAAGAGCCTCTATTGTGGTTTTTATGGGAGGGAATGGGAAAAGCAAACAAGCAGACCTGGAATTGGCCAGTTTGAATCATTTCCGTGGGCTCTGGGGTATAGAGGTTGTCCCTAATTTTCTAATACTGTCCTTGGAATGGTTGGGGCAGGTGGATAGTGGCCAGGAATGTAAGAGCCCAACAAGATAGGCGGCTAGAAGTGTAAAGTCTGGATTGGCTGGTTTACATTGAAAAGTAAACTCATGGGAGGAGGACTCCTCCCAAAGGGTGGGGAGGGGTGATGGGGGAGGCGGGGAGCCAAGGCAAGGTGACTCAAACATACTACCAGGTTGCCCAGGACAAGGCATGTCCAACATATGCCTATAAGACAAATGTGAAAACATCAAGTTACAGAAGCTAGATGTGCATTTACTACACTGGGATTCATGGTTCAGCGAAGACAAGCTATTAGTTGGCTCAAGAAGGTAGGGAGGGAGAAGGGATGTGGGGAGGGGGATTGAGGAGTACCTGTTTAATGGGTCCAAGTTTCTTTGAAGGTGATGAAAATGTTCTGGAATTAGACAGTGGCTATGGTTTCACATTGCTGTGAATATACTAAAACCCACTGAATTGTACATTTTAAGATGATAAACATTATGTTTTGTGAAATTTTTCTAATTAAAAAATTGGAGAAAAGAAAGCAGAGAGAAACAAGATACATTGCTTTAGGCTGGAGAATAGCTGTTTTAAGGTAGGGAGAAGATTGCTCCACAAACTTCTACCTGGAATGGGATGCTGCAGAGTAGAGCCAAAGTAGGAAGCTGGGTTGGAAACAAATGTTAGAGATGAAGAGGGCAAGTTGGAAGGGATATCAGACTTTGGGCGGGGGCTGCTGGGGTTAAGTTTGTTCCTGAGCTCTGGGTGTGAATGTTGGGGATACAGCAAAATTTAAGTTAGGAAGGAGAGGGGAAAGAAATATTCAACTTTACCACAATTGTAATGAGACCAGAAACAGAATAGTGTTTTCATTCAAGTTTCCCCAAGGACAACTCTTGACTAATAGATTGCTTCTTCATTTGTCAAAAACCAAGTAAATGTTGTCTGAAGATGAAATATTGTTACGATAAGACAATGATATTCTATTTCATAAACACTGGTTACGTTTGTGTTTGTTGGTTTTTCTTTTTTTTTTTTGCCATGAGATTGTACTAGAATTTCAATAAGGATGTTGGTTGCGTTTAATGATTAGGCCTTTGCATTTAACTGAAAATGCTAGACTAACCTAGTTTAGTTATTTCGTTGAGTTGTGTTCAATAATGGTGTGCTATGAGCCACCAGTTAAAATATAAATCAGCTAGTAATATTGACGTCTTTTTCTATTCTGGCAACACACTCGCTTGCCTGCCCATGCACAAGCACTCATGTACGCATGAGTGCATGCACATGAGCAAAAACAAAACTAAAAGCATTTATCAAAGTCAGCTAAACAATCGGTTTCCAAATACCATTCCACAAAATAGCGCTTGTGCAAAGCATGACATTCATCTACAAGTATTTATGGTTAAGTGAGAAAAATCAGGACAACTGTTTGAGCCTTCCATAAACCTAAAAGTGCTTAGTTTAAAGAAGTGCCCTTTATTCTGCATGAATATACTTTATCATTTTTATTATTAAAATTACCTTTCTTTTATAATTTTAAAGATTGAGATCCCAACATTGTTTATTCAGATTTTGATGAAAGATTCTTGGCTTATGAAATCCTCAACCTGGTTAATGCAACATCTTAAAAATACATGTAATTCTACATAGAGCCTATGAGTTATCCTACAGAGAAGAAACCCTTGTGAGAACTTTGGATAGTTAACAAGAGTTGTTTGCCTGCCTTTGTTGTTTAAGACACCAAGCACAGATAGAACACAAGGTTTTGAATTAGAAGGATAGATCACTTATCATGTAACCTTAGACAAATAATTTCAGGTTTTTGAATCTCAGTTTCCTTATCTAGAAAATGGAAGTAAAAATGCCCATCTCAGAGGGTTGGAGTGAAAATTAATGAGAAAAAATATAGAAAACACTATTTCCACACTTGGCAACACTTGATGACTGTTGCTATTTTCTCTTCAGTTGTGTTTGTACCATAACGTTTTCCTTCAAACAATAGTTGTCTTATCTCTGTCAAAAATAACTCTGTTACTAGCCATCGTATCTTGGTTAGAGGTTGTAAAGTCCAAACGGCATTTGATCACAGTGTTTAAAAAGGTATAAGAAGCCAAACTTCATTTTTCAGTGATAAAAAGATGAAGCTTTAAAATAGAGTTTCATAAGGGGAAAGGCTAATAGTTGTTTTTCTTTTATCAAATATGTTAATGGAACATTCATAAGTCTGTGGATTTTTCTGCAGGGTCCACACAAGTTCTGAATCACAGTAGGTTCTATAATGTTGTGGTGAAGAACACGGATGCTGGAGACAGACTGAGTTTTAATTCTATGCTCTCCATTCACACCTTATAACCTTGAGCAAGGTATTTAACTTCTCTTTTCCTCATCTATAAAAAGGCACTAAATAATATCCCTTGTTGCAGACAGTTGCAAGGATAAACGCATTAATACATGTCAAAGGACCTGTGCCTGTTTCAGGCTAACATTCAATAAATGTTACCTCTTCTTGTGCCACAGAGGCTGATTTTGGACTGTCTTTCTAATCCAGCTATGGGTAGCTCCAACCTACAAATTTTCCAGTATTTTTCTTATTTGCTTCCTGACAGTTTCACGTATCCATTCATATATAAGAAAGCAGCCGAAAACAGCAGCATAAAACAAAAGGCATTTTGTTACGTCCACAGATTTTGTGGGTCAGGAAGTGAACAGGGCTCAGGGGGAATTGCTTGTCTCATCTCTATTCCATGGTGTCTGGGGACTCAGCTGAGAAGACTCCAACAGAGAGTGGTAACTCAACGACTCGGAGCTAGAATCTTTTGGAGGCTCCTTCAACTCACAAGTCTGATGCCTTGATTGGAATGACTCAAAGACCTGGCTCAGCTGGGACTGTTGACCACAGCGCCTACATGTAGCCTTTCCATGTGGCTTGGGTTTCTTTCTCCATGGTGGCTGGTTCCTCAGTGGGAGCAACCCCAGAGCGAGTGTTCCAAAAAGCCAGACAGAAGCTGCAAGGCCCTTGATGACCTGGCCTCGGAAGTCAGGGAGCAGTCTACCATACTTTGCTGCTCCAAGCAATCATGAGCCCTTTCTGATTCAAGGGGAGGGGAGGTAAACTCCACTCTGGATAGGAGAAGTGTCAAAGATTTCAGATTTTTTTCCCTTCTTTTTATTTAACTAAATTAAATTAATTAATTAATTAATTTAGAGACGAAGTTTTTGCTCCTATTACCCAGGCTGGAGTGCAATGGCATGATCTCGGCTCACTGCAACCTCCGTCTCCCGGGTTCAAGCGCTTCTCCCACCTAAACCTCCTGAGTAGCTGGGATTACAGGCATGGGCCACCATGCCCGGCTAATTTTTGTGTTTTTAGTAGAGACGGGGTTTCTCCATGTTGGTCAGACTGGCCTCGAACTCCCAACCTCAGGTGATCTGCCCACCTGGGCCTCCCAAAGTGCTGGGATTACAGGCGTGAGCCACTGCGCCCAGTCTTTTTCCCTTCTTTTTAAAAACTTTCTTCCTATATAGCTATCTCCATTTTATCTATAGCACTTATTCTCCAAGTTTTCGTGATTACTGGTCCCTAATCTTCCTCAAGCTCTGTATAACTTTGATAAACTCTCAACCCTAAAATCTGAACTCTAATCATCCCTCTGGTAATCTTTTTTTTTTTTTTTTTTTGAGACGGAGTCTCGTTCTGTCGCCCAGGCTGGAGTGCTGTGGCGCGATCTCCGCTCACTGCAAGCTCCGCCTTCCGGGTTCACGCCATTCTCCTGCCTCAGCCTCCCGAGTAGCTGGGACTACAGGTGGCCGCCACTGCGCCCGGCTAATTTTTTGTATTTTTAGTAGAGACGGGGTTTCACCGTGGTCTCGATCTCCTGACCTCGTGATCCGCCCGCCTCGGCCTCCCAAAGTGCTGGGATTACAGGCGTGAGCCACCGCGCCCGGCCCCCTCTGGTAATCTTTGCTGCTCTTCACACAGCCCAGATGGCATTCCCTGTCACTGCCCACTCCACAAGCCCCACCTCACATCCTTTTTTTTTGCACCAGCTCTACCTGCCTACAGAAGAGCCATTAGGTAGAATAATATTTGTATAATACTAACCAGAATTTCCCTCCATATTATAACTTCCTCCTTGGTCTATCCTCAACTTTGTGAAGCTCACATTATTCTGTTTTATGGACTTAGAGAAGGAATGTACCTTCAGACAGTAGGAAACAGAGGCAGCTCCTCCTAGAAAAGTAGAAAAAACACTGAAGCACAAATATTTGGTTACAAAGATTCCCTCAAGAAACTTCAGAATGAGTTCCCAGTTAGGGGAGAAGAAAAAGTCCGAGAGAGAGTAATGAGAACAGAAATATTGGTGGGTAGCAGACAGATGAGCTCTGTGCACTATGACTTAGGTCAAAGCTTTAGGGAGAGAGTAAAAATCCCAAATAGTTTTATGGGACCTGAGAGCAGAAAGGACCTGAGGCTGTTCCTAGGTCCGTGGAGATGTAGTCCCTGGAGAAGTGGCAATACCTTGAAGAAAAAAATGACTGTATTTAGGTAGGATGAGGCCTTAGCAGCCTAACCACCCACTTAGAAAGACCTGGAATTAAAGAAGGAAACAGCCAATCATGAAAAGACCTTGCAGAGGGAGTCGAGAAAGACTCCTATGGGCTTTTCACCAAGGATAAAAGAGGATGGCATTGTGGACCAAATGCCTTGCTCCCTCAATGTTCTCTTCAACAAGCTCCCCCTGAAACATAAAAATTCATGGAAAAGGAAAGAGAAGCCCAAATGACAAAGATTAACCTTCCATCTCCTTAATAAGAGGTGGTAGGTTCTAATTCTAGAAAAATAAAGCAAAAAAAGCACACCTGAATGTGTACTGTGTGATTCAGGGTCACATATACTTAATGTTTCACACTGATAGAGATTTCCAGAGAGAGGTGGGTGCATACAATAGAATAAATACTATATGGCATTGGTTTCATTATCAATTCTAATTTCTGTTGTCTTGAAATTATATTATATATTAGATCCTTGTTAAATGCATTGAAAGGGACTAAGAGAGCTATTAGGTAAATGGAAATTGTTACAAATGGGAGTTGCCATTCATTCATTTAAACCTTACTGAGCACCTACTATAGGACAAACATTGTGTTCAAAGTTGGGGTTACAGAAATGAAAAGGATGTAGTCTTTGCCCTTGAAAACGAAGCTCACATTCAAACAGCTTTACAACAGACATGATTTCTTTGTTTCATAGACTTGGTCTTAGGTTCATAGCTAGACACATGCCAATGTGTGGGAAATCTGGTCAGTTTGGAAGAAGTACGCTCTTAGAGTTCTTCATTCAAACACATAATGATTCCTGTGGCAATTTTCTCCTTCTGTGAGTTGGTCAACAGACAAAAGAGAAAGCTTTGAAACACATACACATGTATCCATGCACACCATCTCTATATTCTGGAATAGAGCATGCTGCCACCACATAATATATTTAGACAAAAACCACTTACTTTATAGTGATCTTTGTTCACATGAGATCTCCAGTAATAAATAGTATTGCCAATTTCTTCTTTTGTTTGATGTCAGTATAAGATATTCATTTAGAAAATGCACTGGATATAATGTCACCTTAATTATGGTATGGGAAAGTTTAATGAAAATAAATTCCCCTTTCTAGCCTTAGGCTTTAATGCCACTAGTCTCTTCTGTTTATTCCAAAGAATTACATTCTGGCACCCACGAAAATCACATAACAAATGCATAACTAATGCGACATTCACACAAAACATTACATTAGTTCCATATGATCAGCTCTATTCCAGTGAACATCAAACCAAATCACGTTATTGTAATGTGAGTTGTGATTTAATATCCTAATTTGTAAGTAGTTTTGTCTGAACCTAACATGTTGTTTACACCACTCATGGTGGTTTCAAAGACATAGTACACGCACACTTTATTTGGCTTGGCTACCTCTGTCCAATGCCCCCACATAGACACAACCCTAAGTAATATATCAAATAATATTAATATTTTACTACTAAATATGTTCTCAACCATCTTCCTACCAGCTGCCAAATTACAGACAGGCATCAGTTGATTTTTTTCAATAACTCAAAAATCCGTATAATGTAACATGCCTCAGAGTTTGGAGAACTAAAAATTAGGAGGAAAACAGGTTATAATCCCAGCCCAGGGAAATTTAACAGCTGCATAGTATTATTATGAAGTGAGGTTAAAATCATTCCATGAGCAAAAGTCCAGTCTATTTTGAAATGAGACATTCTTTCTGCCTGAAGTCTTTTCCTCCCACTTTATATGGTTGGCTCAGTGGCATCCTGTAGGTCTCAGCTCAGTTGTTAGCTCCTAAGAAGGCCTCTGACTCCCCTATTTAGAGCAGGCCCCTCTGTATCAGTTACTCCCTATCACGTCACTCTGTTTGGTGATCTCAACTACCTGCCTGCTCTCCCTTTTTCCTTAGCAATCGAATTGCTACCTAATTTCTAGGTAAGCCTATGGCCAACTAGAATGATGTCTTCCTATTCCAGCTTTCCCTTCAGTCACAAACTACATTCTTACTGTTGGGACAAAACACTAATTACCCTTACAGGGAGGAGATATGGCCCTCTTCTCACCTTTGTCCTCTATGCAGATGTAATGGCTGAAGGCCAAGCAGCCATCTTTGGTCTACGAGGTAGAAAGCATACGTTGAGAATGATGAACAAATCTGGATCTTTGATGAATTCATGAAGCTGCCTTATGCATACTTGAAGAACCTATCTCTGACCTTTAATGTGAGAAAGAGAGAAATAAACTTCCTAAGCTACAATTAACATTCAACTTATATAGCAACTGCTCCAGCATATAAACCTGTTCCAACCGAACAAAATAGGGCACTGGTCAATCAGAATTGATGCCAGTGTTAAAAAATTGTAGCTGCCCCTATATATAGGCTGAATCACAACACAGGCTTGGTTAAAGCCAAATGATTTTGAATCTTCTGTCACTTGCAGCTAAACCTAATCCTATGAAGTATATTTCATTTTCTTTATAACCCTGGTTGTAGTCTCTGATTATCTTTTCATTGTTTTACTTGTTCATTATCTTTCCCTCCCCTTAAAATCTAATCTCTATGAGGGCAGAGACTCCTCTGGGGTTTGCTGCTGGAACATTGCTCTGTTGAATGTTAAAAGAATGAATGAACTATTTCTTTAATTTTTTATTGCGAGATATAATATTTTGGGAATTGCAGATCTGGAGGAGTGAAAAGAATTCTATTTGGAGAACTAGGGTTGGCAGTGGAATTGACAAAAGTTTTTTTTTCTCCCAGACTCAAAAAAAAAAAAAACCTGATGAAATTAGTGGTAGATAAAAATTCATTTCTAGCTTCTAACAAGGAATCACAAACAATGGAGGACATATAAAGAGAGTAGCAGCTTTATTAATAATACTTTCCTACTCCAGTCGTGATCTTTTGATGACAACCCTACCGGAGACACTCTTTATCAGGCACTAAAGCAATTTAGATGCTGTCACATGCCTTTCTTGATATATACGTATTAGACATAAAGCAGTTTTCTGTTCTTTAGCTTATTTTAGTATATAATTAAAACTCTGACTGTCTGCTACTAAGCAACGGAGCATGGCAGAGGTTGATCACATCCTATCACAAAGATAGAAAGAAGAAAAATAATAAAAATAATCATACACATTCCTGTAATCAGTCTTCAGATCTTAATTATGTTTTAACTCCTTTGTTATGCCAAAGGCAATGCCTATTGGCATTTAAAGGACACTCTCACTTTTCTGCCTAAGTTCAATCTAGTTCTTTAATTTGGATCCTAGTCTATTTATGAAATTCTTTGGGGGGCATTTAAGGTCATAAGGGGTGATAGAAAACTGAGATAGGACTCAGGAGGTTTAAGATCCATTCAGCCCTCAGACTGGTTTATTGTGCCCAGGGGTGCAGCCAAATTCTCTCCTCTGAGGTACAGAGGCTGTGGTGGGGTGCATGCAAGACTGGAGGAGGATGGGGGAAGAAGGAGGCAGGGTTTGCAACATTGGTGGGTGAGCAAGTGCACACGTACACAAAACAGCCCTCTACCACCTTTCTATGTGTCTTAAGGTCTGACCTCTGAAGCTTCAATTGTATATTTCACTCTGATTCCAAAGATGCTTTTCATCAGAGCCTTAATTTTTACATTAATGGTATTTCTTTAAAATTGTTGAAGTGTATCTGTTTTGGAGAATACGCTTAGGGATAATAACTCATGCTTCTGTTCTGGCCCCCTCCTTCCTCAACTTCCAAAAAGACTTCAAAATATAAGTCGCATTTACTCATTCATTCATTCCCTCAACTATTAATTTTCCAAGCCCCCATTTTGTACCATTTTATGTTCTAGGGCTCATATTGTCACTCATGGGTGGGTTCCATTGCTTGGTGGGTGATAGTCAGATGACCACAACCGAGAAGGATTTATTAAACAGATATTATTACTATTACTTACAACAGGTAAGGAGGGCACTGGGCATAGTTCCCAAAGCAGTAGCTCTCCAAACAAAGGTAAAAACAGGGCTTTTCTTGGGCTTGTTAGCTGAGTCATTGTATGTAGAGCTGGCGTCACCACAGCGTGTGTGCAGTCACTGATCATGCTTCCACATACATCACGTGTATAGAAAATGGCCAATAAGCTCCTCCCTGGGCAGGGTTTTTAGTAGGGCAATGAGGGGAGTTCACTAAAGTTCATGTCTAACTCAGGCATCTCTGGATCCAACCCATTTTTGCTATTCCAGGGCTGAGCTTCTTCCTGGAACATTCATGAAACAACAAGAACTCAAGGTGTAACAGTTACAAATAGGTACTTTTTCCCAGTGTATACTCTGAAACCCAGGGACCTTGATTACATAATGGTGAACAAATCCATTACCTTTGCCTTTGTGGAGCTTCCATTCTATAGTGAAAGACAGCCAGTAAGTAAGAGGGGCTCTTTACAAATAGGAATGGATTATTAGTGCATATTGAACTCTCACTATGCTAGACTTACAGTCAATTCATGGTGTTATTTACTCCTCTCACCAACCAATGAAAGAGGTACGGAGGCTGTACAATGGTAGCACATTGCCTGGGCTTGCAGCCTGCCTCTGCCACTTACTCTGTGTAATCTTAAGCAAGTTCCTGAATCTTTGCTTGCCTCGGTTTCTTTATCTGTCAAATGGGTATCCTACTTTATATAGGGTTGTTGGGAGAATCATGCATCTGTAGCTCTCACAGCAGTGCTCAGCATTTTGTTCAATTTTCCAGATAAATAAATCAAGGCATAGACAGATTAAATAATTTGTCCCAATCCATTCAGCTAATAAAAAGTGGGAACCAAAATTCCAACCCCAGTCTCTGACTGTACCACGTGTGCCCTTACCCACGATTCAGCTTTGTTCTTCCAGCAAGGTCTCTTCGCCTCTTGGAAGATCAGTTTCTCCACCTGCAATCTGGGCATAAATTGCCTCCCTCCCACCTAGTCTGTTGTGAGAATGAACCATGATAAGGTATTTTAAAGTGCTTTGAAAACTGTAAAGCACCACAGAAAATGTGTCTATTATTGTTATATTTATATTTTTATATTTACCACTTTAATTTGAGTGTGATAAGTTGTGTTTGCATATTTGTCATATAAGGCTTTCTGTTTAATCCATCATGGTTCACATAGAACCTGTTAGCCAGCCTGGGAGCCTCTGTAGTGCTTTCTTAAACTTTCATTAGTCAACCCCACTTTTTGAAGATGATCCCTGTCAGTTCTCCTCCAAGTGGAAGAGGAAATACAGAAGATAGGAACTGAAACCATCTACTGTTTCGGATACTTGTTAAACGTTCTGTGAAAGTTTTAGTTGTTTGGGCAGATGGTGAAAGCACTTCAAAATCCTGGGGACAGAATTCAACATGAGTGAGCCCAAGTAAGGGGGAGTTCATTGAAACGATAAAGGGGCATCTCAGCAAATCTGGAGAAGCCAAGCATTTAAGCATGCCTTAAGGAAACCAAGTTATGGGCCCAGAACCCTTTCTCCTTGCAAGCAGGGGCGACCTCCAGCGGGTTTCAGATAAACTAAAAGTGGCTAATGCTGGCCGGGCGTGGTGGCTCACGCCTATAATCCCAGCACTTTGGGAGGCTGAGGTGGGTGGATTACCTGAGGTAGGGAGTTTGAGACCAGCCTGACCAACATGGAGAAAGCTCGTCTCTACTAAAAAAAAAAAAAAAAAAAAAAAAAATTAGCCAGGCATAGTGGCACATGCCTGTAATCCCAGCTACTAGGGAGGCTGAGGCAGGAGAATCGCTTGAACCTGGGAGGCAGAGGTTGCAGTGAGCTGAGATCATGCCATTGCACTTCAGCCTGGGCAACAAGAGCAAAACTCAATCTCAAGAAAAAAAAAAAAAGTGGCTAATGCTGTCATGTCATTTGGGGAAAGATTTCATTCTGGAGATGTCATGTGCCTCCACAAAAGGAAACGATATGACTTCTTTAACTAAATTCAAAGTATTCTGTTTTGACCCAGATGTATATAGATCAACACAAGTCCTTATCAATATACAGCATAAGAGGAGGTATTTAATGTCTCTTTATTCAGAGTTGTGGTACTGCACCACCCAAAGATTTCTAACCACGTGAGATTTTTGAGAGCCCAGACCCAGAAGACATTCTTTGGGGGGACATAAAAAAGGATGCTGATCAGTCCCCAGTTAAGGTCATACAAGGAAATAGAAATAATCTGGAATTAGGGAGGCCAGTCAAAATTCTGCTAAAATGATGAGCTACATTAGGAAAAATTCAAAAGTACCATTTATCTGCAGATGTCTATGCATTTGAACAGAGAGATATTCTGAGCCATTCCACTCACAGAGAGACTGATAACTACTTTAAAAAGTAACCTGTAGGTTGCTACATTTAGGAAGGTCCTTAATAAATATTATGGATGGCGATATAACTGATGCTTAAATATCTGTAATATGGGGTTGAGGGCAGAAAAAAAAAATCAGAGTTGGATATACTGCATTGAAAATAAAATTCCACCCAAAATATCAAAAACATAGAAATTGTACAGAGGCAGGTGAGCAAGAGGAGCGAATTCTTAAGAATACAAGGTGGCCTGCTTCATCGTTCTTTCTCAGACTTTTATAATCTTCCTTTGTATTAAAAAACTAAAGCCGACATGGCCTCTTGTCTCTGTCCCCGACTCAACACCTGAACCATATATATATATTATTCTGCTTCTCTACAGAGGTCAACTGGCACGTGTGTTTATTTATATGCAAAGATCCTCAATTGGCTGCCCCAGAAAGAGACAGCATGTGCAGAAAAGATTTAGAGAGATCCCAAATGGGACACAGAGAGAACGCAATTGGTTGTCATTTATCAATGAATCAGCTCCTCAGGAATGAGATGTCTGTCCTTGTCCTGATCAGCTATGATAGGGATAGAGCCACCTTGCAAGACTTTTTTCTCTTTAATCAATAAAGAAGTTGTGAGTTGGGCACCCTTTCCATAATTTCTCTATTTTTGGTAATTTGGGTGGAATTTTATTTCTCATGCAGTGTATCCAACTCTGATTTTCTCTCTCTCAATTCCACATTATAGATAGTTAAGCATCAGTTATACAATCACCCCTAATATTTATTAAGGACATTCTTAAATGGGGCAATGTATTGATTACTTTTTATTTATTTTTTATTATACTTTAAGTTCTAGGGTACATGTGCACAACTTGCAGGTTTGTTACGTATGTATACATGTGCCATGTTGGTGTGCTGCACCCATTAACTCATCATTTACGTTAGGTATATGTATAGATTACTTTTTAAAGTAGTTATTAGTCTCTTTGTGATGGAGTGGCTCAGAATATTATACACCTGAAGATTCTCTCTTATCAATGACCAGCCGTGAACATCCTCAGTGTGACACCTTGAAAAAAGAATTTACATCTGAATCTGTGTTTTATGCTTCTAGTCAATCTACCAACTTTTGGTACCACTATACTTAAAATACTACAAGGAACAACATAATCTGTGCCCTCAAGGAGTTTTAATCTGGAGTGAATCATGACATATATAAGATTTTAACATTTTCTCCAAGCCCAGCTGTGAAATGAATAACTAAATTGGCTCCTCAAAACAACAACAAAAAAATGCCTTTAAAATATCTTCTGTTAGCTTGCATGCAAAAGTTTTAACTACTCTCTTCCTAACTAACTCTTTTCTGGCGAGGTTATGCTTTAGCTGCCACCACTCAGGAAAGCATTATAATTGTAGCACTAGCTTAGCCAAAAGGCCAAGTTTTTGCTTTAGGATAAACTTGTTAAAATTGGGAACTCAGCCAGGGTCATGCATCTAAGAACATTGTGAAAGCATCTTAGGGTTGTTCATCTAGCTATGGTCTAATTAATTTTCAAATGGACAAAGTAGTTTCTTGGGCCATATAACAAGCATTTTCATTCATTTAAGTGAAGCTGGATTTGGCTCAAAGCAGGGTCATGAGAAATTCTAATGGCTCCTTCTCTTCTTTGTGTGTCCTCAGGAGAGCTTCCTCGATGTCAACAATGCAAGATTTGTGCTGCGGGCAATTGGAGTAGAATCAGCTTCCTGAGAGCCAAGTTCTTTGACTTCCCCTAGAAGGAAAGGGTATGGAACCAAGCATATGGGAAGGCTCTCTAGGCCCTTTTACATTATTGGATTTAGCTACGCTCACATAATGAAATTGTTGAGATTGTTTAAACCTTCTGCAGGGACTTCTGTTAGCAGAAAAGAAACTTGTACTAAAGCCATAAGAAGATTGTATTATAGATATAATGGAATCTTTTTTATCTTTTGCCTGGTTTTCTGCACAGGACTGACATATTTTTCTGGGCATGAAGCCAAAGGTCTATTTAATTTCTACTTAAAATTTCCCATGGCCACTAATACTCTCCCCCTAGATAGCTGCTTTATAAATGAATAAATAAAGACAAAGCCACTAGAAAGGTTGTGAATCCTTGTAAGCTTTTTTTTTTTAAGGTGGCTATTTTGCACTCCAATAACATCTATAAAAAGCGTGTTCCTGAATCTTTAGGACAATGCTTCACTGCTATCAATCAAACTTCCGTAAAATATTGAACTTATCTTTGTCCTAAGACCACAGCCATGATTAAATAAGACTTGAATATAAAAATGCAGGTTTACTTGCATCAGATGAGTTCTCGTGAACATATGAGGTTATATCACTCCTATTTTTACTGCATTTAGGATTTTTGAGTGGTAATAATGTTTTTCAATTTAAAACTGACTTATTTTTATTTTTCTAGGAGGTTTTTGCCAATTAGGTGACAGGTTTTTTTTGTTTGTTGTTTTGTTTTTGTTTTTGTTTTTGAGAGAGAGAGAGAGCAAGAGTGAGAGAGAGATTGAAGTCGGGGAGAGAACCCAGATGTTAGAAACTGGCCCAAGCAGTCAGCTTCTCATAAAGGACCATCCTGACAGTTTGACTGTAAAAAAGGCACCCCATTGAGCACTACATGTTCCAGGAAATGGCTGGCCACGGAAAACCTTCTGTTCCTAGCATTCATTTCCAGAATGTCCCCAGACTGCTTGTTTGCTCCCTCCCAGCCAACAAAGGGCAGTCAAATGTACCTGAAGATCAATTAGAAAGTCACCCTGGCTTCCAGAAATCTCACCTTTATAGAACCCTCAGCAGTCAGAGGCTGTCTCAGCCTATCCTTTTTTATTCTATAAAAATCACTCTCCTCTCTAACACCCGGGAACCCTGCTGAAACGAAACTGACAGCAGATGGGTTCCCTTGCCATCAATTTATGAATAAACAGCCTTTGTTCATTTTGTCTCGAACTTAGTTTTGTCTTTGACAGATGTAACCATGACTTAAAGCAATACCCGGCTTGTAGAAGAAGTATTTACTTATTCAACAAATATCTACTAAGTACCTACTAAGTGCCAGGCACTATTCTCAGCACTGAGACGTAAGATACGTAATTTGTCATTGGTGACTCACTTCTTGTGAATCCAAGAGCTCCATAAATAGTGGTCATTTATTATTAACAATCCTTTCTGAGATAAAAACCTGCTTTTTATAGTTTACGGAGAAGTAGCTTTTGTTTTATAAGTGTAACTGCAACCAAATAGTTCCCACATGATATCATAGCCCACTTGTGATACGGGAGTACCGGGAACGGAAGAGCGTGGTCCCTTTAAATGATACGGAAGTGGGGAAGGGAAGTGAGGGGTAGAGGAAGGCGGGTCCCTGGCTCGGCTCTACCCCCATGGATCTAGGTGAGGACAGGCGCTCCTGCTTTCCCGCCCAAATGTTGTATTTTCCAAGCCTACCCTTGCCGGCCACGCCCCCAACCTGGGCCTATAAAAACCGCCCCCCGCAGGCCCTAGCGGGCAGACACACTGAAGTCGCTAGACATTTGAGGAACACATCCGGGGAAGAAGACACAGGTGGCTGGTCATGGAGAGCCCGCTGGGGGAAGAGCACACAGACAGGCACCGGCAGGCCATTGACCAGCGGGACAAGGTGGAGTTTGGCTGGGGCAGTGGGAGGAGAGCTGGGGCCGCCGAGCTGCCCTACTCCAGGGGAAAACCACCTCCCTTCTCGCTCCCCCATCACCGGAGAGCTACTTCCACTCAATACAACTTTGCACTCATTCTCCAAGCCACGTGTGACCAATTTTTCCGGTACACCAAGGCGAGAAATCCGGGGATACAGAAAGCCCTCTGTCCTTGCGATAAGGTAGAGGGTCCAATTGAGCTAACACAAGCTGCCTATAGACGGCAAACTAAGAGAGCACCCAGTAACACACGCCTGCTGGGGCTTCAGGAGCACACACGTCCACTGGGGCTTCGGGAGCTGTAAACAGTCAGCCCTAGACACTGTCGTGGGATCGGAGCCCCACAGCCTGCCTGTCTGTATGCTCCTCTAGAGGTCTGAGCAGCGGGGCGCTGAAGAAACGAGCCACACTCCCATCACACGCCCTGAGAGGAGGACAAGGGAACCCGTACCGTTTCACTTGTGATAGAGATAAAGTTATTATTGTTGTAATTTTAACTTATAGAACTATAATATAATGGTACAATGATATATATTGACAATATTCCTCTTTCACCCACATTTTGTATCTGTGTTCAAGATTAAATGAAAAAGGATATTCTCAAAAAGCTAGCAAAACCAAAAGCAAGACGTTATGCCAAATGTAAACATATTTCTGTTTAGCAAATAGCAGGAGTGTATAAAACATTTCTCTTTTCACATAACAGAATGTTCTATGCTTACTGTATTAGTTAACAAATTCAAGTCTGTTTATTTTGTTTGAAATTCCACTTCATCCATAAATTACAGCATTACACAATAACACCAGAAGGACAATATCACCATTGTTTGCTTTTACAGTCATCTCAGCCCACAAAATGCTTCCCATTGTCAGCTTGCTATCATCAAGCTATTGTTGTTTTCCTCTTTCTGGGGTCTTGTATTAATATCATTCAAATTATTTAGACACTCAACAGTGTTTTTGCTATCAGTGCAAACCTCTAAAGAGCTGGAGCCCCAGCGTGATGACCAAATAACCCTTGACTATTTATCTTGCCGTAAGTCATTATTTCCTGAGGCCCTGGAGAAGCTGTGTTGCCATGTGTGCACTGCAGGGACGGGGAGCTTCTCCTGCCGGAGCTGGTTTGTTCCACTGGACAATGAGCCCTTTTCTGCTTGGCTCTCTGTATGGGCACATACACAATGAGGCGGTTTAGGGAAGAGGGGTGATGTGGGTCATTGATAACAACAATCCCCGAACTTCTTAAAGAATTGTTGAGCCCCCTAAAAATATGTTGTCTTTATGAATTATCCTTAACCCTTTTTAATTGCATAAAAACTTCAGGCACTTGAAAAAAATTAAAAAACGAAAAGTAAGTCTGTCTCTAGTATCCCTCTTCTCCTTTGTAGAATTACATCCTTTATTCACTCTGCCACTATTTATTATGTGCCTCCTGTGTGTAAGACATACTGTTAGTCATTGGAAATACAGAAATGAATGGGACAGACACACTTCTTGCCCTCATGGAACTTAGGGCCTAATGGGAGATACAATGTTAAGGTTGTTTCTAGTGTTTTTTTTTTTTTTTAAGAATATGTTCTACATGTATACATGTAATATGTATTCTCTCCCATTTTTAAAAAACATAAATGGTGGTTTACTATGTGTACGCTTTTTGGTTTTGCATTATTCTTTTAACAGTATGTAGAGGATGCATTTTCTACTGTATAGTGTTCTGTCCCCCTTAAATAGCACTCTGATTTTATTTTGGGGGGGAATCACGACTTTCTAATTTTGCATACTCCTTGTGGGATTGTAAATCAGGTCCCCTGTCCTCAAGTAGCCAATGGTTAGGTATGCAACCCAGCTTATCTCTCTTTAGACTCAATCTCAAGCAGATCCAGAGTTACTCAGGATCAGAACAATATTTGAAAGGCATTACCAGAATCCAGACAAGATGATGGAGCAATACCTGATGCCCAGTGGTCTAGGGTAGCCGATTCCTGTTCTGCTCTCCAGGCTCCTGTCCATTCTGTGGATCAACTCATATTGCTCCAATTCATTTTGTTTTGCTTGCATAAGCCAGAATTAACTTCTGTTGCTTGTAAACAAAGAGAGTTAACCAAAGACATACAGTATATCAGAGTATAGAGACCTACTTTACTCTCGGTCATTGCCTGCATGAGTCTTCTTTATATGGATGTATCACAGTTTATTTAACCACTCCCTTGTAAGTGGACATTTAAGTCTAGTGTTCTGTAAATAAAAGGTCAGAATATACGTCTGTATACAGTATATATTCTTGCATATCCACCTTTGGACAGATGTGTGAATGTGTTTTGTAGAAATACATTTGTAGAAATGCAACTGCTGGGTCAAAGAATTAGTAGATTTTTAATAACATCAAACAGCGTTGAAGGCCCCCATATAAGAATAACAACTACTGACTGAAGACATAACTAATTAAAAAAATTAATTACAGCTTATTTGTAATAACTTCTTATTGTCACTGAGTGAAAAGGTAATTCTCGTTGAATTTACGAAAAGTGACTAATAGGAAATTTAGAAAACTCAGAGAATATATAAAAACACAAAGAAAAGCCAGCCACCAAGTCGCTTATAATTCTCTCACCAACAGTGGCAGAATTACATTTAGTCATCATCATTATTCTTACATCCAGTTTTATAGTTATTTTTGAAGAGGATTATTATCAACTATCAACTCTGTCATAGCTGGAAGTAGAGGCCACTAAAACAGATTTCTTAAACTCCAAGTACTGTATATGGATTTTCTACTTTTTTTTGTTTTTGATTACTAATTTAGTTGCTAGAGGTCAGAGAACATACTCTATATGGTTCCAACCTCTTGAAATTTATTAGGAGTTACTTCATGGCCTGTTATCAATTGTGGTTACATTTTACATGTGCCTGTGAAGAATGTGCCTTATCTAGTTTGGGACAGTATTCTATGTACTTGCTTTGAATTGGGTTTGCTAGTTGTGTTCTTCAGATCTTTTACATCTATACTGATTTTGTTCAGTTGGCCTGATAGTAGCAGAGAAATAGATGTTAAAATATCCTACTATGATTGTGGATTTACCTACTACTTGTTATAATTCTGTTAATTTTTGATTCATGTATTTTGAGGTTATGTTGTTAGGTGCATACAAATTTAGAATTCCTGCATTTTCCTGAGGAGTAAATATTTGTTATTTATTTGCCTCTGTTTACTCCAATAGTACTTTTGACAGAAAATATATTTTGTTTTATTTCACAGTTTCCATTTTGTTAGTTTATATGGCATGTATTTTTACTCTTTTTAAAAATATTTTGCCTTCAACCATTATACTTAATGCCTTTTAAACAGTGTATAGTGGTTTGTTTTGTTTTGTTTTTAAATCCAGTTGGATAGTCTTTGTCATTTAAATGGAGCATTTAGTACATTTATAGTTAATGTAATTATTGATATATTACAGAGTGTCTCCTATCTATCTAGCCTATCCCCTCTTCTTTTTCTTTTCTCTTTTATGTTTTTGGATAAATTTTATTGAAGAGTTTTTCTTATCTCATGCTTTGCTCTAGGAGTTTGAAAGTTTTACTTATATTATTTTGGTATTTACATGGTTATTAAATCTATCTTTGACATATCAAAGTCTAATATTAGGACTTTTAACTTTATTATGAACATTAGTGATAGCCACTTTAATGCTATTTATTCTCTACTGATTAATATGACATTGTGTATTTTAATTTTATATATTACAAAAGCCAGTAAGACATTAGTATTATTGTTTTGTACATTCAGTATTCATTTTGACACATCACATATTTACCATATTTTTTTTGCTCTTTACTCTTTTTGTATGTCTGTTCTTTCATCTGGGATAATCTTCCTTCAGCTTAAAGAATACTTTTTAATATATTTTTTAGTAAGTATCTGGTGACAAATTCTTCTAGTCTTTTAGAATGAAAATGTCTTTATTTTGGCTTCATTGGGAATTAATTTTTTTAATTTGCCAGTTTGACAGGTGATAATGGTATTATACTGCTTTAATTTGCATATATTTTATATATTTACTATCTTTTTTCTTTCTTCTCTTGGGTACTTAATTTTTTACAAAGTTAAAAGCTTCTTTTTTCTTTCTGTTTCTTTTGTCTTTTTGCAGGAGAGGAGGAGAGGCTGAATTTTTCATATAACTGGGGTTAAAATACTATTATGATTTTGGTAACATCTGTTTATTGTGCACAGGTGTTCATGCACACACACAGACACAAGACACCTGTCTAAGAGCTGCCTATGGCTAGTAAGTTAGCTCACATAAAGTTAGTAAAGTTAGTAAGTTAGTAAGTTGCCCACATAGAGTGGGCAGACATTTTGTTAACAACACCAAGACGTATAAAACATTCTGTAAATGTTATTTTATAAAAAATTCTGTAAAAATTTTTGATTTCTTGGGACAAACTTTTATTTCTGATAAAGCCTATTAGTTCAGAAGGATGTCTTGGTACCATAAAAAGATATCAGAAAAATTACAAATTATAATCAATATGTACTTTATTATTCTGTAGGTGCAATAATGAAAGAAAACCTGGGTGACAGTCAACTTGTAGAGCTAAAAGGGATCCTAGAGACAACATAGCTAACACCTAGGATTTCTTACAGCTTAAAAGAGGTACAGATCAGTCCTATCTTCTAAGACTTCCAAAATGTTAGAAACAAAGAAATACCTAAACCAGCTTACAACATTTACAACATTTTTTAAAGTTTGAAAATTTCAAATTAAAATTTAGTCAGCATACAAAATACAATGCAACATAACTGCATTGGTCACAAGTTATAGTTTTTAAAAACAAATACTAACACCACATTACACAGGCAGTGAGTTCAGATAATGAGACATAAAGTTTTGTGGAGAACGTTATCTATTATCCATCCTTGAGTATCTTTCTCTGATCACGTGTAAAACAATACATAGAGTTCATGTTTAAGCATCTACACCTAAGGCTTTAAATCCTAGGCCAAATGACCCACTTAGCCACTTTTTTTCATTTTACTGATGACAAAATGGAAGCCCAAAGGGGGAACTGCTTTATCCAGCATTGTTTCACTGAGTGGCAGAGCCCGGGCTGGAGCCAGAACTCTGAATGCTAGACCAATGTTTTCTCATCTGAGTGCGTTCTCTCTCTTTGCTACAATGTTTCAGTAAGAGGAGATTTTTCTGTTGAAATTTCATTGAAGGGAAGAGATAATCCTGGGCCAATAGAAATTCACTCCTTCAATGAAATATTTTATTTTAAAAGTTACCTGAAAGTCTGTGGTTATTCTCTTATCCCTCCTGCCCTTGTTTAAGTTATATATTGATGAATAACAGAGCACCCCAAAACTTAGTGGCTTAAAAAGATAATAATTTATTATTATTCACAGTACTTACATTAGGAATGCTAGTAGAGCTTATCTGGGCAGTTCTTCTGTTCCATATGGGGTGGGCTGGGCTGGGAGCTACAAGAAGATGCTACTTACTTGTCCCACATTGCATCTCTGAACTTCACCATGTGTCCTTCTTTCTCCATGTGGTGTTTCATCATTTAGTATTCTGGCCCAAGCTTTTTTAGAGCGTGGCATCTGGCTTTCTACATTCAAAGTGGAAGCTCTTAAAGGCCTCTTGAAGACCTTGACCAGAACTGGCAGAGTGTCACCCCCACCATATTCCACCAGCCAAAGCAGGTCACAGGCAGGACCAGATTCAGAAAAAGGGGCAGAGCATTTACCTCTTGATGGTTGGAATGACATGCAGGTACAGGGTGGGAAGGAATGGAGGGAAGTCGTCTTTGGATACTATTCACCACTCTCCCTTAGCACGTACTTGGTATTTCTTTTCTGAAGACCAGAACACATTGCTTCTTTCAAACTTGTTTTTATTTTAAAGCATAAATTAGAACATGAGTTGCACATATGCTTACCCACTTGGTCCTTTCCTTATTGACTAAAGATAGAACAGACTTGTTCTAAACAGGCTTCAGTTAATGCAAAGTATGTAGGCCACCCCTATAGAAACTTGCTTCATAATCAAGAATTCATGTAATGTTTTAGTTTTTCTTTTGCCTCAGCCCTCCTGGTATTAGCCAATAAAAGAATTATAGTTTTAATAACTAGTTGACAGAGCTGATTTTATCGATTTTAATAAATAATCAAACATGCCTGAAAGCAAAAACATCAAACAAATGATTTAAATCCCTAAAACCTTGCCTGTGCTAATCATGAAACTCAGTTAAATGACTAAGATAAAACAGATTAGTGTCATTAGGCAAAAAAAGAACATGCACCAATTACAGAATATGTCTTATCAGTTTGCGTAATAAAAACCTCAAATGCTAGATGAGCAGCTGTGCTCTCACACATTTGTGGAGTGTTTCAGACTCTTATTTTAAATAGTCATCCAAGGGAAACCAATAACCACATCATAAGAAAGAGGAAGGGAATGTGTATTAAGGGCCCGCCCTTCCCTCATGGCGTTCTGTCCTTTTGTATTTTTCCTGAGCCTTATAAAGTTTGGCGAAGCTGGATACAAAGACTCAGAGATGAAGTAAGTAGTCCAAGGACCTACAGCTAATGAGAGGTGGAAGTAGGATTTGTACCCAGGTCTTAGTGGTTAACCAAGTCCATGTGATTTCTACCACTCCTATGCTACTTCTCAAAAGGGAATAAAACCACAGCTTATCAGGAGCAATGCTCCTTGGATCAACCCTAAGACCTTTCCTGTTTATTTTTTTATTTTTTCCTTTTTTTTAAATTATACTTTAAGTTTTAGGGTACATGTGCACAACGTGCAGGTTAGTTACATATGTATACATGTGCCATGTTGGTGTGCTGCACCCATTAACTCGTCATTTAACATGTTAATGCTATCCCTCCCCCCTCCCCCCACCCCACAACAGGCCCCGGTGTGTGATGTTCCCTTTCCTGTGTCCATGTGCTCTCATTGTTCAATTCCCACCTATGAGTGAGAACATGTGGTGTTTGGTTTTTCGTCCTTGTGATAGCTTGCTGAGAATGATGGTTTCCAGCTTCATCCATGTCCCTACAAAGGACATGAACTCATCATTTTTTATGGCTGCATAGTATTCCATGGTGTATATGTGCCACATTTTCTTCATCCAGTCTATCATTGTTGGACGTTTGGGTTGGTTCCAAGTCTTTGCTATTGTGAATAGTGCCACAATAAACATATGTGTGCATGTGTCTTTATAGCAGCATGATTTATAATCCTTTGGGTATATACCCAGTAATGGGATTGCTGGGTCAAATGGTATTTCTAGTTTAAGATCCTTGAGGAATCGCCACCCTGACTTCCACAATGGTTGAACTAGTTTACAGTCCCAACAACAGTGTAAAAGTGTTCCTATTTCTCCACATCCTCTCCAGCACCTGTTGTTTCCTGACTTTTTAATGATCGCCATTCTAACTGGTGTGAGATGGAATCTCACTGTGGTTTTGATTTGCATTTCTCTGATGGCCAGTGATGATGAGCATTTTTTCATGTGTCTGTTGGCTGCATAAATGTCTTCTTTTGAGAAGTGTCTGTTCATATCCTTCACTTTTTGATGGGGCTGTTTGTTTTTTTCATGTAACTTTGTTTGAGTTCATTGTAGATTCTGGATATTAGCCCTTTGTCAGATGAGTAGACTGCAAAAATTTTCTCCCATTCTGTAGGTTGCATGTTCACTCTGATTGTAGTTTTTTTTTTGCTGTGCAGAAGCTCTTTAGTTTAATTAGATCCCATTTGTCAATTTTGGCTTTTGTTGCCATTGCTTTTGGTGTTTTAGACATGAAGTCCTTGCCCATGCCTATGTCCTGAATGGTATTGCTTAGATTTTCTTCTAGGGTTTTTATGGCTTTAGGTCTAACATGTAAGTCTTTAATCCATCTTGAATTAATTTTTGTATAAGGTGTAAGGAAGAGATCCAGTTTCAGCTTTCTACATATGGCTAGCCAGTTTTCCCAGCACCATTTGTTAAATGGGGAATCCTTTCCCCATTTCTTTTTTTTGTCAGGTTGTCAAAGATCAGATGGTTGTAGATACGCGGCATTATTTCTAAGGGCTCTGTTCTGTTCCATTGGTCTATATATCTGTTTTGGTACCAGTACCATGCTGTTTTGGTTACTGTAGTCTTGTAGTGTAGTTTGAAGTCAGGTAGCATGATGCCTCCAGCTTTGTTCTTTTGACTTAGGATTGACTTGGCGATGTGGGCTCTTTTTTGGTTCCATATGAACTTTAAAGTAGTTTTTTCCAATTCTGCGAAGAAAGTCATCGGTAGCTTGATGGGGATGGCATTGAATCTCTAAATTACCTTGGGCAGTATGGCCACTTTCACGATATTGATTCTTCCTACCCATGAGCATGGAATGTTCGTCCATTTGTTTGTATCCTCTTTTCTTTCATTGAGCGGTGGTTTGTAGTTCTCCTTGAAGAGGTCCTTCACATCCCTTGTAAGCTGGATTCCTAGGTATTTTATTCTCTTTGAAGCAATTGTGAATGGGAGTTCACTCATGATTTGGCTCTCTGTTATTGGTGTACAAGAATGCTTGTGATTTTTGCACATTGATTTTGTATCCTGAGACTTTGCTGAAGTTGCCTATCAGCTTAAGGAGATTTTGGGCTGAGATGATGGGGTTTTCTAGATATACAGTCATGTCATCTGCAAACAGGGACAATTTGACTTCCTCTTTTCCTACTTGAATACCCTTTATTTCTTTCTCCTTCCTGATTGCCCTGGCCAGAACTTCTAACACTATGTTGAATAGGAGTGGTGAGAGAGGGCATCCCTGTCTTGTGCCAGTTTTCAAAGGGAATGCTTCCAGTTTTTGCCCATTCAGTATGATATTGGCTGTGGGTTTGTTATAAATAGCTCTTATTATTTTGAGATACGTCCCATCAATACCTAATTTATTGATAGTTTTTAGCATGAAGCGTTGTTGAATTTTGTGAAAGGCCTTTTCTTCCTCTGTTGAGATAATCATACGGTTTTTGTCTTTGGTTCTGTTTATATGCTGGATTATGTTTATTGATTTGCATATGTTGAACCAGCCTTGCATCCCAGGGATGAAGCCCACGTGATCATGGTGGATAAGCTTTTTGATGTGCTGCTGGATTTGGTTTGCCAGTATTTTATTGAGGATTTTTGCATCCATGTTCGTCAGGGATATTGGTCTAAGATTCTCTTTTTTTGTTGTGTCTCTACCAGGCTTTGGTATCAGGATGATGCTGGCCTCATAAAATGAGTGAGGGAGGATTCCCTCTTTTTCTATTGATTGGAATAGTTTCAGAAGGAATGGTACCAGCTCCTCCTTGTACCTCTGGTAGAATTCGGCTGTGAATCCATCTGGTCCTGGACTTTTTTTGGTTGGTAAGCTATTAATTATTGCCTCAATTTCAGAGCCTGTTATTGGTCTATTCAGAGATTCAGCTTCTTCCTGGTTTATTCTTGGGAGGGGTGTATGTGTTGAGGAATTTATCCATTTCTTCTAGATTTTCTAGTTTATTTGCGTAGAGGTGTTTATAGTATTTTATGGTAGTTTGTATTTCTGTGGGATCGGTGGTGATATCCCCTTTATCATTTTTTATTGCGTCTATTTGATTCTTCTCTCTTTTCTTCTTTATTAGTCTTTCTAGCAGTCTATCAATTTTGTTGATCTTTTCAGAAAACCAGCTCCTGGATTCATTGATTTTTTTGAAGGGTTTTTTGTGTCTCTATTCCCTTCAGTTCTGCTCTGGTTTTAGTTATTTCTTGCCTTCTGCTAGCTTTTGAATGTGTTTGCTCTTGCTTCTCTAGTTGTTTTAATTGTGATGTTAGGGTGTCAATTTTAGATCTTTCCTGCTTTCTTTTGTGGGCATTTAGTGCTATAAATTTCCCTCTACACACTGCTTTGAATGTGTCCCAGAGATTCTGGTATGTTGTGTCTTTGTTCTCATTGGTGTCAAAGAACATCTTTATTTCTGCCTTCATTTCGTTATGGACTCAGTAGTCATTCAGGAGCAGGTTGTTCAGTTTCCATGTAGTTGAGTGGTTTTGAGTGAATTTCTTAATCCTGAGTTCTAGTTTGATTGCACTGTGGTCTGAG